>NC_000002.12:87498377-87803761 GCF_000001405.40 Homo sapiens | reverse complement strand
CTCCTTTCCTAGATGACAGCTACTGTTAGGAGTTTCTTGGGTGTTCAGAAATATTTTTTGCATATGCAAATGTGCAATACATTCTTTCTCTGCTTTTAAAAAATATTGTGCCTCAATGTGGGTGTGCTTTACCTATTGCCAGATGCCTTGCTTTTCTGAATGTTTCTTCATTGTTCCACTTCAGCACAGAGATACCTACCTCAGTCTTTATTAGCTACCACATATTTCTGTAGAATGAATATATAATAGAAACATCTTAGATGCTTGTATTTTATTTGATCAGTTTATTTTAAAGCTTAATGAACAAATGATTATAAGCATAAAATGTAGGTTATGTGCTGGCATTTGGGTATTTAAGAATTGGCTAACTTTTATGGCAAGATTTTCAGACTCTTAATCAGAGGAATACTGTGGTTCTAGTAAGTGCATCTGCATTGCAGCTAGGTAGTTAACAAAGTATCTTGAAACCTTTTAGTTAAGATGAGGAAATAGCCAGGCGTGGTGGCTCACACCTATAATCTTAGCACTTTGGGAGGCTGAGGCGGGCGGATCGCTTGAGGTCAGGAGTTTGAGACCATCCTGACCAACATGGTCAAACCCCATCTCTACTAAAAATACAAAAATTAGCCACGCATGGTGGCAGGTGCCTGTAGTCCCAGCTACTTGAGAGGCCGAGACAGGAGAATTGCTTGAAACCAGGAGGCGGAGATTGCAGTGAGCCGAGATCGTGCCACTGCAGCACTCCAGCCTGGCGACGGAGCGAGACTCCATCTCAAAAAAAAAAGAGGAAATAGTGAATTGAGATGATTTGATTGAGTGGATTCACAACTAATTAACTGGTCACAGATTCAACTGTTGAATAATTTTGTAAAAGAGGCCGGGTTTATGAATTGAGGTCAGTTTGAAAACAAAAAGAATGATGTCAACATTTTGTTTCTTACTTTGTGTGCTCTTTTCAACATATAGATGACAAACTTTGACATGATGTTTAGAAAACTTGTGAGTAAAAGGATAGGCGATATGAATATTTCTAAAATTCAAAATCAGAAGCTTTTAGGTTCATAAATCATATATTTTGAAAAATGAGCATGTTTGGAAAGAATTATATATACATGGTTTAAAATTCTGGCGGCTCTTAAGAATATGCTATGAAGACTCCTTTCTGTTCCCTAGTTATTTACTTTCTCCAGCCCCAAAGAAACTAATGTTATTGCTTTCTTGTGTGTTCTTCAGGAAATGTTTTATGCATCTCCAAGTAAACACACATATATCCCCTGTCTTTAAAGGAAGGAGGAAAACATTTGAACATTGCATTTACTTTATTTCCATTAACTGTATCTTGGAGATGTTTCCATGTCAGTATATATAAAGGGCATTCTCATTAGTTTGGATGCTTGCATATTATTCCATTGTATGGATGTACTGTAGTTTTGGAGTTTTTAAAACCAGGGTCCTAAAACCAGGACATTAGCTTGCTTTTACTTTTTTTTTTAATGCTACTTCAAGTAATTTAGCAATGATTAACTTGTGCCATGAATTCCTGAAAGAATTGCAGTATCAAAGTATATCTGTGCATTTATAATTTTTAGAGCTGTTGCCAAATATCTAACCCTAAAGAGGTTGTATCAAATTACATTTCCACCACCAATTAAGAAAGTGGTGATAGAATTAAAAGCCGATGCTCTAGTCACCCATATAGTTACTTTTGGCATGTTTCTAGTAAGTGGGCATTGCCTGTGACTGGACGTTTTCAGTGATGGGCATTCATTACTTTTCAAGATAGCCCAGTGCATCTTTAGGTGGTTTGGCTCTTGGTACTTCCTTATATAGAATAAAAATATTCTTCAAGCCTTCTACCTGTTGGTCTTGTTTCTTCTTTTGATGATTTCTTTTATAAAATAATTTTAATACCTGAAGGCAGCTGTCACGTCTTCCCTTCGCCATTCTATTCATCATGCTTTTTTTTTTTCCATAGGTTATTGCATTAGGATCTCTTTAATTTCCTGGTTGTCCCATTTATTCTAGTGCTATCCCCTGTTATCCATACTCTGAAAATGTGTTATCTACAATGTGGCATTTCCAAGTGTCATTTCACCTGTACTTTTTAAAGTAGGGTGTCATATCTACTCAAATAGGACAACATCTGCTGTTGTCCTATTTATTCAGGGCAGAAAAGTAATATAATTAAATTTTCCATTTCTCTGAATGTAACACGAATGTGCTTTTAGTAGAAACTAATTTCTCAGAGCTGCTCTGTGTATGCTTTTTTTTTTTTTTTCTTTTTTTGGAGATAGGGTCTCACTCTGTCACCCAAGCTGGAGCACAGTGGCATGATCATGGCTCACTGCAGCCTTGACCTCCTGGATTTAAGTGATCCTCCTGCCTCAGCCTCCTGAGTAGCTGGGACCACAGTTGTGTGCCACCACTCCTGGCTAATAAAAAAAACTTTTTTTAGAGATAGGGTCTCACCGTGTTGTTCAGGCTGGTCTTGAACTCTGGGCTCAAGTGATCCCCCCACCTCGGCCTCCCAAAGTGCTGGGATTACAGGTGTGAGCCAACATGTCTGGCCCCTCTTTTTTTTTTTTTTTGCGATGGAGTCTCGCTCTTTCACCCAGGCTGGAGTGCAATGGCGCAGTCTCGGCGCGCTACGACCTCTGCCTCCCAGGTTCAAGCTATCCTTGTGCCTCAGCCTCCCGTGTAGCCGGAATTAACAGGTGTGTGCCACCACGCCTGCCTCTTTGTTTTTTTTTTTATTATTTTTAGTAGAGACTGGGTTTCACCATGTTGGCCAGGCTGGTCTCGAACTCCTGACCTCAAGTGATCAGCCCACCTTGGCCTCCCAGAGTGTTGGGATTACAGGTGTGAGCCACCACGCCTGTACCTGGCCTATCTTTCATAGGTTATATAAATTCCTTGGTTCCCAGTTTTTGCAGTCTTTTCCAATTCAGTTTAATTAATGGTTAACTGTTTATTCATTATCAAAAAAAGTACAGTGTAATAGACAAGACCATGTTACTATTAGAAGTATGGGTATCATCAAATTAAGATTTTTGATTCTAAAATTATTAGGTTCCAAGACCAAAGATTAAATTAATAAAAGGTGAAGCTGGACAAAATCTGCTGGAAATGATGGCCTGTGACCGACTGAGCCAATCAGGTAATAGTAATATTAAACTAATTTAATTTAAAAAGAAAAAGGAATTTCTGTTAAGGCATATCTTATGATAAAATCTTCATCTGTCCAGGAGATAATTTGTCAAAATTATTTCTTTTTGCCGTATCAGTTAAGAGCAATAGGTATGGAAGAGATGCGAAGAAATAGCACATTCTTTAAAAAAAATGAATATTTGATATTGTTTGTTCCTATGTGGAGAGGATTTCTTAACTCTTTCTTCATCTGGCTGCTAGAGCCTCTAGCCTGAATATTTAGTCACTTCCTGAACTAAGTATAATTATTGATTTGCCAACCATTTAACACCAGCTGATTCTAAAAACACTGCTGTGGGGATATAAAGATGAAGAAGATACGGATCTGTCTTAAAGAGCTGAGAGCATAGTGAGGAAGATAGAAGATATATACTTACCTTATATTAGGCTCTTGGAATTTGTGGATTTTTTTCCCCCGTTTTTGGCTTGGGATGAATCCTAAAGGTCTGTTGCATATTACCTGTGATTTTGCTAAGATACAAACTTTAAGGTAGTTAGATGGCCATTGAATCAAGCAGTGAACTGAAGAAACATAATGCTTCCTATAAGGAGCAGTTTTGATATAAAATTGGATGAATTTTGTAAAGAGCAAGATGTAATATTAAATCAAAGTTATTATAAGCTTTGGTGTATAGTTAGGCTGTTGGCCAAAGCTCACATTGCTCTTTTATTCCATAGCCCACTTTTTTTGTGGGAGCTAGGCTTTCAGTCCTTAAAGTGACTTTCTACTTTTTTCCTTTTCTCTTTTCCTTCTACCCTTGCAGGGCTCTCATAAGTGCCTTTGCATGGTGTCACAGTTAGATGAAAATTGCCTGTATTTTTTTTTTATGTCTTTGATCTGGGCATCCCGAGGGTGCCTCTGTAAGTGTGCTGAGACACAACTGTGTAGTGGTAACCAAACCTAATTGCCCAGCAGAATTAACTCAAAGGAGGGTTTTTAAAAAAAGTTGAATTGAAATATAATTCATGTACCATACGCTTCACCCATTTAAAGTGTACAGTTCAGTGGCTTTTACTATGTTCATAGAGTATTACCACTGTCACCACAGTCAGTTTTAGAAGATTTTCATCACTCCATGAGGAATTTCTTACCTATTAGCAGTTACTCCCCATTTTACCCAAACCTCTCAGCCTTGGCAACCGCTAATCTGTCTCTGTAGGTTTGCCTCTTCTTTTTTTTTTTTTTTGAGACGGAGTCTCGCTCTGTCGCCCAGGCTGGAGTGCAGTGGCGGGATCTCGGCTCACTGCAAGCTCCGCCTCCCGGATTCACGCCATTCTCCTGCCTCAGCCTCCCAAGTAGCTGGGACTACAGGCGCCCGCCACTACGCCCGGCTAATTTTTTGTATTTTTAGTAGAGACGGGGTTTCACCGTTTTAGCCGGGATGGTCTCGATCTCCTGACCTCGTGATCTGCCCGCCTCGGCCTCCCAAAGTGCTGGGATTACAGGCGTGAGCCACCGCGCCCGGCCGGTTTGCCTCTTCTGAACATTTCACATAAATGGAATCATGTAGTATGTGGTCTTTTGTGACTGGCTTCTTTCATTTAGCAAGGTTTTCAAGGTTCATCTGTGTTATAGCATGTATCAGTATTTTATCCGAGGACTATGATTTTTTGATTGCTTACTGTAAACCTATGGAATAAAAATCTCTGGGAACAAGGCCTGGAAATAATTCTTTTTTTTTTTTTCCTGAGACAGTCTTACTCTGTCGCCCAGGCTGGAGTGCAGTGGCGTGATCTCGGCTCACTGCAAGCTCCGCCTCCCGGGTTCACGCCATTCTCCTCCCTCAGCCTCCCCAGTAGCTGGGACTACAGGCGCCCGCCACCAGGGCCGGCTAATTTTTTTTTTTTTTTTTTTGTATTTTTAGTAGAGACGGAGTTTCACTGTGTTAGCCAGGATGGTCTTGATCTCCTGACCTCATTATCCACCCAGCTTGGCCTCCCAAAGTGCTGGGATTACAGGCATGAGCCACCGTGCCCAGCCGGAAATAATTCTTAAAAGCTGTTTAAAGGAGGATTCTGATCAGCCAGGTTCAGAAATCAGTGTATCAGATCAGAGAATAAGAGCTTGTCCCTGTTCTCCTATGGCCACTTAAATCCAGACCTTTTCATCTAAAATGCAAATATGTTTGGCATTTTTCATACACATTCCTGTCTTTTTTCCCCCTTCTGCTGTCTTATGTAGATACTGAGAATATTAAACCTGTACTCTTTTCATTTGCTACATAAGCACCCGTTTTGTTGTCCAGCTGTATTTTTTGGGTTGGAGGGTTAGGTCTGCAATAATCATGTTATTTCCCCTTTGGGTATACAAATGAGACAACGTGAGCAAATACAATCTGTATTTTTAAAGTGATGGAAATAACTTAAATTTTTTTTTCAGGGCATATGTTGCTAAACTTAAGTCGTGGCAAGCAAGATTTTTTAAAAGAGGTTGTTGAAACTTTTGCCAACAAAAGCGGGCAGTCTGTGTTATATAATGCTCTGTTTTCTAGTCAGTCATCTAAGGATACATCTTTTCTTGGTAGCGATGATATTGGAAACATTGATGTACAAGAACCAGAGCTTGAAGATTTGGCTAGATACGATGTTGGTAAGTTATATGTTTCAGAGGAAATGGTCTCCGTCTTAATTATTATAAATTGCCCATAATCTTATTACCCAGAAATAACGACTTAATATTTTCCTGTATTCCTTTTGTGTGTGGGTTGGGCTGGGGGGAGTTTGAATGTGGTGCTGTAGGGGTGGCATGTATTTTTTGTTGTTGTTGTTGTTTTTGAGACCAAGTTTTGCTCTTGTCGCCCATGCTGGAGTGCAGTGGTGCGATCTCGGCTCACTGTAACCTCTGCCTCCCGGGTTCAAGTAATTCTACTGCCTCAGTCTCCCAAGTAGCGGGATTACAAATGCCCACCACCACGCCCGGCTAATTTTTTGTATTTTTAGTAGAGACGGGGTTTCATCATGTTGGTCAGGCTGGTCTCAAACTCCTGACCTCAGGTGATCCACCTGCCTTGGCCTCCCAAAGTGCTGGGATTACAGGAGTGAGCCACCGCGACCAGCCTTGTTGTATTTTGAGACAGGGTCTCGCTGTGTCACCTGGGCTGGAGTGTAGTGGCGTGATCGTAGGTCACTGCTGCCTTGAACTTCTGGGCTCAAGGGATTCTCTTGCCTCAGCCTCCTGAGTAGCTGGTACCATAGGCACATGCCACTCGGCCCAGATAATTTTTTTTTTAATTGGTAGAGACAGGGTCTCCCTTTGTTGCCCAGGCTAGTCTCCAACTCCTAGGCTCAAGTGATCCTCCTGCCTAAGCCCCGCAAAGTGTTGGGATTAGGCCTGGCACAGTGGCTCATATCTGTAATCCCAGCACTTTGGGAGGCCGAGGCGGGCAGATCACCTGAGATCAGGAGTTCGAGACCATCCTGGCCAACATGGTGAAACCCCATCTCTACTAAAAATACAAAAATTATCCGGGGGTGGTGGCATGTGCCTGTAGTCCCTACTCAGGAGGCTGAGGCAGGAGAATCGCTCCAACCCGGGAGGTGGAGGTTGCAGTGAGCCAAGATCACACTGCTGCACTACAGCCTGGGCGACAGAGCGAGACTTCGTCTCAAAAACAAAAGTGTTGGAATTATAGGCATGAGCCACTGCATCTGACCATATTTTTCATCTAAATGGTTGTTTATGTATGATTTATCTTGCTTCCTTCATGAATTCTCTCCCATAGTCTCTGTATTAAAACTATAAATATCACTTTTATTGGCAATATAATCTTTTTTATGAAGTAGTCATAATTTGCTTGCAACTTTCTGTTATTGGGCATCCAAGTTTTCTCAACTTTTCCACTGTTAATAATCATACTCTGATAAAAACTTCAACAAAAAGTGTCTTCATTGCAAGTTATTTCCATAGAGATACCTAAAAACAGAATTACTGAGACAAAGGACATGAACATCTTTAAGTCTTGCAAATTGCCAAAATGACAGAAAGATTATACCTCTTCATGCTTCCAGAAGCGCATAACCTTTTCTTTTCTTTTCTTTTCTTTTTTTTGAGACAGAGTCTCGCTCCGTCACCCAGGCTGGAGCGCAGTGGTGCAATCTCGGCTCACTGCAACTTCCGCCTGCCAGGTTCAAGCAATTGTCTTGCCTCAGCCTCCCAAGTAGCTGGGACTATAGGCATGTGACACCATGCTCGGCTAATTTTTTGTATTTTTAGTAGAGACGGAGTTTCACCATGCTGGCCAGGCTGGTCTCGAACTCCTGACTGCACATAACCTTTTCAATATTGACTTTCTTGTAGAAAAACAGATTTCTTTACTGTACCGATGGATTAATATAGTGGTGTTCCATTGCTTTAATGACTTAAAGGAAAACCCATTGTTTTGGGGTTTCTTATTAGGTTAGGTGTTCTTTATTTGGCTTTTGTCAGTTGATTTTGGTTTATTGAGTTCTAGTCAGTGTCATTTTTTAAGATGGACTTAAACATTCTTCATCACTACTATTTTTATTAAAATTTCTAGAAATAATCAAGTGAGAATGCATTTAATAAGAACATGAGATTTTGCCTAACATAGAATTCCCTCCAGCTTTGATATAGAAAAGCAGTTATATAATTAAGATATATATAATGTGAATTGTTTATGTTGGCAAAACTAATGGCACAAAGAAAAATTTCGAACCCTTAAGCCAATTTTTTTATTTTATTTCAGGTGCTATTCAAGCACATAATGGTAGTCTTCAGCACCTTACTTGGCTTGGCTTACAGTGGAATTCATTGCCTGCTTTACCTGGAATCCGAAAATGGCTAAAACAGCTTTTCCATCATTTGCCCCAGGAAACCTCAAGGCTTGAAACAAATGCACCTGAATCAATATGTATTTTAGATCTTGAAGTAAGCAAAGATTTTAACAAATTAAATATTCTGAATTTTGTTTAATTTTTTTTTCTAACTTAACTTTTCCTTAAATAAAACAGGTATTTCTCCTTGGAGTAGTATATACCAGCCACTTACAATTAAAGGAGAAATGTAATTCTCACCACAGCTCCTATCAGCCGTTATGCCTGCCCCTTCCTGTGTGTAAACGGCTTTGTACAGAGAGACAAAAATCTTGGTGGGATGCGGTTTGTACTCTGATTCACAGAAAAGCAGTGTAAGTAGTAAAACAAAAATATTGCTTTCACTTAGTGCGTAGGTTTTACCGGGGATTTAATCCTCATGTGAAGATTTAATTTGTCATGTGACCCATTAACATATATGTATGTAAGCGCTGAACTGTGTATTTAGAAAACAATTTTAGTAAATTGAAGTATTTTTTAGACCTGGAAACTCAGCAGAATTGAGACTTGTAGTTCAGCATGAAATAAACACTCTAAGAGCCCAGGAAAAACATGGCCTTCAACCTGCTCTGCTTGTACATTGGGCAAAATGCCTTCAGAAAATGGTGAGTTTTAAAGTATAAGCATTTTTAAAGAACATTACCTTAATTTTTTAAAATCATGCACTTTTTATTGAAAGTTTTTTTGTTCAGAAAACAGCAGCTTGGTCATATTATGACAGATGTGTTTTTTATTGCTGCAAAATAGTTAATGTAGTTAAATATAAGCACTTAGAGGAGCAATGCCTGGCACACAGTGAATGTTACATATTAGCTGAGCTGTTACTGTTATTCCTTAATAATTAAGTTCTGATAATTATTCAGCCTGAAAATTAAAAAAAAAAATTAGCACAAGGCTTTGTAGGTAAGACCATTATAGATCTTTCTAAATATTTAAGGTTTGTTTTGTGTCACCATTAGGTGAAGATGGTCAGCCTTTTGAACAAACTGACACTACAGAAGAGGCAGGTTTCAGCTATCTAAAAATGGCAACTGTTAAAAAGTAGTTGGGATTGCTACATTAGGGTGGTATCATTAGAAGTGTTTAAAAGTTGAGTGTAGAGGCCGGGTGCGGTGGCTCACATCTGTAATCCCAGCACGTTAGGAGGCCGAGGCGGGCAGATCACAAGATCAGGAGATCGAGATCATTCCTGGCTAACACGGTGAAACCCCGTCTCTACTAAAAATACAAAAAAAAACTCTACTAAAACTACAAAATTAGCCAGACATGGTGGCAGGTGCCTGTAATCCCAGCTACTTGGGAAGCTGAGGCAGGAGAATTGCTTGAACCTGCACGGCAGAGGTTGCAGTGAGTTCACTGGTATTAAGGTGGTTTAGTTATTACAGTATTTGGAAGTTGAACAAATGACTATTGAGGTACCATTTGGTTTTGACTTGAAATTTTAGCCAGTTCTTACAACCTGTAAATGAACTTTAGATCTAATCATGCGTGTTCCTTAAAGTTGTGTGCTTTTAACTTTCTTTTTTAGGGCAGGGGTCTTAATTCTTCTTATGATCAACAAGAATACATAGGGAGAAGTGTTCATTATTGGAAGAAAGTTTTGCCATTGTTGAAGATAATAAAGAAGAACAGTATTCCTGAACCTATTGATCCTCTGTTTAAACATTTTCATAGTGTAGACATTCAGGTAACAGAGTTCCTTTATGAATTTATTGGAGATGGGAATTTCCAGTTTATAAACAAAGACGTGGAGCTATAAACTGCTTAAATTAATTGCCTTGTTATTTAACGGTAATCTTGTTTTCTAAATTCACTAGCTCTCACAGATAAGATATGACAGAGAAGAGTAATGAGATGTTTGTCTCTTAAGATCATATAAAATCTTTGGAAAATCATTTGGGTTTTATATTCTGAGTATAAACAATTTGACTAAAAACTATTCTGTGTGTTTAGGCATCAGAAATTGTTGAGTATGAAGAAGATGCACACATAACTTTTGCTATATTGGATGCAGTACATGGAAATATAGAAGATGCTGTGACTGCTTTTGAATCTATAAAAAGTGTTGTTTCTTATTGGAATCTTGCACTGGTAAGTAGATGCAGTACTTGAGCTAAAAGTTTTATTTATTTATTTATTATTTCTTTTAAAAGACGGGGTTTCTCTGTTGGCCAGGCTAGAGTGCAGTGGCACAATCTTGGCTCACTGCAACCTCTGCTTCCCAGGCTCAAGCGATTCTTGTGCCTCAGCTCCCGAGTAGCTGGGATTACAGGCATGAGCCACCATGCGTGGCCAAGCTGAAAGTTTTTTGTTTTAAAAAGCTAATGATTTCATAAAAGCACTATTTGTATAGATTTTTCACAGGAAAGCAGAAGACATTGAAAATGATGCCGTTTTTCCTGAAGAACAAGAAGAATGCAAAAATTATCTGAGAAAGACCAGGGACTACCTAATAAAGATTATAGATGACAGTGATTCAAATCTTTCAGTGGTCAAGAAAGTAAGTAGCAGGTTGTTGTATGTACGTTCTTACTGATAACCCACTGGTCAGTGTTTTTGCGTTGGTCTTATATTTTGGTAATTTCAAAAATACTCAGTAATATGTTGTTATTAATGCACAGAAGGGATGTGTGTGTCTAAATGCTTATATTTGCTTGCTTTGTCTTAGGTTTGGTGTGTCTTTTTAAACTTGGGAATCTAGGTGTTATCTTAGCAGTGTAATCAAAACAAATATTATAACCTCAGGACTAATTCTTAATGAACTTTGCTGAAATTGAAAGTTGTTGCTGACAACTTAAGAGCATTTCTTCTCATCCTCATCAGCCATTATGAACGCCCTTGTTTTCTTGCTGTCAGCTGTTTGAGATTGTCATGATGATGTTAAATTATGTTCAGTCTTCTGAGTGTTTTGTTGATTAATTTGTGTTACTACTCTTTTATTAGGATTTATGTTGTCTGGTGTATTGTAGCATCTGTATTTCTGTCACCATTGAAAATCAGTTAGAAAACATCAGTAACTTATTTTGTTCACTTGGAAAAGCTTTCCAAGTTAACATTCCTCTACAATTATCATGGTTAACAGAAGTAATAGAAAGAGCATGGACTTTAGAATCAGAAGATGTTAGATTGTACAACACTTTTCTGTGTTCATGAAGAAAAAAATAGAATAAAGACAAAAAAATAAAAATAATAATACAAAACAGCAGAAAAACAAAGAAAAAAGATAATTAAAAAACACTTTCACGTGTATTATTATTTAAAGTGTAAAGTGCTTATTAAAATGACAAAAATGTAAATAAGATAAAATATATCATTTTAGAGTTTTTACTTTTGGAATTTTTTGCAAATGAAAGCCCTTAATTAATGTCTTTTATTTTTAGTTGCCTGTGCCCCTGGAGTCTGTAAAAGAGATGCTTAAGTCAGTCATGCAGGAACTCGAAGACTATAGTGAAGGAGGTCCTCTCTATAAAAATGGTTCTTTGCGAAATGCAGATTCAGAAATAAAACATTCTACACCATCTCCTACCAAATATTCACTATCACCAAGTAAAAGTTACAAGGTAAACAGGAAAGAATGGAATCATTTCATTGTGAAATTGTTTCTAAGTGTTTTAAATGCTCTTTTGTTATTTTTATTTTTTTTTTTAGTATTCTCCCAAAACACCACCTCGATGGGCAGAAGATCAGAATTCTTTACGGAAAATGATTTGCCAAGAAGTAAAGGCCATTACGGTAAGTCACTTAATTTCTCTAGCTGTACTTTTTATTCCAAGATTCCTTCCCTGGCCACTCTCTCACTTTTTTTCTGAAGCTGGTCAGAATGTCCCCTTGCCATCCAAATAGTATGGCAAGGGGACATTTTGGTCTTTTTTTTTTTTTTTTTTAAGACAGGGTCTTGTTGTGCAGGCTGCAGTACAGTGGTATGATCACAGCTTACTGTGGCTTCGACCTCCTAGCTCAAGAGAGCCTCTTGGCTTAGCCTGCCACGAAGCCAGGACTACAGAGAGTCACACGCCACTAGGCCCAGCTAATTGTATTTTTTGTAGAGATGGGATTTTTCCATGTTGCCCAGGGTGGCCTTGAACTCCTGGCTCAAACAATCCTCCTGCTTCAGCCTCCCAAAGTGCTGGGATTGCAGGTGTGAGCCACTGTGCCCAGCCTACATACCTTGGTCTTGACCCTTTACCATATTTTGTTTTGTTTTGTTTTGAGATGGAGTCTCACTCTGTTGCCCAGTCTGGAGTGCAATGGTGCGATCTTGGCTCACTGCAACCTCCACCTCCCAGGTTCAAGCGACTCTCCTGCCTCAGCCTCCTGAGTAGCTGGGATTACAGGCACCCGCCACCAGGACCAGCTAATTTTTGTATTTTTAGTAGACACAGAGTTTCACCATGTTGGCCAGGCTGGTTTTGAACTTCTGACCTCAGGCGATCTGCCCGCCTTGGCCTCCCAAAGTGCTGGGATTACAGGTGTAAACCACCACACCCAGCCCTTTACTATATTTTTGAAAGTACTTTATGTGTCTCTCTCCTCATCTTCCACAAAATTTGAGACCTTCAAAGGTAGAAACTGTTTTATTTAAAATATAAGAGTTCCTGACACAGAGAAGGTTCCCGAGTGATTGAACTGCTACAGTGTACTAATCATACTCTGGTCTATGAGTTCATTCTCAGATTAGCTGTGGATTACATGTGTTTCAAATGTATAGCTAGGAATTGAAAAGTGGTCTGAGCTTCAAAAAGTCTTGCTATATTTTAATACTTCCATATGAATTTGACTTAATTATGTAAGGAAATAGTTATGTATATATATCTTATTTTAACAATAGGGTTCAAAGGAGCTTGACTTTTTTGGAATTGGAAATAAAAGTAGGTTCTTTCATGTTTATCAGGCAAGAACTAAATTATACTGCTAAAGTTACATCAAGGATATGCTGATGTGTGGCGATTATTACAGTGTGATCAGCAGTATTTGCAAATTAAGAGAATACTATTTGGTGGGGAAGACATTTTTG
The DNA here is from genome assembly GCF_000001405.40 of Homo sapiens. Classification (NCBI taxonomy): domain Eukaryota; kingdom Metazoa; phylum Chordata; class Mammalia; order Primates; family Hominidae; genus Homo; species Homo sapiens. Next base: position 87,790,707 of record NC_000002.12, on the reverse strand, counting down.
AATTTGCACAAAAATCTTGAATGTTAATTCTGTGTAGTCATGGCCTATGACAATTACATACAATTTTGACTTAACATACAGGTTTCAGGCTCCCAACATTGTATTCTGTGGAAGTATAGTGGAGCACTAGTCCATGAGCTTGAAAAGCTTGGTACTAGTACTGACTCTGCCATTAATTAATGATCTTGGGCCAGTCACTTCCTTCGTGACTGGCTTCTTATCTTTAAAATGAGAGAATTATTGAAGCCAGTTCTCATTACACTGAATGTTAAAAATTACAGTTACAGCAGTGATTGCAAATTCAAAGCTCTGGTGCGGATACCAACAGTGACCATAAAGTTTTCTAGGTGATTCCACTAGTTTCTTATTTCTTGGATGTGTATGTGTAGCATCTGGACTAGGCACTGTAGATGGATGAGTGGGGGAAATTTTATTTAGCTTGAAAATTGAGATAGTTTTGGACCTCATGGTTAGGTCTTTCTGGGAAATTTTTATTTGAAACACTTGTAGAAAAAGAAAGCAGACATGCTAGATCTGTCCCTGACCTCACTTGTTAGAACTGGTCGGATTCCTGGGCTGATACAGAGAAGTTTGAAACTTTTCAAAATTTACCTGTTTTCTGATACCACTACAATTTCTTTGGAAAAAGAATTTCCTGTTAAGTGTCTGTTTTGTAAGGGGACATTTTGTAGGTTCTAGGGTTGGGTATGGTGCTGTCATTTAGTTTTCTTCAGCAGAGATCAGGTAGCCACATAGCTACACTAGACGGCATTGTATCTATCTGCCATCTTGTCAAGGCAGCAGAGTTGTGTTAAGAGAACATTTTTGGAGTCAGATGTGGTTCAAATTCCAGCTGTTATTCCCTGCATCCCTTTCTCTCATTTTAAGATAGGAGCTAATATTGTTTACCTAACAGTGTAGATAGTATAAAAATTAAGAGTTTAAGTGCATTGGACGTATTATTATATACATAATAAATTATCTGCAGCTACTGCTTTTTTCCCTTTCCTGGTGGAGCATTTGAACGTCACCTGGAGAATTAGTTGTATTTTGTTTCAGCATGGGGTTAAGTGAAAAGCTAATTTGGGGAGGTGATTTGGAATGTCAGGTAGTCCAGATTGCAGTATAGAAAGAACACACTGAAAGGATGGTCAGTGTAATGTTAGAGGACTGTGAAAGTTGGGGAAAGAAGTTTAGTTTGTAGGTACTTGTTTTTTTGAGCAGGGAATTGTCTTGGCTGGAGGTGAATGTCAGAAAGGTTAATGTAGGCAAGTGTAGAATGGAAATGAAGGTGTGATCATTTAGGAGGTTATTTGTTTAGGTGAGAGAGTTAATGAATTAGGTTTTGTATTAACGAATGAAAATGGGAGCAGATAAATTTTTAACAAATTAAGAATCATATTTTAAAATCAGCACCAGGTACCTAGAACTCATTGGCAAATAGAAACTTTCAAAAGATATAATCAGGTCCGGGCGTGGTGGGTCACACCTATAATCCCAGCACTTTGGGAGGCTGAGGTGTTGGATCACTTGAGGTCAGGAGTTCAAGACTAGCCTGGCAAACATGGTGAAACCCCATCTCTACTATTATACAAAAAATTAGCCGGGTGTGCTGGCTGACGCCTGTAATCCCAGCTACTCGGGAGGCTGAGGTGGGAGAATTGCTTGAGCCCAGGAGGTGGAGGTTGCGGTGAGCCAAGATTGTGCCATTGCACTCCAGCCTGGATGACAGATCGAGACACCATCTCAAAAAAGAAAAAAAGAAAAAATCAGTTATTTAAATTTAAAAGAGTAAGTTTCCCCAGCACTGTTTCTGGCATGATATAATTAAATGATTAAAATTATTTGATTTTTTTTTCTTCCAATAGAAACTAAATAGCAGTAAGTCAGCATCCCGTCATCGTTGGCCCACAGAGAATTATGGACCAGACTCGGTGCCTGATGGATATCAGGGGTCACAGACATTTCATGGGGCTCCACTAACAGGTGAGCTGGCAAGTGCATAATCGCATATTTTAGTAAAACTACTTTACTTCCCTCTTTTAAGTAGATAACGTGTGAAATCACCTTGTTTATATATGTTTGTTAATATACATGTCAACGTCTGTTTATATGTGACTTCAAAAGCTGTATTTGGTGTTACGGAGATTTTTATAATCCCAAGCAGAAAAAACGAGCCGTATGTGATCACGTGTATATAAAGGCTTAAAGAACACTTAATCCACACCTCAGATGAGCTGAGATGAGATTATTCCTTAAATTGAAAAATGTTATTGAATAGAGTTATGCACTAAGAAATGCTTAATTAAGAACCTACACCTCTGGGGAATTATTTTGATGATAATGATGAGAGGCAGGACGTTATATAGGAAATCTTACTTAATTTGAAATATTATGGTTATATAAAGAAAGAAAAGGAGTTTGGACCTGAATCATACAGGGTTTTTAAGTTCTGCTCTATCACTTACTATAATAGCTGTGTAAGTTAACCTGTCTGAAATGTGGAGATAATACTTGCCTTACATAATTACTATGAGCATTTGTGTATGTGCAGGTGGGCGTGGGTGTGTATCAGACATTTATTAGAGTATACAGTAAACAGTTAATGAACTAAGGTTACTAATAGTGTTTACTGTGGGTTGGCTATGTGCAAAAGTGCTTTGTGAATGTAATTTGATTTAATTACAGTAACTTAGAATGGCCGGTACCATTATTAATCCCTTTTTTATAAATAAGGAAATGGATAAAGAAAGGTTAGGTAACTTACTCATTATTATACAGCTAGTTATTGATAGAGCCGAGATTCACACTCCAGTGGTGTAACTCCAAAGCACTTGCCAGTATAATACATTGCTCCCAGGCAGCCAGAAATAAAAAAATTGTTCCTTTTACGTACGACAGACTTCTGAAATGGTAGTAGTAGTGCCCTTTTTTTTTTCTCTTTTTAGCCCAGGAAAGATTTAGAATAAAATCTAGTTTAGATGAGCACATTTGTGTGATGGTTCCTATAGTTAAGGCAACCCCACTAGCCTTTTGTGATAGTATCTTCTCAACACAAGCAAAATAACAGAAAATCTTTGTGAAGTCAAGCTTATTAAATGTCGTAAGTCATAGATAAGTATATGAAATGTCTAACGTTCAAACCTTGTTTTCTTAAAACCTTACACATCATATAGGTCCTTGTAAGAGGATAAACAAACCGGCTAGCCTTTCCTGGGGCTTTTTTAGTGACGTGTGCAGTCAGTTATTTGGTGCCTTGTGGGTCATGATTTCCATTTCTTCTGTGTACAGGCATAAAAGGTCTTCTGTTCTTATACAAGCATGTAAATCCAACATTCTCATTGTCTCATTTTATTCTTGCAATGACCCTGTGAAATGTGTAGAAGCAGCATATCCTCATTTTACAATTGAGAAACATGGAGACTCCAAATGGATTATTTACAGGTTCACAAAACAGCTTTGTGGCACTGAAAGGGCGAGAGCCAAGATCTCCTGATTTCTGTTCCTGTGTTCATAGATTCTTTTTCCTTAATAAAAGTAAACATATATCAAGATGGTCCTTGTTTTTTTAAAATAAGATGATTAAAATTAAAGATTAATGAGCTCATAGGAGATACTCAGAAGTACTGAACAGGGTGAAGAAAACTAAAAACTAACCACCTTATTAACATTTCTTATATTTGAGAGCATTTCCTTCTGGTTCTTTCTCTATACATATAGTATTTTTTATGAGATTGTTACCATGTTACTATGTTGTGTGTAGATGAGCTAGCCTGTTTTTTAAATGTTACTTTAGTTCTGAGCATTTTTAAACTTAAATGTTTTTTGAATATTAATGAGTTCATGGTGTCCCATCACATGGAAGTACTGTAAATTCTGTTCCTTTATTTATGTTGTTTCTGGTTTATGCCATTACAAATTCTAGGACACTGTCCTAGTTTTGTAGGGTATTCAAAATATTCAGTTTATGCTCTTACCACTAGTATCTGATAGTGCCATTTTCGCACTTTTGCTAATGCTGACTTACTAGTTTATAAAATCCTTTGCCAATTTGTAGGAACAAAAGTTATATCAATTTTTAAGTTTTTTTAATACTAGTCATGCTCAACAATTCATGCAAATGGCAGTTGGTAGTTTTGCCATCTTCAACGTGGGTACCTTCCAGTTGTTTGGTTTCTTGGTAAAACTCACACAAAACAGATGGAGAAGAGTTTTTGTATATCAACATGAATGTTAATGTGATTTTTTTAAAGCCAACGAACACATTTGTGTTCCTTGTGAGATCCTGTGCATGAATTTGTCAGGTAATTTTTTTGACTTGAACATTCTCATAATAGCTTCAATTTGCACAATGCAACCTTGTCATTTTGCAGATTTTCAAGGCTCACTTCAAAAACATGTTCCTTGAGGCCTATTAACATTTCTTTCCTAAATTGTCTATTCATATGGTGCTTTAAAAAATTAGATTACTTTTAGTATATTTATTAGAGCCTCACAGTTTAGAGTCAGTAGTCAATTAAAGTCCCTACTTAAACTTCAGACTAAGATTTTTTTTTTATTTAATATTTTATTTTTTCTTTTTGCTTTCATGCAGACAGACATTTTGCAAGACTTTAAGATTCTTGGGCCATTTCTGTCAGGTTGTTCTGTGTTCTGTGCCTGCTTCCTCCCCATAGTAATTTCAAAATAGTTATCCTCACCTCTGTAAGGTTTCCAAAATCAAACTTGGGCTTCTGGCTAGCCTTTTCTAGGTCTTGATTTTTCAGTGCTTTCCAGAGGCAATTGTTTGGAACCTCTTGGCACAGTTTCTGTTTCTTCTTCCATGTACAGGCATAAAAGGTCTTTTGGTTGTTTTCTGGTAAAACTATCATAAAACAGTTCAAGCAAATGACTATTGGTAGTTTTGTCATTAACATGGGTGCCTTCTAGTCGTTTTGTTTCCTGGTAAAACAGACCAAACAGAGGGAGCAGACAGTTTGTACATCTGTATGAGTGTTGATGTGCTTTTTATTTTAAGCCAGGGAACACATTTTATGTTATTTATGACATCCTTTCCATGAATTTGTCAGGTGATTTTTGAGCTGAACATTCTCAGTAATAGCTTTAGTTTACAAAATACAACCTAGTCTTTCTGCAGATTTTCTAGGCCCACTTCAAATGCATTGACCATCAGATGGCATCTTGGTTCCTTACGTCCTTTCTGTGACTGAATGTCCATAATTCCACATCATACTGATCTTTCTTAGAAAAGGCAACAGTTACTTTCTCCTTTATTCCTTTTTTAATGCTTGTGAGGTAGTTCTTGTTGATCACAGCGATGCTATTCTCTTATTCTTCATGTCATATTTAGCAATTTTTTTCTAGTTTGTCATTTGATAATCTTGATTGGTATATTTTGATGTACAGAAATTTAAAATTTATGTAGTTAAATCTTTCTTTAATTTCTATTGCTTTTGTATTTATAGCTCTTGCCTAGATAGTCTTAACTGTAGTATAGACTTTAACAGTGTTTTCTTTCTTTTCTTTTTTTTTTTTTAGTTGCAACTACTGGCCCTTCAGTATATTATAGTCAGTCACCAGCATATAATTCCCAGTATCTTCTCAGACCAGCAGCTAATGTTACTCCCACAAAGGTAACAAAGGAATAATTTATACATTTATAATTATTTTCTTTTTAAATTGTTTAGGGTTCCTTCAAATAAATTCAAGAGAGCAGTTCACTATTAAAACTTTTATGTCCCTTAAAATGTAGATATTTTAAATTTATCTCCAAATACAGAAATTATCCTTCTTAGTCACCTTATTTTTGTGTTAATAAGTGTGAATATTTAGAATATTTTAAAAATGGGAGTGGTGGTGGTGGATCCTTCATCGTTCTGTTTTAACAGAAATAGAACTGTAATGCCCTTGCTGACCCACTATGTGGTAAGTACTTTCAGGCCTGATACAGCTATATATATAACAATTGATTGAAGACTCAATATTACAGTGGTAGTTGAATGTGACAGCTTTGAGGACAGAGTGTTGGGGTGCATTTAGACCCTTGTTCTTCTGCTTATTTTGACCACAGGCAAGTTTCTTAACCTCTCAATGCATCAGTTGCCTCATATGTGAAATGAGGGTAATAATAATACCTTAATTCATAGGGTTTTTGAGGATATTAAAATGAGATAATAATGTAAAGTGCTTAGAACAGTGCCCAGCTGGCACATTAATAAATGCTCAATAAATGTTATCATCATCATCATCATCATTATTGTTAACATCATTTGATAAATTGTTTAGGAATGAAGAAGGTATTTATTTCATGACTATTTTGGGCATGTGGATCAAGAAAATTCACCTTCATTTATGTTTCAGGGTTCTTCTAATACAGAATTTAAGTCAACCAAAGAAGGATTTTCCATCGCTGTGTCTGCTGATGGATTTAAATTTGGCATTTCGGAACCAGGAAATCAAGAAAAGAAAAGTGAAAAGCCTCTTGAAAATGATACTGGCTTCCAGGCTCAGGATATTAGTGGCCAGAAGAATGGCCGTGGTGTGATTTTTGGCCAAACAAGTAGCACTTTTACATTTGCAGATGTTGCAAAATCAACTTCAGGAGAAGGATTTCAGTTTGGCAAAAAAGACCCCAATTTCAAGGGATTTTCAGGTGCTGGAGAAAAATTATTCTCATCACAATGCGGTAAAATGGCCAATAAAGCAAACACTTCCGGTGACTTTGAGAAAGATGATGATGCCTGTAAGACTGAGGACAGCGATGACATCCATTTTGAACCAGTAGTTCAAATGCCTGAAAAAGTAGAACTTGTAACAGGAGAAGAAGGTGAAAAAGTTCTGTATTCACAGGGGGTAAAACTATTTAGATTTGATGCTGAGATAAGTCAGTGGAAAGAAAGGGGCTTGGGGAACTTAAAAATTCTCAAAAATGAGGTCAATGGCAAACCAAGAATGCTGATGCGAAGAGACCAAGTACTAAAAGTGTGTGCTAATCATTGGATAACAACTACAATGAACCTGAAGCCCCTCTCTGGATCAGATAGAGCATGGATGTGGTTAGCCAGTGATTTCTCTGATGGTGATGCCAAACTAGAGCGGTTGGCAGCACAATTTAAAACACCAGAGCTGGCTGAAGAATTCAAGCAGAAATTTGAGGAATGCCAGCGGCTTCTGTTAGACATACCACTTCAAACTCCCCATAAACTTGTAGATACTGGCAGAGCTGCCAAGCTAATACAGAGAGCTGAAGAAATGAAGAGTGGACTGAAAGATTTCAAAACGTTTTTGACAAATGATCAAACAAAAGTCACTGAGGAAGAAAATAAGGGTTCAGGTACAGGTGCAGCCGGTGCCTCAGACACAACAATAAAACCCAATCCTGAAAACACTGGGCCCACATTAGAATGGGATAACTATGATTTAAGGGAAGATGCTTTGGATGATAATGTTAGTAGTAGCTCAGTACATGATTCTCCGTTGGCAAGTAGCCCTGTGAGAAAAAATATTTTCCGCTTTGATGAGTCAACAACAGGATTTAACTTCAGTTTTAAATCTGCTTTGAGTCTATCTAAGTCTCCTGCCAAGTTGAATCAGAGTGGGACTTCAGTTGGCACTGATGAAGAATCTGATGTTACTCAAGAAGAAGAGAGAGATGGACAGTACTTTGAACCTGTTGTTCCTTTACCTGATCTAGTTGAAGTATCCAGTGGTGAGGAAAATGAACAAGTTGTTTTTAGTCACATGGCAGAACTCTACAGATATGATAAAGATGTTGGTCAATGGAAAGAAAGGGGCATTGGTGATATAAAGATTTTACAGAATTATGATAATAAGCAAGTTCGTATAGTGATGAGAAGGGACCAAGTATTAAAACTTTGTGCCAATCACAGAATAACTCCAGACATGAGTTTGCAAAATATGAAAGGGACAGAAAGAGTATGGGTGTGGACTGCATGTGATTTTGCAGATGGAGAAAGAAAAGTAGAGCATTTAGCTGTTCGTTTTAAACTACAGGATGTTGCAGACTCATTTAAGAAAATTTTTGATGAAGCAAAAACAGCCCAGGAAAAAGATTCTTTGATAACACCTCATGTTTCTCGGTCAAGCACTCCCAGAGAGTCACCATGTGGCAAAATTGCTGTAGCTGTATTAGAAGAAACCACAAGAGAGAGGACAGATGTTATTCAGGGTGATGATGTAGCAGATGCAGCTTCAGAAGTTGAAGTGTCTAGCACATCTGAAACAACAACAAAAGCAGTGGTTTCTCCTCCAAAGTTTGTATTTGGTTCAGAGTCTGTTAAAAGAATTTTTAGTAGTGAAAAATCAAACCCATTTGCATTTGGCAACAGTTCTGCCACTGGGTCTTTGTTTGGATTTAGTTTTAATGCACCTTTGAAAAGTAACGATAGTGAAACTAGTTCAGTAGCCCAGAGTGGATCTGAAAGCAAAGTGGAACCTAAAAAATGTGAACTGTCAAAGAACTCTGATATCGAACAGTCTTCAGATAGCAAAGTCAAAAATCTCTCTGCTTCCTTTCCAATGGAAGAATCTTCAATCAACTACACATTTAAAACACCAGAAAAGGGTAGGTACTTTGTTGTTAAAGTTAAGCACAATTTTTCTTTCTTTTAATGTTTAGCTTGATGCAGACTCTTTGTGGGATACTAATGTTGGGATATAAACGATGCTTTGTGAACACCCCCAAAATATTTGAGCAATTTTTTTTCTCCCTTAATAAGTTCACGGTGAGGTTTCAAAGAGCAAGAGAACTTAGTTAAAGACATTTCAGTAACTGGAAGATACTTCTATCATGCTAGGGCAGAGCAAAAGAACTTGGTACAGTGTACGGACTCATGCTTGAATCATGCGCATTAACGTGAGTCTTTTTTTAAAGTGTTCATTTTCATTTGTTCTGTTTCTTTTGTCACTCAGAAAACATGATATTGAGGCTGGGCACGGTGGCTCACTCCTAGAATGCCAGCACTTTGGGAGGTTGAGGTGGGCAGATCACTTGAGCTCAGGAGTTCGAGACCAGCCTGGCCAATGTGGTGAAACCCTGTTTCTACTGAAAATACAAAAATGAGCCGGGCGTGGTGGTGCGTGCCTATAATTAGCAGCTACTCAGGAGGTTGAGGCAGGTGGATCGCTTGAGCACAGGAGATGGAGGTAGCAGTGAGCTGAAATCATGCCACTGCACTCCAGCCTGACTGAGTGAGACTTTGTCTCCAAAAAAAAAAAAAAAAACAAAAAAACAAAAAAAACCATGATATTGAGATGTTCTCATTTTATGTGTTGTATGTCAGTCTTGCTCATGTATTAAATGAGCAAAGAATGAAACTACAGGGATAAATGAATATGTAAGACAGTCAGATTGGTGGTATAAATTGAGGGATTCTGGCTTTTTATGTTTTAAAAGCATATTCATTTTGTTTCCTAAAATGTTAAAAAATGAAATATTCTTTATTTTCTAGGATTTAATTTTAGCCTTTTTAAATCTAATCCCATGGCCTTTTGGACTAGCACCCCTTCCTCACAGCCTGAGAGCAAAGGTATAGAACTAGCATTCTCAGTATGAGATAACAGCAGTTTTTAGCAGCTGGTAGCCCTTAGGAAAGTATTAATAACTGTGGCTGTATGAAATGAAGTACTTACCACTACAACATGAATGTTAAAGAATGCCAGTTTAAGCAAAGTACCTTTTGACTGGTGGCATGACACCCTTGTTGGTTTGTTTTTTAAAATGTACTGGGATGCTGATTTGTAATGTACTTCATTGCTCTGCTATTTCAGGTCTGCTCAGTGAAGACCTATGTTTTATCTAATGTTTATCTTTAGCCACTAACGTCTGCCAGTATTCACATGTAGTGGCAACGGCATGTATACAGTATGGAAGAGTGTCCCTGTAGGGCTGTTCTTTTGTGCATGGTTTAGAAAAATGTTGTATTTGAAAATGGACCCCATTTTTAACAGCCAGCATTCTACAGCTTGCATATTATATATGTTGCACAGATCATTTTTAGAAGTGTGGCTACTAGAGTGGAACAAGAAGTGGGATCTGTTGAAGGCCTTCAAGAACAGGTTAGGGAAGTGAAACCTCACCCTTAGTGACCAGTAACACATCTTAGCCATGCCAAACAAGTACAATGATAAAATAACAATCTCTGATTTTTTTTTAAGTATACCAGTTTTATTACCAGCTAAGGTAGCTCTTAATCTTTTATTTTAAAGATACGGTCTTTGAGAAATGTGAAAAGTGTTAACTTAAAAGTGGATGTATACTTGCGTACAGTTTCTGTGAGCTCTAGGTTAGGAATCCCTGACCTAAGAACGAATGTGCCTATACACTACTGTAGAACATAGAGCCTTATTCTGTTTTGAATCTGATAATGTCATTGTCCCAAGGGACCTTAGAAATGAAGACTTTAGACATGAGTAAACTGAGGCCAAGAGAGGCTATCTGATTTACCCAAGAGGTCTTTACTGAGTAATAGCAGAAGTGGAACAAGAATCTGTATCTTACGGTGTACTGTTATTTCTCCTAGCTAGGAAATGATACTAGGTTTTCGTTTATAATGAAGGAGAGGGACAAATTTAACATTGTAAAAGGAAGGGCACTGGTTCTGCAGAGCAGTGTCATCCAATAGAAATAAAATATAACCTGTGTATGTAATTTAAAATTGTCATTTGGTGCAATGGCTTGTGCCTATAATCCCAGTTACTTGGGAGGCTGAGGCAGAGGGATCACTTGAGCCCACAAGTTCCAGGCTTCAGTGAACTATGATCACATCACTGCACTCCAGCTCTGGGTGACAAAGCAAGACCGCATCTCAAATAAATACATAAATAAATAAATTTTCTAGTAGCCATATTAAAAAGAATAAAAAGAAACAGTTAAAAAGGGAAACAGATGAAAGTAACTTTATCGATAGATTTGATTTAACTCATTATGTCCAAAATATCATTTTAACTTCTAATTAATATAAAAATTAATGATATTTTACATTATTGTTTTTCACCAAGTCTTCAAAATCCAGTGTGTGTGTTTACACTTACTGTTAGCATGTCTTGATTTGGACTAGCCACCTTGTGAGGTTTTAATAGAATGTGGCTAGGCTACCATATTGGACACCATAGCTCTCAGAATGTTTCCCTGTCACCAGTTGGTATACATGGCATGCTTCATAACTGGCTTACTTTATTAAACTCCTTTAGCCAGAAGTTGTTCTTTACATTAATAGATCAGAACAGGTTGCATATAGAAGTTTTTTCTGTTTCTAATTTTTTGCCCTTTGCATTGATGGTGGCTGGGGATGGGTTGTTTTCAGCCATATGAATGGTCTTAGATTTTATAGTGTTAGCTACCCATAGAGTAACAGTTTTTATTTAATTTTATCTAGTATCATGCTTGAACACAGGCAAACTAGATGCAACTCTAGTCACCTTCCATTCTTGGCAATTGTTAACTTTCCTTACAGGAACTAATCACAGTTGGCTTTGGATTAGTTTCATATGTATACTAATACTTGCTTATGTTTTAAGATTTTTTTCAATTGCTGCAAATGCATGGATATTTTGGTAAACTATTGTATGCTAAGTATAGTTAGGCAACACTTTAAAATTTTTAACCTTTTTAAATTCTAGAAATTTGTAGTAATTCTTTTCAATGACTATTAAGTAAACACAAGATTTTTTTGTTTTCTTTCGTTTTAAATAGATTCTGTGTTCACTTAGGGTTTTTGGTAGAAAACTAAATCAGGATGCTAATTCTAATTCATGATTATCGTACATCTCTGCATCAAAGTATATGTGTTTTTTATCAGTATGCTGTTTTAACCTATAGATAGGTTCCATGGTTTTTATTTTCAGGTAGAGTATTAACGTCAATACTTAATACCTTATCTTTGTCAATTTTTTTGACTGGTGTTACAGCAAAAGAGAAGAAAAAACCTGAAGATTCTCCCTCAGATAGTCTCGGTCTCCTGACCTCGTGATCCACCCGCCTCGGCCTCCCAAAGTGCTGGGATTACAGGCATGAGCCACTGCGCCTGGCTGACACATGTCTTAATTCTGGTATTCACCAGATTTGTTTCGTGTTCTCCGTTGTTAGTCATCAAATTTGTCTACTTTTTAAATAGAAACATTAGCTAGAGCAAGGAACTTAGAAACACTCAAGCAGCACTGAATGTGTAGAATTGCATAACCAATATAGCTTCTTTGCTTTCATATTTACAATTAGTTGGAGTTTTAGTTCAGCCGTACCCAGTATCTTCCATTCTGCTTCCAGGAAGAAATGGAAAAATGTCAGCCATGATGATGCAGTATTTTAGTAGCAAGTTGATGGTGTTTTGGTTTCCCATGGGAAATATTGTCACTGGAGCATTAGCAGCTATCGGTCACTTATTAGGGTAAAAAAGCAACTTCAGAAGAATTTAACATATGCCAAAGAATCAACAAAGGAAGTAATCAGCCAGGGCAAAGGTCGCACAAGAGATTGTAATCTAGCAATCAGCAGTGGAATAAGCAGTCAGCTTACCAGAAACCCAGGAAAATGCTTTAGAAAGGGCAGTCAGGACTAAGGCAATTTAATGAAATGCAAAATAAATGAAATCTGAAGTTTAAAAATCTAGATTACAATTCTGGTTTCTAACTCAGTTATGAGACCTTGGGCAAAGTCATTAAATTTCTCTGAACTTCAGATTTTTGGGAGTCAATAAACCAATACATGTCAAAGGGCCCGATAAACTTTACAGTTTAGACCAGGCGTGGTGTCTCACCCCTGCAATCTCAGCACTTTGGGAGGCCAAGGCGGGTGGATCACATGAGGCCAGGAGTTTGAGACCAGTCTGAACAACATGGTGAAATCCCATCTCTATTAAAAGTACAAAAATTATCTGGGCGGGATGGCATGCACCTGGAAGTCCCAGCTACTTGTGGGGCTGAGGTGGGAGGATGGCTTGAGCCTGGGAGGCAGAGGTTGCTGTGAGCCAAGATCGTGCCACTGCACTCCAACCTGTGTGACAGAGTGAGACCCTGTCTCAGAAAAAATATAGTTTATCAGCAAACAGGAAAGTCTTGCTAGGCAACGTAATTGATTAGTTCTGTGCCCTGGATTCTGGGCTCTTAACTGTATGAGCACTGTAGGTGTGAGCAGCAACAATTAAGAAGCTGCAGAGGTAAAGGTATAAGGGCAGTGATTGAGGATGTCTACCAAGCAGATTTCGGCAAGTGTGTTTCAAGAAGTATGCCGCAATCTGAAATACCTAATCCTGAAAAATTGCTAGAATCTAGTCTTTTAATTTTGGCCAGTATTTAGCAGTAGTTTGGCCCTCTACTCTAAATTAATAAAAAATAAGTAGTACTATATTATGAGCTGTGTTATCTAACAGTTTATCTTAGCTAGTAGCAATTAATTTATAGCTGCTATTAAAATGACTAACGTAGTTAAAAGTTTGATGACTAAGTTTTTTTTTGTTTGTTTGTTTGTTTTTTTGAGCTGGAGTCTCGCTCTGTCGCCAGGCTGGAGTGCAGTGGCATGATCTTGGCTCACTGCAACCTCCGCCTCCTGGCTTCCAGCAATTCTCTGCCTCAGCCTCCCCAGCAGCTGGGATTACAGGCACCTGCCACCGTGCCTGGCTAATTTTTGTATTTTTAGTAGAGATAGGGTTTCACCATCTTGGCCAGGCTGGTCTTGAACTTGCTGACCTCGTGATCCACCCACCTTAGCCTCCCAAACTGCTAGGATTACAGATTTGAGCCACCACGCCTGGCCTTGATGACTAAATTTTAGGAAATGTTTTAGCAATTCTTCATACACCTTTCACTTATAGTTACTTAATTCCTCTACTCTTATCATTTGATATTTTCATTTTATTGTGTATCTCTGTAAGGCCGAATCAATAGATTTTGAACAATCTCACACTTAACCTTTAAAAAAAATCTAATAGGCCCAGTTTCCTCTCAGCAGTCTTTGAAGAACCTTCGAGAAAGGAGAAACACAGACCTCCCGCTTCTAGACATGCACACTGTAACCCGGGAAGAGGGAGAAGGCATGGAGACAACTGATTACGGAGTCTGTGTCTTCCGCCAGCACATACACACAGTCTTTAGAGCAGCTGCTTAATTCTCCCGAAACTAAACTTGGTCTGTTACTCTGTCTAAATATGTTCTTCTTCTTTAATTTCACTGTCTTATTTAATTACTATTACTCTAAGGTACATATGCTTTTTTGGGCTGCTCCAATAAAATTTCTTTCAATATTCCACTACCTGTTTGTATTAGGGTTCTCTAGAGGGACAGAGCTAATTGGATGGTTGGATGGATGGATGAGATGGATGGATGGATGCTTATTAAGTATTACCTTACACGATCACTAGGCCATCTGCAGACTGAGGAGCAACGAGAGCCAGTCCAAGTTCCAAAACTGAAGAACTAGGAGTCTGATGTTCAAGGGCAGGAAGCATCCAGCACAGGAGAAAGATGTAGGTTGGGAGGCTAGGCCAGTCTCGCCTTTTCAGGTTTTTCTGCCTGCTTTATATTCGCTGGCAGCTGATTAGATGGCACCTACCAGGTTAAGGGTGGGTCTGCCTTCCCCAGCCCACTGACTCAAATGTTAATCTCCTTTGGCAACACCCTCACAGACAACACTCAGGATTAATACTTTGCATCCTTTAATCCAATCAAGTTGACACCCAGTATTAACCATCACACTGTCCAAATGGAAAAATTATTAAACAAATCTTTTTTAAAATAAAATGCTAGCTCTTGCCCTAGGCTTGAACCATAAATAAGTGGTGGGAAGTTTATAGTCACAAATAGGTGGTGGGTATTAGAAAGCAGGATAAACTATCCTCTCACCCTTCCAAGAAACTGACAGTTTCAGTTTATTCCTCTTGATGAAGTAATGCTAAATTTTTGTAGTGATGTTTTGGTATATTTTATTACCTGTAATTAATATTACTGTTCAAAATTTAGGGGGAATCTGTCATCTTCCTGAAACTTCAGAATCACCTGGAGTAAGGGTCATTTGTATTCATGGTCACTGACCACATGGGGTAGAAACTGCAAGTCATGGTTCCTTCAGGCAAAGTTAATAGTGGTGACACGGAGGCATCATGATAGAGCAGCAGACTCCAGAAGCCAATTTGACTTTGTGATTTCTGAAAAAATTACCTGTCAACTGTGAGCCTGTTTCATCGTCTGTAAAGTTTGAATAATGATACCTACCCCGCCTGATAGAAGATTCTTATGAGGGAACATGATACGTGACCAGTAAATGTTAATGCTTTCCTTATACGTGAAATGACATAAAATCTTGGAATATTAATAGATGGGAAGAAGATGTGTAATAAAACTGTCTATAAACACAATTCTGACAAATTTCAGAACTGGGACTCATAGGGCTTGTATTCAGTTAGATTACATGCTTTACAACAGAGATACTGTTTTATTTGTGTCACCTACAACATATAATCTGTTGATTGAGGTATGTTGAATAGATGAATGGCAAAGAAAGCAGACCTATAAAATATCACATAGTAAGATATTTATATTTAGATTTTTCTTATTTAGAATCTTCATCTGTAATGTATGATTTTGAAAATTAATTCTTGGAACAACATGTTGCAGAGCCTCCATTATGGCATGCTGAATTTACCAAAGAAGAATTGGTTCAGAAGCTCAGTTCCACCACAAAAAGTGCAGATCAGTTAAACGGCCTGCTTCGGGAAACAGAGGCAACCAGTGCAGTCCTTATGGAGCAAATTAAGGTGAGATCAGAAACCTGGCCACTGTGAAAACCGCCAGTTTGGTTTTCTGGACCCTCCATACACATGCACCCAAGTTTAAAAATTCACATTGCAGATGCATCTATAACGTCTTGATCTTTATATTAGATTATTAGATTCCTGATGGTGAGAAATAAATATTGCCTTTTTTTTTTTTTTTTTTTTTTTTTTTTGAGACAGTCTTGCTCTGTCACCCAGGCTGGAGTGCAGTGGCACGATCTCGGCTCACTGCAAGCTCCACCTCCCAGGTTCACGCCATTCTCCTGCCTCAGCCTCCCGAGTAGCTGGGACTACAGGTGCCCGCCAACATGCCTGGCTAATTTCTTTGTATTTTTAGTAGAGACAGGGTTTACCATGTTAGCCAGGATGGTCTCGATCTCCTGACCTCGTGATCCACCTGCCTTGGCCTCCCAAAGTGTGGGTATTACAGGCAAGAGCCACCGCATCCAGCCAAAATACTTCTTTTACACCTATTACATAAAGATTATTTCTTAATTCCTACTTTTCCTAAGAAACCGTAATAGATTTAGAAACTAGAGAGATGTTCACAAATCATTGTTCACATATGCTTAAATAAAAAATGGGTGTGAGTCTTTGAATTCTAAAGATAACCAGTGAATTTAAATTATTCAACTGATATTTATAGTACTGAACTACTAAACAGTTTTCAGGTGGAGATGGCAAAGTGGCATGGGAAGTTTTTCCTGTTTAAAGTAGACACCAGAAACATCTAGGAATGTTGCAGAACAGTTGAGGATTACTCAAATGAGGTATTTCCACCCTGGCTCACTGATAAATCACCCCTCAGAATATAGTCATACTGCTTATTGAGGAGTTCTTATGACCCAGGCCCTGGGCTCTACATACATTATTTAATCTCATCACTGGTTGAGAGAAAAATTGAAGCTGGTAAATGGTGGAACAAAATTCAAACTCATAGCTGTCTGAAAAGTACATGCTTTTCCCCTGTACTTTGCTGTTCCTAGTAGATCTGTCCTGCCACTGTGCAAGGCCACTAGCTATCCTTGTCAGATTATTTTAAAGCCGAATTCAGTTATTTTCAGTAAATTGTATATATCATGACATTCCACCATTAAATACTTCAGTATGCATCTCTATAAAATAGCATTTTCCCACTAATAAAAACATTATCATAGCTAACAAATCACTAACTAGCCCAGTAAACCTAAATGACTTATTTAAATGTTATATTTTCTTTTTTTTTTTTTTTTGAGATAGTCTTGCTCTGTCACCAGGTTTGGAGTGCAGTGGTGCAATCTCAGCTCACTGCAATCTCCGCCTCCCAGGTTCAAGCGATTCCCCTGCCTCAGCCTCCCGAGTAGCTGGGACTGCAGGCACGCACCACCATGCCCGGCTAATTTTTTTTATTTTACTAGAGACACGGTTTCACCATGTTGGCCAGGACGGTCTGAATCTCCTGACCTCATGATCTGCCTGCCTCAGCCTCCCAAAGTGTTGGGATTACAGGCATGAGCCACCACGCCTGGCCAAATGTTATATTTTCATAAATTTATACTCTCTTCATGATTTCTTCGTCTTCTTTATTGTCACTTTTTTAAATGGTCCTAGGTTTGAGGACAAAGTTCGCTAACTTTCTTGCCTAACCTAAAATGAAAATATACTAAAAGCTATGGCTTGGTTTCAACCTGGAAATCTTCCTCAAAGACTTGAACATGATACTACCTTTTTTATATCGTTCTTTGCCTCATTTCTCTGATAGTGTTTTACATTGTCTTATATTCCTGAATTTTCACTGTGTCTGAACTTTTTAAGTGCCGTTCACTGTGGACGTCTTAACTGCCTGGGACTTCAGGAACAGCGTAGGGGCAGGGGGTTAGTGGAGGCTACCGATGTTCCCCTCAGCCCATTTTCAGAGCCCCATGCCATACTGGCTTAGTTTCTATCAAAAGTAGAAGGCAGAGGGAACATCTTGGTACCAACCCATGGCTCCAGTTAGTTGCTCCTCATGGAGACGTTCCATCAGTTCCCCAGCTTTCAACTCCATTTCCATGATACCCTGTGCTTCTGAGACAAGAACTCCAGTATTTACACAGGATGCATCCTCTCCTGTCAGTGATACTTGGTAAGCTGCTGGACTGACTCATTTCCACCTCTTCATCTGTTTCTCGTGAGAATGTCTTGACGTTATCTCATCTACTTTTTCTCCTCTTGTATTAGCTTGTTGCTTTTCTACTTCACCCCTCTTCCTTCCAACCCCAAATAGCTTAGGACAATGGAGTCATATAGCCCAACACTTGGTTCATATGCAGCAATCCACTTTCTAGGCAAATGCAGCTTTGAAACTATCTCATAGTTGGAGTTCCGGTTTTCATGTCAAATGGATTTTATACGGTGATGTCATAAACTCCTTTGAAATGCTTCACATGCAGCTGCTGTAGTTAACTGAATTCCTTCCTTTATTGCCATATGGAGGGAAGGGGGAAATTTGGGGGGAAGAGAAGAAAAATACATGAGTTCAGTCTGCCATATTTAATCAGAAGCTCCTAAAGCCCATTTTTAACTCATTTCTCTAACACCAGCTTCTCAAAAGTGAAATAAGAAGATTGGAAAGGAATCAAGAGGAGTCTGCAGCTAACGTGGAACACTTGAAGAACGTCTTGCTGCAGTTCATTTTCTTGAAGCCAGGTAGTGAGAGAGAGAGCCTTCTTCCTGTTATAAATACGATGTTGCAGCTCAGCCCTGAAGAAAAGGGAAAACTTGCTGCGGTTGCTCAAGGTGGGTAAAAGGAGAGTCTCAGAACTTCTGACTTCTAACTTAAACTAAACAGCCTGGTGGTTGAGAAGTTGTCTGTATGTGTAACTTTTCAATTTTGCTCATTTGTATTGGGTCTGTCATATGAGTAGGCCGTGACTAGATTTGAAAAGCTGACTTTTTAACATCTTGAGGCAACTGTAGTACATTTATATAATTTTAACGTTCAGCAAAATACAATAAGTGCTTAGCTTGATCTTCTAGCTCTTTGAAAATTGGATTTTTATCCTGGTGTTGAGTTCTGGTGTTCAGCTGAACGTGGTTTTGTTTTAAATTCTACTTTTTAAAAAACATTTATTAGCTTGTTCCTTTTCTACTTCACCCCTCTTCCTTCCTCCAACCCCAAATAGCCTAAGACAATGGAGTCATATAGCCCAACACTTGGTCTATATACAGCAGTCCACTTTCTAGGCAAATGCAGTTTTAAAACTGTGCCATAGGCCAGGCACTGGTGGTTCATGCCTATAATCCCACCACTTTGGGAGGCCGAGGCAGGCGGATCACAAGATCAAGATACTGAGACTATCCTGGCCAACATGGTGAAATCTCGTCTCTACTAAAAATACAAAAATTAGCTGGACGTGGTGGCATGTGCCTGTAGTCCCAGCTACTCAGGAGGCTGAGGCAGGAGAGTCGCTTGAACTCACGAGGTGGAGGTTGCAGTGATCTGTCACGCCACTGTACTCCAGCCTGACGGCAGAGCGAGACTCCCATCTCAAAAAAAAAAAAAAAAAAAAAAAAAAAAAAAACTATGATGTAGTTAGAGTTGGTTTCCATGTCAGATGGATTTAATACTGTGATGTCATTAACTTCTTTGAAATGCTTCATATACAACTGCTATAGTTAACTGAATTCAAGCTGCATCTTAAGAATTATGGTTTCATTTTTGTTTTAGTTTTAAATTACTTTTATTTTTGACATTTACAAGCACAAGGAAGACGCTATAATCTCTCTTGAGTTGTCACCCATCTCTAACGGTTTTCAACTCATGGACAATCTTTTGGCGTAAATAGGGGAGAGTTAGAGACTTAAATCCCACACATCATTTCTTTCCCCAGTGAATAATTCAATGTTTATTGGATTTCTCTGTCACCTATACCTAGTTTATGTTCATTTTGCCTGTGTTATTGTGAATGTCTTTTTATAGTATCCTAAATAGGGCTCATATATTGCATTTGGTTGATGTTCCTTAAGCTTTATTTTGTTGTTGTGTTTTTGTTTGTTTGAGACGTAGTGTTGCTCTGTCACCCTGGCTGGAGTGCAGTGGTCCGATCATGGCTCACTGCAACCTCCGCCTCCCGGATTCAAGCGATTCTCCTGCGTCAGCCTCCCAAGTAGCTGGGACTACAGATGCACGCCAGCTAATTTTTCTATTTTTAGTAGAGACGAGGTTTCACCATGTTGGCCAGGATGGTCTCAATCTCCTGACCTTGTCATCTGCCCGCCTTGGCCTCCCAAAGTGCTGGGATTACAGGTGTGAGCCACCACGCCCGGCCATTTTGTTTTTTTTATCTATAACAATTACATATATAAATATATTTTTAATGTGCCACTTATTAATTGAAGAAAGTGGTCATTTATGCTATAGCAGTCCTATATTTGGTTTTTAATCATTACAGGGTAACACTGAGCTTGTTCTAATTGCCTATAAATAGGAAGATCCAGGTGCAATTGGGTGGGATGGTGGACAAAAATACACCATAGATGGTATTGTGTGCTTTCTAAGACATCAGGAGGCCCAGAATGTCCAGACATCTTACTTTTGACTGATTGACCTTATCTAGTTGGTGCTCTTTAACATGTTCCCCATCCCCTGTAAATCCTAATAACTAAACTGATAAGAGTCATCCTCAAAATTGAGCAGGCATCTGAATCATCTGGTATACTTACTAAAATTCCAATTGCTGGTCCCCAATTTCTGACCCAAGATTCTGCATTTTTAGCAATTCGTTGCTGATACTTCTGGTCTGGGGCCCATACCTTGAGAATCCCTGGTCTAGAGGCCTGATAAGATTCAGGCTTAATTTTTTTTACAGACATACTTCATAAGTAGTATTGATAGTTTCTTTGAATCTGGTTTTTAATAATCTTTCTAATGATGAAGGAGGAATGTTCTCAATACTGACAGTAATCTCAGTTCTTCAAACTATAGGATAGGTTTCTATAGCCACAATAGTATTTTTGTCACAAGGGCCCAAATAAGAATACATCATGTATATTTTTAGTAGTTATTCAAATTACAAGTTCACTGTCTTTAATTTATTCTAACAAAAGTAAACCTAATTTTATAGTTATAAAAAAGAAGAAATCTACTTCTAGTCACCTAAGAGTAAAACTGCCCCTATAAAAAACAAGACAGAAATCTCAAAATTATAACTAATTTTATAGTTATAAAATTAACCAGGACTTTAAGAATGTTTGCATTTTAAAATTAAAGTTTTCAATAGTTTTCAATACAACAATGATATTATCTCAAAATACTCAGCATGTCTAACAGGTCTCTTTTAAAAGCTCAGCATGTTTAATGTAGACGTTGCTAACGTCCAGGTGGCTCCTATAAGTTAAGGGTCCATTGATTTAGAAGTTCTAAAAGAGACTAACCTAAGGGATACCAAGAACAGATATTTTTAAAGAATTTCATAGAGGAGATACACATTAGAAACCCAGAACTCTAAGATGTGCATTTGGTAAGTCCTGTAAACAGACAGGAAAACACATTTAAATTAGTTTGCCCTTTAAAGATTATTTCCTACTTGTCTCTTATCAATGTGAGTACATAAAAGAGACCTTATTACAATTAAAAACAATGATGGTTTAGCAGCAGATTTAGATACCTTACATTTTCTCTTTAAGAGAGAGAATGTAAGGCCTGGCACGGTGGCTCACACCTGTAATCCAGCACTTTGGGAGGCTGAGGAGGGTAGATCACCTGAGGTCAGGAGTTCGAGACCAGCCTGGCCAACATGGTGAAACCCCGTCTCTACTCAGAATACAAAAATTAGCTGGGCGTGGTGGTGCATGCCTGTAATCCCAGCTACTTGGGAGGCTGAGGTAGGAGAACTGCTTGAACCCAGGAGGCAGAGGTTGCAGTGAGCCAAGATGGTGCCATTGCACTCCAGCCCGAGCAACAAGAGCAAAACTCTTATCTCAAAAAAAAAAAAAAAAAAAAAAAAATGTAAACTACAAGATAGTTCAAAAGAAATTACACAGAATTCAGCATGGGAGAAACAAAAAACAAGAGTGGGAAAAGACATCAAACATGTTTTTACTAATCGAAGTTCTAAAAGGAGAGACAAGAATACAGCACAGATAATATATGAAGAGAATGGCTGGAAATCTTTCAGAACTGTTGAAGGATATCTATCCACAGATTCAAAAACCCAATAAAATCTCAAGCAATATTAAAAAAAAAAGAAGAAATCTACTTCTAGTCACATAAGAGTAAAACTGCCCCTAAAAAAGACAGAGAGAAATCTCAAAAGCAGCCAGAGAAAGAAGACACATTGCCTCACAATAGACTTCTCAACAGCATTGGTGTAATACTATCTCATGTACTAAAAGAAATAACTGCCAACCTTTTATATTTTCCAAGATCTCTTCTGGAAAACAAAAACTTTAAGAATCTGCCTTCACTGAAAATTCTTAATGATGTACTTCAAGCAAAAAGAAAATTTCCTAGGTAAAAGTTCTAAGATGCCAGAAAGAAAGACATGCAAAGGAAACTTACCACCATATTACAGATATGGACTGTCAGTCTGACTGGTCACACTAGGGGCATTTGGTTACCAAGGCCTTGAAAATAATAACCAACACTGCATACATGAGGGATGCCAGAAGAAAGGTCTGAGAGCCACTCTTCCTGGCACTGAAGGAAACAGGGCCCATCAGAGCAAACAAGTACCTTTTACCTCTCTCCTTGGAAGCAAATGTTTATAATCTCTGGTTTTGTGTAAAGTTTATAACAGTATTTTTCATTCAGGTTGCTACCTATTAGTGGATGGTGAAATTAATTTGGTGGATCACATTCAGAATATTTTTTTAAAATCAAAAGAATACAAGCTGGGGTCAGTGACTCACAGCTGTAAGCCCAAAAGTTTGGGAAGACCAGGCAGGAGGATTGCTTGAGAACAGGAGTTCAGAATCAGCGTGGGCAACATGGCGAGACCCTATGTCTACAAAAATTTTAAAATATACCAGATCTGGTGGCATGTGCCCATAGTCCTAGCTACTCGGGAGGCTAAGGCAGCAGGATTCTTTGTTATAAGGAGTTTGAGGCTGCAGTCAAACTTCTGGTCGAAATCCTGGTCATGCCACTGCATTTCAGCCTGGGCAACAGAGTAAAACCCCATCTTTAAAAAAAAAATTAAGAAATAAAAATAATATGTGAAACATTAGAATATGTTGAATCTAGTAAGGATAAGCAATTATTTCTTGAAACTCTACATATATACATGAGTGTTGGTAAATACCTGACTGTATCATCAGCTCTAGATATAAAATGTTTATGATGTTGGCTGTGAGTTAATGAGGAATAGTTTTCCTTTCTGTGGGTTTGGGTGTATTTGGGAAACATTAGCTAAGGGGGTAAAGTAGGTTACCCAACTCTGAAAAGCAGCATCAAAATCTTTATAATAAACACATACTAGGGGCCCAACTTAAATTTCAAGCAGATGTCATGAGCTGCTCAGAGTAGCATGTTACAACTCTGCGTTATAAGGTAAAATGACACATTGCCTCACAATAGCCTGCCAGATCTGAGAACACAGCAAAATTTTTATTTTGTCAAAAATCTCATATTCAGCTTACACCATTCATTTCAGGTGAACATACAACAGTGCATTTCAGTTTAGGGAAATGTTTACAGTCATCTGGTTCTCTTTATTCCTGGGAACAAGGTTACCTCACTTGGAACACATAACCAGTGCCAAGTTGTCCATCCCTAAGCAATATTGCTTCCTTCTACTTTCTAGAAGTTCTTCAGATTGTGGAAGAGAAACTTTTCAGAGTTCTTTGCCCTCATTCCCTCCTCCAGAAATTCATGCCTTTGTATAATCTCTTCCCCCTGAGAGCCAGTAGGCTAACCTAATGAGTTATTTTTAACCAGTAGCATACAGCAAAAATGATAGATTACAAGAGATTGTGGCTTCTATCTTGCTAGCGGACTCTCTCTGTCTTCTCTGCTTGCACACTTTGTTGAAGCAAGCTACCATCCCAGAGGCAAGGAACACAGGCCATCAGTTTAGCAGCCTTGAGGAACTAAATTCTTCCAACTACCACATAAGTTTGGAAGTAGATTCTTCTCCAGTCCAGCCTTCAGATGAGACCCCAGCCATGCCAACATCTTGATTGCAGCCCTGTGAGAGACCTTGAAATAGAACCATTTCTGATCTCCTGACCCACAGAAACTGTGAAATAAATATGTGTTAAGGTACTAAGTTTGTAGTAATTTGTTACACAGCAGATTGTAAATAACACGTAGATAAAACCAGACAGAACAGAAAAATAAAATGGCTTTAAATCTAGAAAGTTTCCCCATGTAAAATTTTGAAAATGCTACTCTGCCTAAGGTCAAACCGTCATACATATATACGTATGAAAACACAGAAAGGTGTCTGGAAGGGTAATACCAAATTAAATCTTTATCCAAGAGGAATGAAAACCAGTATTCACACAAAAACCTATGCACAAACCTTGTGAATATATTAAAAACCAGTGACTTATGCACTTTAAAAAGGTGAATTATGTGGTATATGAATTATATCTCCAAAACATTTAATTAAAAACCTGTACACAATTATTCATAGAAACTTTCTTTAAAATTGCTAAAAACGAGGAAGATCTCAGTTATCCTTCAACTGGCAAATGAATAAACAAACTGGTACAGCCATGCAATTGAATACTGCTCAGCAATAAAAAAGAATGCACTGCCAGTACAGCAACATGGATAATTCTCAAATGCATTATGCCAGTTGACAGAGGTCAGACTCAAAATACTATGTACAGTGTGATTCTACTTATATGACACTGAAAAAAGCAGTACTATAAGGACAGAAAACAGGTTAGTGGTTGCCAAGGAGTGGGAGAAGCAGCCAGGGAGAACTTTGAGGAGGTAAAAATGTGCCAGGCCTTGGTCGGTGGTGGTACATAACTGTGCATTTGTCAAGACTCAGTGCTATACGCTGAAAAGGGCAGGTTTTACTATAAGTTGTACCTCAATAAACATGATTTTTAAATGATTAAAACTTTGGTTTTTGTTTGTTTTGGTTCAGTTTTAAGGTTTACCATAAATCTATTGGTTTTAGATTCTAAGTTGTATATAAGCTTCTGTTTTAAAAGAACTTTTTTAAAAATCCTCTTATCATCAACAATATTTAGTTGTGCTGGAAATTTTATTTTGGAATTGTTTAATAGAGAAAGACAATAAATAATGTTCAAGAACAGACATTGATTCATAACATCAAAGTATATTGTGAGAAGATGGTATTTCAGAATAGAGGAAGAATTTCTTATGTGCTGGTAAGATTGTAGATAATCATTTCTGCATAATTTTCATAGCTGGATTGCTTTAATAAAGCCACTTAAAGGTTAAGTTCTAGATTGCTTCATGTTGCTTATCAATGTTTTAAAGCTAAAATAGAAAATTAGCTGTTAAGTTGGCTCAACCGGAAATTCAGTATATCCTTTAAAAAGAGAAATTTAGTAAGCAGTGTGTCTAAAGAATGACATATGGTTGGGTACAGTGGCTCGTGACTGTAATCCCAACACTGTGAGGCTGAAGTGGGAGGATCACTTAAGCCCAGGAATTTGAGACCAGCCTGGAAAACAGCCCAGCCCAGCCCATGCCTGGCTAATTTTTTTTTTTTTTTTTGGATTTTAGTAGAGACAAGGTTTCACCATGTTGCCCAGCTGGTCTTGAACTCCTGAGTGCAGGCAATCCACCCACCTCACCCTCCCAAAGTGCTAGGATTACAGGTATTTGGTTTTTTGTTTGGTTTTCAAGCAACCTTTCTCAATTTTGCTATGCTCACTCTTTCTTCACATGTTGGTACTGGCTAGATACAGATTTTGCTTTCCTATTGGAGACTCTTTTGAGAGCTGGCTATTCCCTCTTGCTCCTTTTCTTTTTTCTCTTCCCTACTTTCAAGTTTCTTGCTCTTTTTCTTACCCCATAAGTTACCAGAAATTCATACCCCCTTGAGAGGGCTTTTTCTTTGAACTTCAGTCTTTAGTTTCATCAACTTTTCTAAGGAAATTGATCTGTTAATGAAAGTTGGCTTGCTTGACTTCAGAATATCTGTATTATTCAATGATGTGTTTTTCTGGTTGCTTTGTTTGAGCATAGTGTAAATATCACCCATTGCATAGCTATGGCAGTGACATAAATCTAGCAGCGTAAGATCGAGAAAAGCTAGAAGTCCCACCACAGATTGTATTTCAGTGAAAGGGATTCATTTTAACTGCTTATAAAACTAAAGAAAACTTATAAACATGGAAAACAATTATTAAACCCACCATATGCTCATACTGATATTAAATGGTGTGCCAGATTCTAGAAAGAGTTACCTTTTGGTAAGAGCACTGCTTGTTAACTATGGTTGGTTGCTTTAGATGTCTAGTGTGTACACAAAAGCATGAATTTTATTCCTTATAACCAAAGTAGAAACCTACTCTGAGCAATTTGACAAAAGGTTTACATTATTTATTTTAGTGTAGTTTAAGATTACAGTAAGATGCAATTCCCAAAGAGTGAAATATAAGGCTGGGCATGGTGGATCACGCCTGTAATCCTAACACTTTGGGAGGCTGAGGCAGGTGCATCACCTGAGATCAGGAGTTCGAGACCAGCCTGGCCAACATGACGAAACCCCATCTCTACTAAAAATACAACAATTAGCCAGATGTGGTGGTGCCCACCTGTAATCCCAGCTACTAGGGAGGCTGAGGCAGGAGAATCCCTTGAACCTGGGGGGGTGGAGGCTGGAGTGAGCTGAGATCATGCCATTGCACTCCAGCCTGGGCACACTCTCAAAAAAAAAAAAAGTGCAATATAACTTTTCACAAAATATGGAACTGTGGTAGTCTAGAACAATGTCTCAATATACCTCCTACACGAAGTATAATAGTAAATATCTGTATTTGGTGGCATAATATGCTCTTAGTATAAACCAAAAACACATGCTGAGCATTGGACATTGTCCAATGTTTAATTCATATGATTCATTCTGAGTTTCTGACTGAGATCATTCTTTCAGACTGTGTATTTCTCCTGGGATCCATAAAATATGCAGCCCTAACATGATTTCATTTTTGTTTCCTTTCCTGGAAAAGGAGAAATCATTCAGATCAGCTTTCATATTGCCTTATAGACGATGACTTCAAAATAGTTTTAAAGGGACTCCTTTGTTCTAGAACTGCTCTAACACAGTAGCCACTAGCCACATGTGGCTATTGAAAGATTGAAATGTGGTTATTCCAAATCAGGATGTACAGTAAATATAAAATACACACCAGATTTCAAAGGCTTACATGAAAAAAGTAATGTGAAATATCTCACTAGTAGTTTTTATAGTGATTACATGTTGAAATTTTAACATTGTGAACATATTAGTTTAAATAAAATGTATTGTGAAAATTAATTTCATGTTTCTATTTACTTTTGATAAAAGTACTACTAGAGGCTGGGTGTGGTGGCTCACTCCTGTAATCCCAGCACTTTGGGAGGCTGAGGTGGGAGGATCACGAGGTCAGGAGACCGAGACCATCCTGGCTAACACGGTGAAACCCCGTCTCTACTAAAAATACAAAAAATTAGCCAGACGTGTTGGCAGGCGCCTGTAGTCCCAGCTACTAGGGAGGCTGAGGCAGGAGAATGGCGCGAACCCGGGAGGCGGAGCTTGCAGTGAGCTGAGATCGTGCCACTGCACTCCAGCCTGGGCTTCAGAGCGAGACTCCGTCTCAGAAAAAAAAACACTACTAGCACATTTTTAAATTACTTGTAGTGATCTCATTTGTAACACATTACATTTCAATCGTATACTGCTTTTCTAAAGAGTCACTGCTAAGCCCTGAAATTAACTCCAAATACCTCCCTGGGATACAGTGCCAAGGAAGGGGCTTCCTTGAACTTCAACCTCTAAAAGTAAGCAAGAATTGAGAAATATCTTCTGCTTTGAAAAATATTCACTCCCCAACGCTAATACATCAATTACATATTATTTGGGGGCTAACTAAGCTCCTATTTTAAAATGTAAACTGAAGAAATCAGGCCAGAGTCATTCCCATCTTAGTGCCAATCATATAATCAGATAATTAGATTGCTCTTTCCCTAAAGCCTGTTTAGTTTTTTTGTTTGCTGGTTTTGTTGTTGTTGGGTTTTTTAATTTGTTTTTGTTGTTGTTGTTGTTGTTGTTGTTTTGAGATGGATACTCACTGTGTCACCCAGGCTAGAGTGCAGCGGCATGATCTCTGCTCAGTGCAACCTCCAACTCCTGGGTTCAAGCGATTCTCCTGCCTCAGCCTCCTGAGTAGCTGGGACTGTAGGTGCATGCCACCACGCCCGTCTAATTTTTTTGTTTTTTGGTTTTTTTGTTTGTTTTGAGACAGTCTCGCTGTTTCCCAGGCTGGAGTGCAGTGGCACAATCTCGGCTCACTGCAACCTCCACTTCCGAGGTTCAAGCGATTCTCCTGCCTCAGCCTCCCAAGTAGCTGGGACTACAGGTGCATGGCATTATGCCTGGCTAATTTTTTGTATTTTTAGCAGAGATGGGGTTTCGCCATGTTGGCAAAACTGGTCTCAAACTTCTGGCCTCAGGTGATCCAGCCGTCTCAGATCAAAGTGCTGGGATTACAGGCATGAGCCACCACTCACAGCTTGCTAAGGCCTTTTGCCAAGACAAATTAGCTCTTAGAGAACCACAGGATTCCTTTTGTAATGTATTACAAACTAAAGTCTTACCTACTCTTGAAGAGTAGAAAACATGGAAAAGTTCTATGTTAGCCCTTAGAATAATTAAAAATTCATAAGCTCTGAAATAAAGACAGGTAATAAAATCATTGCGTATGACAAAACAAAAGTTTAAATTGGCGTTTGTAAACTCTGCATGAAAGCCAGGTTTCTCACTACTAGAAAAAAAGTTATAAATAAGCCAAGGAGAATTCCAGAATGAATCCTGTGGTGCCAAATATATGTTAACTACAAGGAATAACAGTGACCTTACACTGGAAACACCTTAACCATGGGCCAAGGTTAAAGATATAACAGCATTCTCACACCCCTTGCATAGCTACCCCCAATGTTAACATAACTGTTAACAAATTATCAAAACTAAGAAATTCGTCTTGGTATAGTATCACTAACTAAACTCCAGACCTCAGTCAGGTTTTCCCAGTCTTTCCTTCAGTGTCCTTCCTCTGTTTCAGGATTCAATCCATGATCCTTGACACTTGGTACTTTGTCAGATGTCCCGCTGTATGGGTTTGTTTGATGTTTTCCCATGATTAGGGATAGACACTGCAAGACTCAGAGCTACTTTACAAAGAAGCCTCTAGGGAGCTCCCCAGAGAAGACAGGGGAGACAACACAAGGACACTAGAGGAAATTTTAGCCTCTGACATCCATGACTATATAGCAAAGAGTAAACAAAGCCTAACTCCTAGCCAGAGAAACACAAAATCTCATACTAAAGCCTTATTTAACTCAGTTCGTTTCACCCAGTACATCATATACAGCCTCAAACAAAAAATTACAAAGCATACTAAAAGACAAGAAACCCCACAGTTTGAAGAGACAGAGCAAGCATCAGAACCAGACTCAGATATGAAAGAAATATCGGAAGTATCCAACCAGGAATTTAAAATAACTAAGATTAACATGCTAGGGGCTCTAATGTAAAAATGGCATAACATGCAAGAACAGATGGGTAATGTAAGCAAAGAGATAAAAACACTAAGAAGAAATAAAGATGAAATACTAGAAATAAAAAACACCATAACAGAAATGAAGAATGCCTTTGATGGGTTCATCAAAAGAATGGATATGGCCAATGAAAGAATCAGTGAGCTCAAAGAGATGTCAATAGATACTTCAAAAGCTGACACACAATGAGAGAAAAGAATGAAAAAGAAAAAACAGAACAAGAGTCAAGAACTGTGAGACAATTACAAAAGGTGGAACATGGAGACTTTTTGGAAATACCAGAAAGAGAAGAAAAAGAGAAAGCCAGGCATGGTGGCTTACGCCTATAATGCCAGCAATTTGGGAGGCCGAGGCGGGCAGATCGCAAGGTCAGGAGATCGAGACCATCCTGGCTAACACGGTGAAACCCTGTCTCTACTAAAAATACAAAAAATTAGCGGGGCGTGGTGGCAGGCGCCTGTAGTCCCAGCTACTCGGGAGACTGAGGCAGGAGAATGGCATGAACCTGGGAGGAGGAGCTTGCAGTGAGCTGAGATCGTGCCACTGCACTCCAGCCTGGGCAACAGAGCAAGACTCTGTCTCAAAAAAAAAAAAAAAAAAGAGAAAGAAACAGAAGAAACATTTGAAGCAACAGTGACTGAAAATTCCCCCAAATTCATGATAGATAAAGCTATGGTCTGAATGTTTGTGTCTCCTCAAAAGTTATATTGAAACTTAATCCTCAATGTGATAGTACTGAGGTGGGGCTTTTGGGAGTCAATCAGGTTACGAGGGCTCTACCCTCAGGACAGAGATTAGTGCACTTATGAAAGAAGCCCCAGGGAATTAGCTAGCCCCTGACACCATGTGAGGACAAAGCCAGAATGTGTCATCTATGAGGAAGCAGGGCCTCACCAGACACTGCTAGTGCCTTGGTCTTGGACATCACAGCCCCTAGAACGGTGAGAAATAAATTTCTGTTGTTTATAAACTCTCCAGTTTATGATATTTTTGTCACAGCAGCCCAAATGAACTAAGGTAGACATAAAGGAACAGATCCAGGAAGCTCAAAATACATCATTTCAATAATGATCTTTAAAACTTTGTTTGAAATTATACTGATCATTCCGCTGACTGCTGAATGACCTGGCACCGTCTCAGGGTTTTAGTCTGGAGTTTTTGTTTATGCTCATGGCCTCACGGAGAACAATATTCACCTGAAGTGACGGCGCTTCTCTTTTTATGTTGTTGAGAAGCATGATTGGCTCTTTTTTTGCAAAATTATTCACAAACTTAAACTTTGATTCAGAATTATTGAAGTAACATGGTGAGGCAGAGTAATATGTGACTTAAATTTTATGGAGTACTAAGGAAAACGGGCAGACTTAATATAAAAGTGGTGCATTGGTGGTGCTTAAGGGCAAATACCGATAACATGGTGTACAAATAAAGGATCCCGATGATTCAAACAGGTGGAAGTGATGGGAGAACTGAGTTGTCACACAGTACCATATCCACACTGTCACACAAATCTCACCTTTATTTATTCCCTTTTGCACTAACGTAGCCAGAAATGTGAAACGATGACAGTTTTTTCAGTAGGTATTTTTTTTTTTTAGTTTTTATCATTGACCTTTGAGGTGCACTATTAAATTGCTCAGTCCATTAAAATAACGGATTGCTGATTTAAAAACTGGTTCCTTGCTTAGCTTCAGCAAAACAGCAAAGTCTACCACATTAAATGTATATTGTTTATTTGATTTTTATTGACTTTGTTGTCTTATTTTAACTACTTAATTGCAAATCTGTCTTGGGGTTAACACTGTGTAAGAGTTTTAAGCATAAGAAGTCTGTACTTAGAGTTTAGATGTAGTTTTATATTTGTACATGTTGATGTAACATTTTAATAATAATAATTCAGGTCTGCTGGGCATGGTGGCTCATGCCTGTAATCCCAGCACTTTGGGAGGCTGAGGCGGGCGGCTCACCTGAGGTCGAGAGTTCAAGACCAGCCTGACCAACATGGAGAAACCCTGTCTCTACTAAAAATGTAAAATTAGCCAGGCATGGTGGCACATGCATGTAATTCCAGCTACTTGGGAGGCTGAGGTAGGAGAATCGCTTGAACCCGGAGGCGGAGGTTGTGGTGAGCTGAGATCGCACCATTGCACTCTAGCCTGGGCAATGAGAGCAAAATTCTGTCTCAGAAAAAAAAAAAAAAATCAGGTTAATTCTGGGATCTGAGCAAAGTTTTGCTCCTTTCCGAGAGGTGAACACGTTACGCAATTATTAATAATATCCCTGTGGGAAGGGGCTTTACAACAAATTATTTTACAGGTGAAGGGCAGAAATGAAAACATTTTCTAGAGCCACTCCTGCCCTTCACACTCAGGAATGTCGCAGTAGTCATATCTCTGTTCTGGATCAGTAGTATAGCACCAGGGCCCCTGCGCATCGTTGTCTGGATTCCTCCAGTCCCTCTGAGGGGTGTGTAGCAGGTGAGAATCTGGGGAGGATGGAAGAGAAGCACTTAGACTATATTCTAAAAATCAGCTTGCTATTAGCAAGGCAGAAGGAGATGCTCTCGATTCCCATCTGAGATTGTCATCCAAATGCATTTCAGCTGGGTGCTGCAGCATTTGTGTGGTCAGATTTTCAATTTCTCTATTGATAGGCTGCTTCTGGCACAGTAGCTAATATTACCATTGCTACTGTGACAGCCAAGTCTTAGACAGAGAGCCAAAATATTTTTATTGCACAGTCAGGAGAAATATAAAGGCCTCAAAAGCCTGCCATGGTCTTAATTCATTCCAAACACCTGCTTTTGTCAGTTGCCCTTTTCTCTGTAAAAATTTTCGTAGTTAACACCATTTTGTCCATGTGAACTATGTGCCAGGAATTCCACTAACATCTTTCCACACATTCTCTCTTTTAGTCCTAATAAAAAAAACCATTTGAGGAAGGTGTTATTATCCCTGTTTTACAGATGAGAAGACTGAGTGGCAACGTAAAACAAAACAAAACAAAACTTGCCTAAGCATAAATAGCTATGAAGAAGCAGATCAAGAATTCAAAGTTGATCTGTCTGATTCCAAAGTCCTGGTTTTCTCTGAAATGCAGCTTGAATTATTGGGGATGGAGGAGGGATTTAAACTTATTTTCAGTTCTAGAGATGAGTTGCTGTATAGAGACAACCATTTAGATGACAATCACAAGACTTACAGTCTAGAAAGGCAGGTTTTATTTCTGGTTCTTCTGTGAACCTATTTGGGTAACCCCCACCCCCCAAGACCTCAGTTCCCTCATGAAGATGAGCCTAGACTACCTCATAAAAATGGCCCAGAGTGTCTCCATGGCCCCCGATAGTCTCTGACTTCGCCATTTGGTTGAATCAGTTTTCATTAACTCACGGGGAATATTTGATCTGCTCATCTCATAGGGATATAGCAAAGGCAATTTGTTGAGTGTTGGGGGAATGGATAAAGGTGAGTAACACTAAGTTCCTATTTGATAAGTGTCATTACTGAGAACTTAAGGCCACCTAACACCAAACTGGGAAAAGCACAAAAAAATGCACTAAAATAAATAATAGGCAAGTTGTGACATTTGAATTTCACGTATCTTCATTTTCATTTTTATATTTTATTTACTATTTTGCTCCACAATTTGAGTCAAACATGTGATGAGAGTTCTAACTTGATATGTTTACTTCAGTCCCAAACATAGTCATCTTTGGTCTTTTCTCAGATTTGGCCTAAAACTCGTAGTTTCATTGATTTTTTTTTTTAACTAGGCATTCTTCTATGTTCTAGGTCTTCAAGAAACCTCCATACCCAAGAAAAAATAGAAAGCAACCATGTTCTACTATGGTGCCAAAAATAGTTGAACATCGACATCAAAAAGATTCTTTCTGTCTGCTTATTCACATATTCTGGTTTGAATTAAAAGTGATGAAATTATCCTAAATACAGTTGGCCCTCTGTATCCATGGGTTCCACATCCACAAATTCAACCAACTGTGGATGGAAAAGACTTGAAAAAGATGAGAGAAAATAACAATATGACAATAAAACATAATACAAATAAAAACAATACAGTATAACAACGATTACATAGCATTTACATTATATTAGGGATTGCACAAGAGAAGGTATGTAGGTTATATGCAAATACTGCACCATTTTACATAAGGGACTTGAGAAGCATGGATTTTGGTAGCCACAGGGGTCCTGGAACCAATCCCTCACAGACACAGACGGACACTTTACAGTAGATGAACACAAAGATGAAAGGAAAAGTCTGACCTAGGTCTGCGGGGAGAAGTGGAACTCCATTTTTGACAGGTGATGCCATTTTTTGTTTTGGACATCGTCCCTCTGTAGTTCTTTCCATTCCCAGTCTTGCACTCTGAAAGATACACTGAAGGAAAGTCCACACAGTGGTCAAAGTCTTTCACAAGACACCACGTGAAGGTCTGCACAGCACAGTCACATTGAGAAAAAGATCTCATGCACCAGACCCCCTGTTTCTGCTTTCTAAAAGATCATCTTTTGCACCTGCAAAAAGGCTGCAGTAAACTGGGCCATTCCATACTTTGATTCATGTATTCAAATGCTACTTATGAGCTCTCTGTGTATTGAGCCCCACCAGGATGCTGGGGACACACGGGGCACAGTGCAGCCAGAGGCTTGGCCATCATAGAGCTCACATTCTAGTGGAATCAGACAGGGGGGTTACAGGAAATATTCAAGTAAACAATATAAAATGAGATCACTTAATGATGATACATGGATACATGTTACATACATGATGAGACAGAGTAAGAGAATGGGGAAAGGGTTTTTAGATGGGGGAATGGCAGGCTTTTCCGAGGCTGAAAGAGATCCAACCCACTTCTATTTCTTCAGGCTCCCAGTGATATGAAAAAGTGCCAAACAGGACTATAAAATTGTGGTCTACTGTAAATGGTTTGCAGTAAAAGTTCTCAACCAGCTTCCACTCAACCAACTCACCAGTTAGACAATGGGCCCTCTCCTGTGTTTAAAACAGTCCGGTGCCCACCTGGGTCCACATGCAGCTGGCAGGTGTTTGCTAGTGTGCCCACCCATGTCTGTTCCCCCCACGTGAGTTATGTGCTTACAACGAGTCGTTTCTTTGCATTTTCCAACTTTCTTACATTTATATTTAATTAAAGATGATCTAAACTGAGAAATGAATGTGAAAAGAAACAAAGCTCTTTTTTGTTTGGTTTTTAACTAAATTAAATGTTTTTAACAAGTTGAAACGTGAATCATTTAAAAAATTGCTATCAGATCCACAGAGGGCAATCCACTCATATAGTTGACTATAAAGCTTGAGGAGGAATTCATAAAAATCTAAAGGTTTTACACATGCAGATTGATTAATAAATGTCGAGATATGGTCCACTTCAAAAATAAGGAAAGTAATTATTGTAGATGTTGCACTAGAGCATAGTTTATGCAGGAAATGCACCAGAGACCTTCTACTGGTGACCCCATATTCGAAGAAAAAAAGCCTCTGCTCTACATCAAGAGGTGTCAAGTACACTTGTGTTTTCAATGAAAATATAAAATGTTTAAGGTATATTTGCACCATCATTTAAGGTTACCCACTTTAGCCATTTTTAAATTCACTGATCAATCACATGGGGAGTACTCCTAACGTACCTACAGCAAACTAATGCTTTTAACCCAATACTACCTATTATGATTGCCAGTACATCTTCATTGGGACATAGTATTACAGTAGACATAAGACACTCATCAAAGTGTAAACTCAAGGTACTTTGTGAAAGGGAGGTCTAGGGGTCAAGGAAGATTTGCAAAGGAGGTGATGATTGAGCTGACACCTAGGCGATAAGAAGGAGCTGGCACAGCAGGACAAAGGTGAAGAGGGTCCCAGGCAGGAGGGCGTGTGCTTGGGGTGGTGAAGGAACAGAAGTAAGGCCAGAAACTTTGTAGAAAAGTTTAGCAAGCCAAGCAAACAGCAGCCGGGGGTTACGTAAATAATGCCGGGCCCTGGCACATTTGGGAAGTCTTTGGGTCTTATTTTAAGGGCACTAGGAAGGGCTTTAAACAGGGAAGTTATATTTCTTCGAGATCAGGTGTACAGCTACAAGTAGCCCCAACCAGTGGTGATAGGGTCTTGGACTCGGTGAAGGCAGTGTGGCTGGTGGCAAGTGGCAGAAGTAAACGTGATCTAACACTGACTGTTCCTGGAAAAACCCTGGCAGGTAAGTTAGCAGCAGGTCAATATCCCACAGCAACTGTATGTACCCACCGGAGTTTATATAACCTTTTGCTCCCTTCTGTCACTTTGAAAACAAGCAAACTAAGCCTTCAAACTTCACACTTCAAACTCAACCTACAGTCATTCCCATGTTCCTTCTGGTTAACAATTTACAAATGACATATTTAAATGTTAGCATTTTGTAGAGAGAATCAGGAGAATCAGGGTTTTTTGTTTTTTTTTTTAAATCTGGTACAATTAGGTCATCCTATTTAGTTTACCGTTTGCTTGCTACTTGTAAGAACTAATAACTTTACCAGATAAAGTTTAGATTTCATCTGTACTTTAATCTCAAGAATTCGAGATAAATAGTGGTAAGGAAGAAAGTACAATGCGTACAGCTAATGAAACCCAGGAAGATGAGTCAATGCATAGAAATAATTCCAACCCAAATAAATACTATTTAAAATGCTACTTGGAGTTTTGCCGTGATACTAGACACAATATGGCAAATCATCCTCAAGAATACAAGAACTAAGGTGTTTCCAGTCCTCTTTAACACCTGTGATGCAGGATATTTGGAGAGCTAAATTGTTATTATTAACAGTCTTAATACCTGGCCACCAACACAGTAGAGGAAACAGTTTTTAAAGTGTCATACATCTCTTCAAATATTCATACGCTTAATGAAACATTCGCACATCTAAAAAGGCATGCAATTTCTATTGAAATCCTGTGTGCCTCTTATTCTAAGCAGTGGGACTATTGACCCACATTTTAAAATAAACTATAGAAAAGGAACTGTAACTTTTACACATTTTTAAAAGACAACATATCAGAAATCTGAGAAAAATATAGACCATGTCCCCCAAAATGTGAAAAATTTAAGAGTAAAAAATAAGATTTGTGTCCCAATCTAAATGTTTCTGAGGATTAAAACACCTCAGTATTTCTGTTTTACAAGGCTTCGTCCAGATGTTAGGGCCCAAGGACCATGGTCACCCTGCAGAATAAGAAGCCAAGACCAAAAGGAATGCTTAGACTTCCCATCTCCTTGTTAAATATAAAATAATATTTTAAAAATCTTATTTTCAGGGTCATAGAGGTAGAAGTGATTTTGTAAATCTAATCCTTTCATTTTTTGAACAAAAAAAAATTAAATCTAGGAGGTGAAGTAATATACTCAAGCTGACATGGTTAGTTAGTAATCAAATCCTGTCCTAACTCAGAATTCAATTTTACAACACCATAGCGCCTTCCTCCTCTGGTCTCATAAATTAAAGATAGAATAGAGAAAGAGGAAGAGTGGGAGGATGGGGAGGACAGTAGGAGGAGGAGGAAGAAAATGTACTCACTTTACTTTTCAAATAAAACTGCATCTCTCATCCTAATGATTATGGAGGACTTCCTGTTTTCAGCCATTATCACACATTGTTGCTCTTTACTGTGATATTGGAATGCCCTGCAGAACGAAGCAGGAAATCCAATAAGTATTTTTCTTTATTTAAAGAAAACAAATGTTTATTAATAAATGAGAAATGCTAAAGATCATTGACTATCTTGAGGGACCAGAGAGCTCAGAATTGCTGCCTCTTTCAGTTATTTGGGCATGGCATTGATGAAGTACTGAACAAAATACACCAACGTGGCAGTAAATCTTATCTGCCCTTACCTTCCCTCCCTCATAATTTTCTCTTTCTTTCTGTTTCAACTGTTTTACTTCTTCTTCACTCATCTTCTTAATTTTTGTTTTTGGGTCAGAAAGAAGCAACTCTGGTTGCTTTGAACCCATTCCCCAAGATAGTCCATCTCCATGACCTCCCAACTCTGATCAGTTCCCCTGAACCTCTGCCCCACATTCCACCCCACCCTGGCCCCTGACCCCTCCCATCTCCATCCCGTGGTCCTGCTATGGGTGCTCAGTCTGGCATCCATAGCTACTTTCCCAGGCTCATCACCTACACAAAGTCTCTGCTTTAGTCAACTTGATCTCTTAATGGTCCCCCTCAGAAAGTGCAGGGCCGCATCTTCCCCTGCCTTCCTGGTGCTTTTCAAGAGCTCTCTCAACTCCAAACCCAGCTCGGTTCCCACCTCCTCCCTGAGCCTTCTCTAGCTGCCTCAACCTTAGGCACTGTTCTTTCTTCTGGATCTGGGTAGAACATGCATTGATTATGCCTGTAGCTCACTTAGGCTGTCTTTTTTTTTTTTTAACATTATATCCAGTCACCTTAAATACTGAAGGGCAGGCACTGGATCTTGTAGCTATAAGTCATTGCTCAGATCTATCTAGGACACTTTCATTCATATGATCCTCAACAAACATTTACTGATGATGATGTTAAAAACTGGAGCTCAGAACAATAACTGCTAATGTTTATGTCCGGTGTAAAAACAAATAACTTCCTTTTAGGGTATTTTTCTAATGAAGACTCCAGTAAACCTTAACAAGAAGCTGTTAGTATGGCTTCACATGCTATGAGCAAATATAGTTCCAAACTCTGGCTCCATAAATTTCTCTTTCCTCTTAAATCGTTAATAAATTTGTGAGTAAATTACTTGCCATCTGAATTACAGATTTCTGGGTAGGTGCAACGACGATGAAAATACCTGCAGGTGAATTCTTTGTCCTCTTCACATTTTGCTGCACATTCTTCTCTGCTTCCTGCCCCCAGCTGCTTCTTAGTGACACTGAACAGTGAAGGCCCCTGGGTATTCACATAGTCATCCAGGGGCTCTCCTTGACCTAGAGGTGGGAGATCCAAGTGGAATAAATGGTCAGTAAATCAATGCCAATGTCTAATTGTCATGACTTCCTTTTAATCTATTTGGTTAGCATTAACCAAATAAAACTTGCTGTTTACTGGAAGTAGAATGGGTAGCTATGAATCAAAATGTTTAGTTAAGAACACACAGTTGGGCATGTGGACATAAATAAAGATGGCAACTAAAGACACTGGGGACTACCAGAGAAGGGAGAGAGGGAGCGAGGCAAGGGCTGAAAAACTACCTATTTAGTAGGTATTTAGCTCACTACCTGGGTGATGGGAATCATTTGTACCCCAAAGCTCAGTGTCACGCAATTTAGTGATGTAACAAACCTGCACATGTACCCCTGACTCTAAAAGTTGAAATTATAAAACAAAGAAAAACAGTTTCATTAACAGATTGCAAGATAGTAAAAGATTAACTGGATTGATAAACAGGTTAGAACTATGGAACCACTACTATGTTACCATATTAGTGGATATAAATCCTTAAACAAGAACAAATTTTATGTTTGCTATCAATTGTGCCATGTCATGAGAGAAGAGTAAGGCACCATCAGTGGCAGTTGTGTTACCAAGATTGATGTTGATTTGTTCATCCCTGGGTAGAAATGGAACTTGGAGGCCATTGTTTGATTTCCTACAATATGCGCTTTGGTTCTGACACTGTCACTTGAACTGGTGGGAAGCATCCTCTGAATGGTCCCTCCTTGAGACACATAAATTTTGGTGCATAGATGATGGTGGAAATAAACAAGAACTGAACTAAATTATGTTGCCAACTTGGACAAAAATTGGGCAAAACACTGGAGGGTAAGAAGCTCCCCAACAAAGAAGGCCATTTTTGTACTGGGCTGATGACAGTCACACAACACTACTAACTGGGGAGAAATCAGTTTTTCCAAGGTGTTGACAGGTATCTGGATTTCGGAGGAAATTGTAAAAAAGCAGAACCTGGGACAAATACTGGTCTTGGTTTTTCTTTGAGATCAAATCTGAGACAACGAATCTGTCCGAAAGCTGCTTTCTGCCTGGTCGTGGCAGAGGGTGGCCAAGGGGGCCTCAGCTGTGCTCCCACCACAAGGCTACAGGGTGTTCCCTTG
Organism: Homo sapiens; assembly: GCF_000001405.40. NCBI lineage: Eukaryota > Metazoa > Chordata > Mammalia > Primates > Hominidae > Homo > Homo sapiens. The sequence continues at coordinate 87,751,121 of NC_000002.12, read as the reverse complement.
TCCTGAGGCTCTTCCGGACATCTGGCTGAGCTTTGGTAGGTCTATTCCAAGCCTGGAGATGCCAGCTCCATCCTTCGCACAGAATGCTAGTGATTTTCACAGGGGTAAGAGGCCAAAAGAGGCTAATAAAATGAAGATAGCCAAGCTCCATGGAATTAGACAACAGGACAACCTTGACCACTTTGAGGGGCGTGGTGGGGGCTGCAGGCAGAGGGAGTGGGTTATAGAGTGACGAGGAGAGCAGTGGAGGCGGCAGCGGGAGACAAGCCTGGCTCTGAAGACAGCGAGCCCTCCAGGGAAGATGAGGTCAGGGGAGGTTCTGAAAGATGACACACTGCAGAGCGCACTGGTTTGTATGCTGATGACAAATATCCAGTAGGAAGGCAAATGAACAGATTCTCATTCTCAGAAAGGCCCGTCCTGACCTCCTGAGGGTACACAGAGCACAGGGAGGAGGATGCACGCTCATCAATTCATGCAAAGTCCTCGGCCAAAGTCCCCCTGCTCCCCACCTCTGGGACTTCGTCCTTCCTCAATTTAAGACATTCCGGGCTGGAAAAATGGATTATTGAGCAGGAGTTGGCTGATGCATTCTAAACCTAATCCACTGAAAAGCACTTGAGAGATGTATCAAAAGATCACAAAGAAATAGATGCTTTAGGCCCATATCCATGTCTTTACCCCGCACTTTCTGCCAACTTGAACTCTCATTTCCAAGAAGAGTTGTGTTTTGGTTAATTCTATAGCTCGCAGTGTGACTTCAAAACACACAATAAATCCACAAAGTGTGTCCTACGGTGAGTTCAGTTAAACTTTCTGAAGAGTTTTTTTGAAGTATAGCAGAGCAGGCTACAATTGATATTCAAAAAAAGAAAACTTCCATTTATTTCCCCCTTCAATTAAGTTCTCTGTGTCATGTTATTATACTTCATAGCGCATCGCTGCTGAGATCCCCTCCCCAGCTCCTGTCCCTAGGAAATATCCCAAAACAGAATCAAACTTTTTTCTTTTTAATTTGAAATAATTTTCCCCCATTTTTTTTTTCTCTTATTCACCTCTAGGACTCATATGGCAATAGGATTTGATAGGGCTTATTTGCTGGCAAGGAAACATCAAATCTTTTAGTGGAAAAATACATTTATATTATAGGCAAAATGCAGATGTATATTGCTACTGATGCAAATGTATTTTATTAATGGTGTGAGAATTTCTTCCTCACTGTGGTGTGTGAATGTGTATGCATATTTGCATGTGTAAAAGACTTAATTTGTGAAATGGAAGATGTTTCTCCACTTCCCACTAAGCATGGCTGTAAAAGAAACTTTTTCCTCTCCCCGGGCATTGCAGCACACTGGAAAGATGATACATCCACAGAAAGCCTGGCTTTCCAAAAGAGCTTATGAGAGAATGTTCCCCCCAGGTTGGTTAAAACATTGGTAATCCTGTGGCGGAGAAGTTTGTTCTAGCCTTTGGGTGTAGCCCACTGAATAAGTTCACAGTGATCTATGTCATAGTTTCCATGCATTGAAATATAATATTCACACCCCCAACATACACCAATTTCTTACAAAAATTTCTTTAATTTTCTCCTGCTCTGTATTTTGTTTGATAGCTCCTTGAATGGCTTCCACTAAATTCAAATGTATTTGACTCTAAAGTGCAACTTGTAAAATTTTATCTGGTAATTTATAGATTGAATTTCAAGTATACATTATTTACAGGAAGAACTACTAGCAAATCGTATGATTCCGTTCGTATGAAATGTTCAAAATGGCAAAGATATAAATACAGAAAGTAGATTAGTGGTTGCCAGAAGCTGCAGATCGGGGGTAACAGCTAAGGAGAGTGGAGTGCGTTTTTGGGGGTATGAATAGTTTTAAAATTTATTCTGATGGTGGCTGCACAACTCTCAATATATTGAAATCCATTGGATTGTATGCCTAAATGGGTGAATTCTATACATTAATTATATCTCCATAAAGCTTTTTTTTAAAAAAAGAAAAAGAAAAAGAACTACTAGGACATGTTTAGAATATTATTTCAAAGGCTTAAACAAAGCTGAAAAGTGAGAAGAGCCCTAGATTCCTTCTGGGAAACCTGGCTTAAATCCAGTTTTCTTTATTTCCCAGATTTGAGAATTTGGTCACTGAGCAAATAACATGATTTTCCTGTCTAGATTTCTTTGTTTATAAAATGAGGGTGAATATGCTACCCTACCTATACCGCGAGCTAAATAAGCTAGTATTTGTAAAGGACACACACTCACACTCACATTCACACACAGGTATGTATGTATGTGTAAAAATGTAGCGACCTAACCCAAGCACTAAGTGAGTATTTGTTGAATCACTGTCTGCACACAGCATCTGGCAAATGGATGCGTGTGATTTTTCCGGGGATTAGAGGCAAACGTATACTGATGGAAAGCCTTCCTCAGGCCATAACAAAGGGAGAAATGCTGAATCCCTGACGCTGCCACCACCATGAACTGGTGAGAGAACAGAATATATTCAAAGAGAAATTTCATTGTTTTAACTTGCAAGTGAGGGGAGCATGACACCGTAAGAGAGATTATATAAATTAGTCAAACTGAGAACCAGGCGAAGAGCTTAGCCGTCCTTTGCATAGTTAGCTACATTGGCTCTTTTTCAATTAGACTGGCCATTATGTGGGTGCACTCATTTAGATTTGAAAAACCACCCATTATTTTCTCTGCGCATTCATTCCAGCACGCTGACAATCTTCACAGGAAAACTAAACTTATTTCTTGAAGAATTCCTCAATCTTATACAAGATTTTCAACTGGGAGTTTCATGAATCAAAAATTAAATGAATTGCACATAAAGCCATGGCATATGTATTTGTACTGCATTGTGGGAGAAAAAATAATTATTATAATTTAAAAAAACTATGTCTTACCTGATTTCAGAAATAAAAGAAGTAGAAGAACCACTTCCTTATGTTCCATTTTGGGACTGGCCAGCAGTGCCCAGAAAGTGTGTCCCAATCCCAGGATGTTGTTGACTTACATGAGAGTAAACGCATCCACAGACCAGATAGTCAAATTAAGTTAATGATTCTCTCAGACACCCACGCCACTGGCTCAGCAGGGTTCAAACATGACCTTGAATAAAGGGTCCTTACAAAATGATTGAGGGTGGAATCTGCAATAGATGCTGGGAAGTGGTGAAAGCAATCTCCCCCCTCAGCTGCTCCACGCTGCCTTCATGTCTCCTTACTCCTTCCCTCACCTTTGTACTTTATCTCTCACAATTAGTCTTATTTCCTCCCCTCTTCTTTTATTCCCTTTCTTTTGGAGAAAATGAAATCAGAAAAGTATCTCACATTTGCTGGAACCTTCCATGACGAGACCCTCTGCCAAGCGCTGCACGTCCATAGCCTCCCTCAAGCTTCCCAACAGGCAGTGCTGTTCTCATTCCTGCTGTACGAGGGATGGGGCTGAGGCCTTCCCCAAGGTTGTGTCGCTACCCAGGGGTGCAGCTGATAGACAAAACCCTTTCAGGTCCTGGATGACAAACTTAAGTTAGGTGTAAATGTTAATATCTCCACATCCTACACCAAATGACATAGAAATTACGACATAAGTGAAAGTATCTTATTATCTTCAAAATTTCTTTATTCCCAGTGAACTCACATGTTTTCTGTAATTATAAATTATAAGACATCAATCTTTCCCCCAAATGAACGTATGGCATATTATTATATTCTCATTCTCATGAAATAAAGCAAGACTGGTAGCACTAAGTGGAAAGCGTCTATCTCAATTTTAAATGTTGAATCTGTACTTTTCCCTGGCTTAAGTCTAGAGCAACCAGGTAGTATATATGTTGTAAAACTTCTATTTTAGTGTTCAAAGATATTTAGCAATAAATCAATTGACCTCTCTATTTTAGATGTGAAATAAGGACCAGAAAGCATTGTTCCTCTTTCCAGGCAGTGAAATTCCTGCCTATTCATTAACTGGCAAAAGAGTAGAGGTGGGAGCCCAATGGTCTTGGGTGGAACATCCTGTGGAATTCCCTGGGATTGAGGAATCATGCAGAACCCTCAAGAAGAAACCACACTGGGCAACAAGAGGGTGGCCCCATGTGAGGAACAGGGGGACCGAATCGCATTTCCTGATTTCCTATTCTAGCCTCACTCTCTTCTCTCCTCAAATTCTTACCACTCCCTTTATCCTCTCTGACTCACCTCGTGGCCCAGTTCATTAAAGGGGACAGAAGGTGGAGGCAAATTGAGAAACCAGCAGTGGGCAGACGTTTTATTTTTAATGTGAAATGTCTCTTAGGGGGCTTATGTTGATGTGCTTGAGAAAGTACTTTGGGGAAAAAAAAAAACAAAGTCTACTAATATATAATGCTTCCAGCATGTATTTATTTCCACTTAAAATATTATTGTAGCAGTTCCTCTTGGATAAGGCATCTTGGGAATGATGTTATCAGAAATTCTACATCCACATAATTTTCTTTTCCTGTTGTTTTGGTTTTGACTTGGGTGGTGTTGGTATAGCTTTTGCCCACCTTTCCCCTGGTAGGTGTTGGATGCATTAAATTCTACAAATGCGATTTTATAAATTAGTTGCCCTCCTAATGGCCTCCTGGCTGTACATTCTTCCCTACCTTCATAATCCATCAGCATCGTGAAAGCACAGAGGGACATTGAGCAGAGTTCTGTGCTGGCGCCACCGCACTCTGTAGCCTGTAAGAGAGCAGCAAAGAGGAATGAGTTGCTCAGGTATAGACAGGGGTGGATGCATAGAGACTTCCACTGTGGCACGGCCCTTCATGTCCAGGGTAGGCATGAAGCAATGGACTATTCCAGATTGTGCATAGGAAACCACACTGCACTCTTAGACGGATTTTTGCTCTAAAGACAACTAATTCAAAATAAGGTGCTTTCTACCTGAAATAATGGCATGAACTGAGAAAAGAGATATAGAGAGATCTCTGTGTACTACGATCAGGTTGCACATATTCTGAGATTTATGTATTCTTATTTAGTTCAATTCCTTATTTACTGACCACTTACTGTGTACAATATTGTATTAGATTCTTTTAGGATTACAGTTGACCCTTGAACAACTTGGGGGCTTGGCACACTGACCGTACACAGTAGAAAATCCAGGTATAATTCTGATTCCCCCAAACTTAACTACTGATAGCCTGCTGTTGACCAGCAACAGTTAATAACATGTATTTTGTATGTTATATGTATTATATACTGTATTCTTACAATAAAGTAAGCTAGAGAAAAGGAAACGTTTCTAAGGAGAAAATACATCTATGGTACTGTTATGTATTTATCCATACAGTAAGTTTACACCGCCTGTTTACAAGATGAATCATCTGTCTGAAATGGAAGCAACCCCAGCTACAGACCTCAGTCTCTGTTACATATCAAGCAAATCAAGTTTTTCTTGTAATGTCAAATGTCATGACTTTTCTCTGCTTGTTGGGAGCACTTCCAGCATCACTAGTGCCACTTCATGTGGATCCCATGGTGTTATTCAAGGTTTACAGTACAGCGCGAAACAGGATGAAAAATACACGTGAACAGGGAGAGGGCACTTTTTACTGGGATGCGCAATTCACTGGGGATGACCTGCTCATGATGGAATGTTGAGTATCACAGAACGTTTTAAGTGGATACTTGCAACACCTGAGCTCATTGCAACAGCAACAGGAGGAGGCTATGAACTTATTACCGTACTGTGGTATGCACTACGGTTAAATTTATGCAGTTACAATTTAATACTGCATCTTGATGTTTGTATACACTTCTCTCAACTGAGAATAGCACCATATACGATCTGTGAGTGTGTACATAAGTTTTACTAAATTTTAACTTTTGCAATAGTTTTGTTATATTTTATGGTAGTAAATAATAAAATAGACTAGGTATCTACATACATTTTATGCATTCATGACATACTTAACTTTTTCTATTTTTGTTGATATTTCTAGCTGCATGGTTTGTCTTTGAGTTTTTTCAAATTGTTGCAAAACTCCAAAACATTTTCTAACACATTTATTGAAAAAAATCTGTGTGTAACAGTTCAGACGTGTGTTGTTCAATGATCAACTATATGTCTAAAGAGTACAAATCAGTCTGTAACCTTCCCCAGCCTCTCCATGCTAAAGGAACTACAGGAAACTTTCGCACTCAAGATGTGTGGAGATTCTGCTGCTGCACTTGTAGCAGGCATAAGAACGTTCAAATAGGCCGGGCGCGGTGGCTAATGCCCGTAATCCCAGCATTTTGGGAGGCCAAGACGGGTGGATCACGAGGTCAGGAGTTCGAGACCAGCCTGGCCAGCATGGTGAAACCCCATCTCTACTAAAAATACAAAAAATTAGCCGGGCATGGTGGCATGCTCCTGTAGTCCCAGATACTGGGGAGGCTGAGGCAGGAGAATTGCTTGAACCCAGCAGGCAGAGGTTGCAGTGAGCCGAGATCGTGCCATTGCACTCCAGCCTGGGTGAGAGAGCAAGACTCTGTCTCAAAAAAAAAAAAAAAAAAAAAAAGAACATTCAAATAAGATTGGAGACAAATTGAATTTCCTTAGCTCTGCCCAGCATAAGGCCTGCAATCAAGATCCACTCAGGTCCTCTTATGAAGGAATAGACGTCTCTTCCAGCATTAAAATGGTAAATTCCTTGCAAGTATTTACAAAGAAAGTTATAAACACCAGGAAACATCAACCTCACCAGGAGGTGAGGTAGAGTTCACCCTTCCATCTCACCTGAAGTGGAAAATGCAGCCAAGTCACAACTTCCTAGGTGATGCACGTCCATGCAAGCTGGACTGCATTGCTGGCCTGACATTTGCACCTGGCAGCTCCTCGCCACCCCCTCTTTCCACCTTCCTTGAGCCCAGGCTCTGCTGCCCGGGAACTGCCATTCTAGGACAGCTCACTTCATCAAGATGAACTTCTCTGAATAGCCCTAAGAGGACAGTATCATTTCCAACTGGAAATAGCAAGAACTTAATTAATCTACTAAGGATTCATATAAAGCATCCCTCTGTCGTGGTAAGGGTCCTCGGCAAGTTTATCTGTGCCCTCGATGCCAATGTGCAGGTTGTTTTTACTGCTGTTTTAGTGTATGAGAGCATATCAGCGAGGAGACTTCTACTAATTAACCTGGAGGTGGCTCTTCTTTCTTTAGTTGCTCTTTTCCACATGTTAGCCTTTGTTCATCAGTCCCCAGGACCATGCAATGAGGTGCTTATCAGCCCTCATGTCCCGTAAAGAGATAGCAGGCTATCTCTCAAGTTAGCACAGTGGTTAAAACGTAATCCACTAGGGGGCATTTTCCTTTCCTTTCTTTCTTTCTTTCTTTTTTTTTTTTTTTTTGGAAACAGAGGCTGGCTCTGTCACCCAGGCTGGAGTGCGGTGGTACAAACACAGCTCACTGTAGCCTTAACCTCCTGGATTCAAGCGATTCTCCCACCTCAGACTCCAGAGTAGCTGGGACCACAGGTGCACGCCACCATGCACAGCTATTTTTTTTTTTTTTTTTTTTGTATTTTCTGTAGGGACAGGGTTTTGCCATGTTACCCAGGCTGGTCTTGAACTCCTGGGCTCATGAGATCCTCCTATCTCAGTCTCCAGAAGTGCTGGGATTACAAATATGAGGCACTTTGCCTGGCACTAGGAGACACTTTCTCAGTGAGACCTAACTCATTTGGGGCTCAGTGAGGTGATATTTTCTTAATTGAGTTGTGCTTGAAAAAATCTAGATATCTATTCATCTTTGAAAAAATTAATTTTCATTGGCTGTCTCCTCATCATTAATAAGCATGGCTGTGTTACATGCTTAAGACAAATATTAGCAGAGAAGAAGAAAGTCAGACCCGGATAACTTAGCAGCCTGCACTGAGGTGGCACCAGGACTCCCCAGAGGAGAGACGAGGGTCCTTCTGCTCTGAGGTCCAGACTCACCATGGATAAAACAGAGTTGCACCAAATCATCCTTCCCATCTCTCACATTGATTGTTCTCTAAGCTCATTCAGAGAAAAAAAAAATCTTATCTCACAGTATGTCAGGGAGATAAGTCATGTAGAAAAACCTTAAAATATTTTCAGGAAAGCAAATGAGTGCACAAAAAACCTGGTGAAATCTGAGCAAGGTCTGCAGACTAGTTTCTGATATTGTGCCAATGGCAACTTTCCAGTTGTAATCATGAACTATAGTTATGTAAGATACTGCCTGAGGGAGGCGGGGCCATAGGCACAAGGATCTCTCAGTACTATATTTGTAACTTGTTGTGTTTATACTTATTTCAAAACAAAAATTATATGTATATATTTATATATGTATACATGTTATGTTTGCAACACATGTGCCTATATTTGGATACATGTGTCTATTTTAGGAGGACCTAGGATGATGTAACTGCTTTCATACTAGTTAAGAGAATTCCCAAATTTCAGGGAAAGTCTAAAGTTATAGAGTTCCTAACTCAGGGTGCAGAACTCGGACTTTGGCTGATTCTCGTGAGCTCCTGGGATGAGTGGGTGGGACAGAGAGGCTTCTCCACCACCACACTCCTTCCCTGGCTGGAGACCAGATGGTTAAGGACTGATGGGTGCCAGAGAGCAGCAGCCCTCCATGTGGGTCCAGAACCCAGAGGCTGGAGTAGTTCATGCCTGCTCCTGCCTCCCAGGTATTCAAGGGAAACCCACCATCTCCACACACCAGCAAAACACCAGCAAAACAGAGGCCCCAAGTAATGACTTCTCCTTTCTCATCTTATCTTGCCACCTGACCAGCTCCTGGGCTCCTCAATCCAAAGTTGGGGAAGAGAGAAGGGAATGTCAGTGGAAACCACTTTTGCTATAAACTCTCATCCTTCAGATGTTCTTTCAGTGGGTACAGTGTTTAGTGCTGTGCTAGGTGCTGGGGAATCAAGAGTAAATAAGAGGCCATCTTTGCCCTCAGGGAGTTTTTGGTCTCATGGGTTTGGGGCAATGCAGGTCTGTAAACTGGAATTGTAAAAGTGAAGTGGCCCAGGTCCCATTTGTTGTAGTGGTGCACAGAGAGACAGTCTTGAGAGGTGAGGAGACATTTCCCAGAGGAAGTAACATCCAAGTTGAGACTTAGAAGACAGCTGGAAGGATGAGAAAGGAGAATAATTCTGTGGAGTCCTAATTAGGCAAAAGGAATCAGGCTGGTGACACTGAGGAAAAAAGAAAGAGAAAGCAGATAAGCTGTAAGTTTGCCTTTCTTCATGGTCCAGGACCATAGCCCTCCTGCACAAATAGCTCACAATCTTCCTGTGCCCAGCTACCATCAGGCCCTCAGCTGATGGAAAAATGCAGGTTATCCCACTGCAACCTTGGTGTTATCAGTACTGCACAAAGCTCTCTTCAGCACGCAGCAAAAGCAACATCCTATAAAACCCCCAGCAAGCCTTTGTCTCTTGGCATTCAGTTCCTCTCTTGCTGGCCTGCCTGTTGCTGCCTTGCAACATATTTTCATACTTTCTTCAATAAATCTGCCTTTATCTACAACTGTCTTGGTAAATTCTTCTTACTGCCCATGGTATACTGGCCTCAGATAGTTGCTTCACCTGCTACACATTCTTTAAGCAGAAGAAATATATGTGCAGGGTCCCAGAGGCAGGAGGAGCAGACAGATGAGAGGAATTTGGCTAACATGGGGAAATGGTCCAATTGCGCAGGCTTCTCACTCTGTTTCAAGAAGTTTAGACTTCAGCCAAAGAAAGGCAGGGACTACTGTTACTGAAGGCTTTTAAAATCCAAGGGTGGCTTGATCCCTCTGATTGCAGCACAGTGAGGAGGTCATAGGAGGTGAGAGATGAGAGGGGGTGAAAGAAGGCAGTGGAGAAAGAGAAAAAAGAATGGATTAGGGGGATGTTGAGAAAGTAGAATTGACATGATTTTGTGACTCATTGAATGTGGGGAATGAAATCAAGTATGCTGCCTGAATTTCTGGCTTGGACATCTGGTGGACAGTGGATCATTCATTAAGAAGGAATGCATAGGAGGGAATAAGATGAAATTGGCTGGGGACAATGTTATGTTTAGGAACTTGAGAAAACCCAAGTGGAAATTTCCAGAAGGGAGTTGAATATTCTGGTTTAGAACAGGAGTTGGCAAACTATAGCCCATGAAGCAGGCTTATTTTTATAAATCAAGTTTTATTGGAACATGGCCACACCCATTCTTTTACTATTTTCTGTGGCTATATTTGCACCACCTTAGCAGAGTTGAGCAGATGTGACAGAGACAGTACAATGACCAGCAAGCCGATAAAATATTTGTTATCATCGCTTTACAGAAAAAGTTTGCCAATTCCTGGTGTAGAGCCTAGGAAAGAGGTCTGAGCTGGAGATGTGGAATCAGCAGTTGTCAGCAGATAGGTGGGACTGAAGCAATGGGGGTGGACAAGCTTGCTCAGAGAGAAAAAAATAAGCCCTAGGATAAAGCCCTCAACAACACAAGGACCCAGAAGAAGAGAATTCTGTAGAGATGACTGAGAACAGTTAGCCAGAGGGGAAAATTGACAGTGTGAGTCCAGAGAAGCCAGCAAAAGTGAAAATTGTAAAAAGGTGGGAGTGGTCATGGGTACCAAAGACTTGTGAGAAATCAAGTGAGATGTATCCTGTGTATGCCAGAAGGTAAGAGCAAATGAGGCCAACATAACCTTAATAATACCAATCTCAATGGCCCAGACTCCAGCAAAGTCTACTCTAGCTACCGCTACCACTAAACATATGTAAAACTCAGTAAAATAGCAATTTTAATTAAACAAATTCCTGACCTATCTCTGTAATACTCCTTTCCCAACATTTTTGCCTGCATATTCTTTGATTGCCTCTTCAATAATGTTGTAATATCATAGTCTATGAGAGAAGAGAATAATAAACTATTTTGGCTCTAGTATTTTATTATTGATAGATTTAAATTTTTCTTCTGGCTTCATAGCTCAGGATCGATAATGGAAGATAAGTTTTCAGGATTCTTGGCACACTTAGGAAAATCTTTATCAAACTATTTTTATGTATGAACTGTAAGATTTGGAATAATTCCCAGATGGGATGAGCTACACTCTTTTCTAGCTTTGTACATTTCTATTTTTCTTATTCAACTTTTATTTTAAGTTCAGGGATAAAAGTGCAGGGTTGTTACATAGGTAAACATGTGTCATGGGGGTTTGTTGTGCAGATTATTTCATCACCCAGGTATTAAGCCTAGTACTCATTAGTTATTTTTCCTGATGCTGTCTCTCTTCCCATCCTCCAACCCTGATGGGCCCCAGTGTGTGTTGTTCCCCTCGATGTGTCCATGTGTTCTCATCATTTAGCTCCCACTTATAAGTGAGAACATGCGATATTTGGTTTTCTGTTCTTGTGTTAGTTTGCTGAGAATAATGGCCTCCAGCTCCATCCATGTTCCTGCAAATGCACATGTCATGTGACACAATCGTGATGTAATCTATGGTCTTGCATATTTACATTACACCACCAGGTAAATCAGCACGAGGGAGGTGAAGACTATTCTGAATCTGTTTTACACAGGGACAGCTAGCAATAAAATACACAGAAATGACTCCATACCACATAAATAAATCCCATGGAACCCAAACTCAATGACTCAACTCAATTCTTCTTTTGCTGGATCCTCAAAATGCCCACATCCACTCCACCACCACCCAACATGAGGGCAGAAAGAGATCAGAATTTTAGCCAATTACAGCTAAAATGTCTGCTTTTGTCAAAAGCAAATGACCAAATGGATACATTGCCAGGGCCCCTCCAGAGCCTCAGAAAGGGCCTGCTGAAGTTGCCTTTTGCTATGGGATGAATCAAACCAAAACACAGTGGCTTAAAATAAGATGAATTATTTTATTTCTGAATTCTGAAGGTCTGCTGGGCTTGGCCAGGTGATTCTCATTCTTGTGGTCTCTTATGAGGTCAGTGGTGGCTAGGGCTGAAACCATCTCAAAGCCTTCCTCACTCACATCTCATGGGTGATCCCAGCTGTTGCTGGAACCTCATCTGGGACTATCGGCCAAAACACTCAGAACTTCTCCATGTGTCTGGGCTTCCTAGAAGACACTGTTCAAGTAGAGGGCAAGACAATCAAGAATCTCAAGCTCTATTTCAAAACATTTCTTCCCACTCCACTACTGCTCTATATATTTTTCACAATACTTTATACCTTCTAACGTAATAGTTATTATAGAGGTACACGTATGTCTTACTATAACATAAACTCCATGAGGGAAGATATTTTTAGTTTTGCTCAATGAAATATCCCCAGTGCCAAGGAAGCACTGCCCTACACATTCATCCAAATAGTAAAATAATAAATATCTATTTTTAAACACTTTGTTAATTCTGCACACATTTACTTTTTCTAAAGGGAGAAATGTGGAACACTGAAAAGCTCCTTGAATCTTAGAATTTGTTTTTAATTAATAGACTTAATACATGGCATAACATGTTGTACTCAACTTACTCTTCATGCAACGTGTAAGCATAAATGCCAAAGATCTTACTTTCAAGCATCAGCATTAATATAGCAAGTTAGGAAGGTAGACGGTTTGGTAATTACAAAAGCTCTTGAAGTAGGCAAAAACCATTGTTTTACATGGTAGCCAAGATCACACTAATGATAAGTATTTCTGGCTTAACCAGTCCTCACAGCAATATGCTAAATTAATGAAAACAAACATGGGCATTGTTTGGGTGTTACTGACATCAACTACAAAACAGAAATGAACAGAAATTGAAAACTATATTGTCAAATACAATTAAAATAGCCAAATACATTATTTCTAGGTAAAATCTTTATAACTTCAAATACTGCCAGTTTTCTTTCAAAAACTTACAGTACTTGAAAGAACGAAAATCAGCTTAATCCAGCACAGGGGAAAGAAACACATGAGATAACTGAATTTTACAACCAAGGTCAGAGAGGATATCACACTATCACCGTGGGAGGAAGGGTGAGTGGGTAGAAATACCTGTTATTGGTTTTTAAGTAGATCATAGCCAAAGCTAGAGTAGCACCTGGACAAGTCACATCCACATTTATGGTATCTCCTTCCTATTGAAAGAAGAGTTTATGCATGTAAAAGAGTTCTAAATTTTTATAAAATTCCTCTGATAAGTATGCTTAAAATTAACATATTTACCAATGTCAGGATGAACACTAGTATTTTCCAATTAACTTCCCAGCTTCCAGACTTTTGATCTATTACTTTGCTGTGTACTTACTTTGATTTGATAACTTGGTGATTTATGTTTCTCCCTATGCATTCCTGTTTGAAAGCGCCTATGTCCTCCAACCATGTACTGATAGAGCTGCTCAGGCACATTGAGATCAGACATACCTATCAAATTGCTGCCATGCTGGAAAAGACAATAACAGACGAGTGAAAAGAAATTTTATGGAGGAAGATCCATAACACATACCCATAACAAATATAAAAATGAACTAACTTCAAAGCAGGTTATTTCGGGTTTTGTTTTTTTTATTTCCAACTTAAAGCAAACATTAATCATGAGTTAATAAATATTAATAATTCTCATAAAAGTTTTAATACATGAATGTTCAACTTTAAGTACTGTCTTAAAATACATAAGAGCTTTAGAGTTAGTTACATTTAACAATAAAGAAAAATATTAGTTATATAATTGAAACCTGAACTGTAAATATCTGAATACTTTCATTATTGTACTTAAGAACTTTTCCAACAATAACTATGATAATAATAGTAATTTATTAAATGCATGCTCTGTGTCAGGCACTATTCTGTGTGTTTAACATGAATGAACAGCCATATCAAATAGCTACTATTAAAACCCTATTTTATAAATAAGGAAAGTGTGGCAAAGAGGGATTAAGCCCAAGGTTATACAGCTATTATAGTAAGTTGCAGGGCTATATATAAAACACGGCCATCTGGTTCAACAATCCATGAAGCTGATTAAGCAATAGACAATAATGTAGTTAAATGACTTGACTCACTAGTTAGGACCAGAATTCAAGTTGCAATTCCCTGTGTGATTCTTTTCTTTTTTTTTTTTTTTTGAGACGGAGTCTCGCCTTCTTGCCCAGGCTGGAGTGCAGTGGCACGATCTCGACTCTCTGCAAGCTCCGCCTCCTGGGTTCACACCATTCTCCTGCCTCAGCCTCCCGAGTAGCTGGAACTACAAGCGCCCACCACCATGCCTGGCTAATTTTTTTGTATTTTTAGTAGAGACGGGGTTTCACCGTGTTAGACAGGATGGTCTGGATCTCCTGACCTCGTGATCCACCCATCTCGGCCTCCCAAAGTGCTGGGATTACAGGCATGAGCCACCACACCCAGCTGATTATTTTCCATTATACCACCAGCCTCTTTAGCTCACGTGCCAATGTGAATTCAAGGCCCTAACAGATGGTCAACCACGAGGTGGATTTTCAGAACACACATGAGAAAAAATTCCTTCCACTATAACTTTTTTTTTTAAGATGGAGTCTCACTCTTGTTGCCCAGGCTGGAGTGCAATGGTGTGATCTTGATTCATCACAACCTCTGCCTCCTGGGTTCAAGCGATTGTCCTGCCTCAGCCTCCCGAGTAGCTGGGATTACAGGCATGCGCCACCACACCTGGCTAATTCTGTATTTTTAGTAGAGATGGGGTTTCTCCATGTTGGTCAGGTTGGTCTCGAACCCCTGATCTCAGGTGATCCGATCACCTCGGCCTTATAACTTTCTTTATATCATTTAGTTTGACCATAAGAATGTATTGGTGGTTTTTCAAGGGGAACCACATTTCAAGTGAAACAATCATTTAATGAAACATTTCTGGTAATTCTGTACACATCTCTTGGATGGAGTTAAAGATGGGTCAATCTGATACTGCATTTTGTCACAAGGAAGATGCTACTGGGACAACATTCTGGGATACACAGTGAACATCACTATGGCAAAAGGGGGTTAGGGTTTGTTTCAAGCAGCTACTATAGACTCTTAAGGCTCCTGATCATATACATTTTCACTATTCTCTGTTTTCAGTCATAGTGGGCTGTCACTTATTCATTCTATGTCTTGAACACTTTAAAAAAAACTTTATTCCCTTTAGTTTGTTCATGAACACTGTAAGCTGGAGGAAAAGAAATCTTAAAGTCTCACTCTTGACCACAGTTTCTCTCAATTTGCAAATCTGGTACCTTGAAAAATATCCAAAAAGACAAGAGAGCTGGGCAGAAGATTAAGTCGTAGTAAGGGACAATATTCAGGTTTAGGTGTCAACGTTATTTGTCTCAACATGTAGATGTCCTAACTGAAGCATGGGAAGGCATAGGCTATGCTTACCCCCAAGCAGACCATGCCCAGGGCCAAGCCAGCAGCTAAGGAGTATGACTTTCTGTCAGTGCAGTATTCCATTTCAGGACCAGGAGGCCGTCCTGTAAAAAGAAAAGCAACACAGTTCAAACTAGCTTCTCAAAATCTCATCTCATAAAAATCTTAGAGTTAACTTTCTAGCAAGTTGCACTGGAGATATGAATGGGATATAACTATTCAGAAAGTTATGACACTATAATAAATGATGTCCACAACTGTAGGTTTACCTACCAAAAAAAAAGGGCCCAAAATAGTTCTTTTTAAATTGCCAATTTAAGTCTTTATAAGCAATGATATTGAAATACTGTGAAACTTTGAGTCTTATCAAAAAAATTACCAAGTAGTAGAAAAAAATTTTAAAGGAAAAAAGGTAAGAGTATTCAAAAAAAAGTTTTATTATTTTTTTTAAAACATCTCGGCCAGGTGTGCTGGCTCATGCCTGTAATCCCAGCACTTTGGGAGGCTGAGGCAGGTGGATCACTTGAGGTCAGGAGTTGGAGACCAGATGGCCAACACGGTGAAACCCTGTCTCTACTAAAAATACAAAAATTAGCCAGGGTGGCAGGTGCCTGTAATCCCAGCTACTCAGGAGGCTGAGGCAGGAGAATCGCTTGAACCTGGGAGGCGGAGGTTGCAGTGAGCCAAAATCAGGTCACTGCACTCCAGCCTGGGCGACAGAGTGAGACACCATCTCAGCAACAACAACAACAAAATATCTTACATTTTGTTTTCATTACTTTCAAATCCACACATCACATGTGGTGAAACATGTTCGAATGATGATAATGAATAAGGAGGTCACTTACTTACGTTGTTAAGCTGTTAAATACTATGTTTAGACATTTATTTCGAGTGTATATAATAATGAGCCCTACTATGGTAGAATTTCTGTGTACTGATCCTAGAAGTCTGACTGGATACAAAATTCATACTTTTAAAAGCACCCTATAACTCTAACACTACCTTGTTGAAAACGATAAAATGTACTATGTATTAAAACCCTTCCCTCTGAAAAAATGTTCACATTCCTGAAATTTTATCCCTATAGGAAAAAAATGCAATTTAAAAAAAAAGAAAAAAGGCTGGGCGTGGTGGCCCTTGCCTGTAATCCCAGCACTTTGGGAGGCCAAGGCAGGTGGATCACTTGAGGTCAACGAGTTCGAGACCAGCCTGTCTGACATGGAGAAATCCCATCTCTACTAAAACTACAAAAATTAGCCAGGCATGCTGACAGACACCTGTAATCCCAGCTACTTGGTAGGCTGAGGCAGGAGAATTGCTTGAACCTGGGAGGCAGAGGCTGCAGTGAACCGAGATCGCGCCACTCCGCTCCAGCCTGGGTGACAGAGCGAGACTCTGTCTCTAAATAAATAAATAAATAATAAAAATTAAAGAAAAAAATCACACACAAAGGTAATCAGTGTAATGTTTATACATAACAACAAAGGATTATTAGAAACAATCTAAAAGGTTCTAAAAGTTAAAAAAAGGCATTTTACAGACCATCAACTCAATGAATATTATACAAAATGTGTTTTAAAACCCATTTATAACAATGATCTATAAAAACAATTTTTAGGCTGGGCACGGTGGCTCACGCCTGTAATCCCAGCACTTTGGGAGGCTGAGACAGGTGGATCACGAGGTCAGGAGATCCAGACTATCCTGGCTAACACCATGAAACCCTGTCTCTACTAAAAATACAAAATAATTAGCCAGGCGTAGTGGCGGGCGCCTGTAGTCCCAGCTACTCGGAAGGCTGAGGCAGGAGAATGGCGTGAACCCGGGAGGCGGAGCTTGCAATGAGCCAAGATTGCACCACTGTACTCCAGGCTGGGCAACAGAGCAAGACTCTCAAAAAAAAAAAAAAAATTTTAATGTACATTCTGACAGTAATTATATAAAAAGGCATATACATATGAATTAAAGATGAAATCTTCTATATACAGTGTGAAAGAGGTATGCCGCAGCTGTGAGACTGTGCAATGACACCATTAGACATCATCATGATATAGCCAAAGAAGGGTAGACTACTTTGCAGATGAACATGCTTTAACAACCAGTGTTGAATATTTTCAGAATAAGCGTTTTTCAGATCTCTGACTTATGCTACCATGTATTGTGATAGCCAAAACATTTCAACTTTGGGAATAATTTTATTTATCATTATAGTAGACTAAATTATGGGTCCCAATCTTCACTGGTTCTCTCCTAGGTTTCTATCAACACCACGAGAGAAACACACCCTCCAGCCTGGGTCCCAGAATGAGGCAGGTGAGGCAGAACGGCAGCAGAACAGCCGGCTACACATCTACAGCCTAAAGCAGAGCTGCCTGGGCCAATGCTATGCCTGTATGTATGTAGCATCACTGTGGCAATAGCTATCTGATACAATGATACTAAAGAATAATACATCTTTAACAATATATTCACAAATCCATATAGAAAAGATCTTGAATAGGACATATAAGTATGTAACTAAATTGTTGAGCATATTAATAATGCCAATAGCATTTCCATTTGGCAGAAAAAGATGACAACACATTAAGATTTCCAAAAAGTTTGGAGCCAATAAAAAACAGAGACAATGTTCACTAAAGTGAGTGTGTGGACCTTACCATTTCCAGGTTCATCACCAACATACCCACCAGCATGTAAAGGAGGAAAGCAGGAGTCCATTACTTGACTTCTATTGGAAGTGCTGTTATCCAACACAGTAAACACTGTGATGTGTTTAGTTTAGTGTCTCTCAGGGACCAAAACAATCTACTCTGAGTTTTAAGTGCAGGCCACTGCTAGACACTGCTGGTAAAGCAGGATAAACAGCATACTCATAGCTGATTAAAACCACAGGTACCTCATTAAATGTGACCACTGGAATTCAGTAATGAGCTAGCAAATAAACATGGAGGTTAATAACCTGCAGTTACATTAGCCTTGGATAACATTACTTAGAGTTTTGTTGTTTTTTTTAATTAGTACTAGATCATTCTTTGCTCACAAAAGCTACCATTGTCTTTCCTTAATTTTTATAATTTTACTATCACTTTTAATTGGGTTAATGTGGAGTGGAGAGTACATGCCTATGAAGATTCAGCACTATTAATCCCATACCTATCTCAGCCAACAGGACTTCTGCAGTATGTCTGTGAGCTGTCCCTTGATATACAAGGCCAATGCCAACCACTGCAGCCACTTGGACATTGTGAGGAACATCCAGCTCTGTGGACGTTGGGGGTAAGAGAGCAGGAATGCGAATGCTAAGAAGCCGAGTAATAGACATATCCATGGTGCCTAGTTTTGCAGCAGAAACACCAAGTAGCAGTCCAATGCTTGTCATTTCATGGCCCTAAGATAGAAACAAAACAAATACATAGTTTAAAATAAAATACTGCCTGCCACTTTCAAGAAGTACTTTTATGTTGACAGGCAAGGTGAGAGGCACTGAGAATACAGCAGTAAACTAAACAAACATGGTCCTTGCTCTCATGGACCTAATGACTTAATAGGAAAAAAAGTGTTAAATTAAAAAACATAAACAAATATATTATTAAAAAGTAGTACAATAAGAAAGTACAAAGTATTATGAAAGAGTATTTTAAAATAGCTTAATTTAGATTGGGAGGGACTAGAGGATTATTAGGGATGAAATCTCTAAAGATTATACAAAGAAATTTATATTAGGACCTGAAGGATGAAAACAAATTAGCCAGGAACAGTGGCAAGAAAGAGGACACTCAAGTTTAGAAGGTGAGGAAGACTGTTTCAGGTGATAAAACAGCATGTAAATAAATGGCTCTGAGGCGATTCAGAAATGAACCCTCACATTAACATCAACTGACCACAAGGGTGCCAAGACAATTCAACAGGTAAAGGGCAGTCTTCAAAAAACAGTGCTGGGACAAGTGGAAGGACACATTCAAAAGAATGAGGCTGGACTCAACACAATATAACAAGTGTTGGCAAAAATATGGAGAGATTGGAACTCTCATGTATTGCTGATGGGGTTGTATAATGGTGCAGTCATTATGGAAAACGGTTTACAGTTCCTCAAAAAGTTTAACAGAGTTACCATATAACCCAGCAATTCCACTCCTAAGTATGTACCACTACTTACCATTACTTCATTACTCTTGAGTAATGAAAACATACATCCGCACAAAAACATGTATACAAATGTTCATAGCAGTATTATTCGTAATAGCTAAAAAGTACAAATAACCCAAATATTCATCAACTTATGAATAAAATGTACATTCATAAAATAAAACATTTATTCAACAATAAAAAGGAATGTATTGCTGATAGATGGTACAACACGGATGAACCCTAAAATTATCAGGCTAAGTGAAAGAAGCCCATCCTAAAATACCATATTTTGTATGACTCCGTTCATATGAAAGGTCCAGAAAAGGCAAACCCACAGACACGGAAAGTAGATTAGTGGTTGGCAGGAAGTGAAGTGAAGGTGGGGGGGTGAGGTAGAGGAATGGGGAGTCACCACTAGTGGGTACAAGGTTCCTTTATGGGGTGAAAAGATGTTCTAAAATTAACAGTGGTGATGGATGCACAACTCTGTGAATGTACTAAAAACCACTGTACCACACACTTTAAACAGTGAATTGTATGGTATGTGAATTTTATATATTTATATAAATAAAGATTCCTTAAAAAAAAATAACGCTGTGAAGTGAAAGAGTTTAGTTTGCCAGAGAGCTAAAATAGCCAATCTGTATGGTTAGAGTGTGGGGGAGCAAGAAGAGTGGGGCTGGGTGCAGAGGCTCACGCCTATAATCCCAGCACTTTGGGAGGCTGAAGCGGGCAGATCACCTGAGATCAGGAGTTCAAGACCAGCCTGGCCAACATGGTGAAACCCTGTTTCCATCAAAAATACAAAAATTACGCAGGTGTGGTAGTATGCACCTGTAATCCCAGCTACTCAGAAGGCTGAGGCAGGAGAATTGCTTGAACCTGGGAGGTAGAGGTTGCAGTGAGATGAGATCACACCACTGCACTCCAGCCTAGGTGACAGGGTGAGACTCCACATCAAAAAAAAAACAAAAAAAAAAAACGAAGAACAGTGGTACCACCTAGGGCTGGAGAAGTGAACAGGATCACACCAGCTCCTAGAATGTATATTAAGAGCAATGGTCGATCCCCCTTTGCCCTCTGGTGTTGGGAATGTTGGCCTTGTTCTAAACCAGTTTCCCTTCACAGAAGTTCAGCCATCGTGTGGGATCAGAATAAGGTCCTGGGGCAACTAAAGGTATCTGGCCAAGGGTACATCCGAAGGACCCTACACCGGCCCCCAGTCCCCAACAGCCTGTTCAGGTGTCGGACAAAGACTTCCAATCTTTCCTATCATGTTTTTCCTACTGCTCTTCTGAGAAATGTTACTTAGTTATGTGTCTCTTTGAGAAATTGCTTCTTTTCAGGGCAGGATGCTGGGTTATGCTTGATGAAGCTAAATAAACTGCCAGCCAGATGAGAATTATAGACAAATAATATGCAGGGACCCCCCCTGGATTCATCTTAGTCTTGAGCTCATATAGAATTCAGAGAAATCAAAGGCAGTTGACAAGGAGGGTCAAGGCTGAGTGCAAGTGAACGCAACTACTCCTGCTGGCTTGATCCCCCCCTGGTCATGAATGGTGGCTGCGCGCACATCCACGACCAAGGCAAGCCTGAGAGACGCCTTGGACTCTAGCACAGCAGAGGGAAAGACTAAGGATGCCTTTTTCTCCCCTCTCTCTTTCTAAATGGGTAGCCTGCACTCCTCTCAAGTGCGAGACATTGGGACTCCTTTGATCCTCAGACTCTGAAGAAAAAATACCTGGTATTTATCAGTAGCAAGGCTTGGCCCAGCTAGAAGTTGGAAGATGGGGAGACCTAGTCAGCTGGGGAAAATAACAACTATAATACTATCCTATAGCTAGATCTCTTCAACCACAGAGAAGGAAAATGGTCCAAAATTCCATATGTATAGGCCTTTTTTGCCCTGCAGAATAACCGCAAGCTCTGTCAGCAATGTATAATAGACCTTGCACTTATAGCAGTGATATCCAGCCAGACTTAATCCAGACAGAAGGGAAAAAACAGTCTGCCTCCTTAGAAGAGGAGACAGAGGCCCCTGCACCAGCCCAGGTCCCAGCTCCTCTTGGATCATCTCGTCCCCCTTATCCAGGCCCCCTTTTGAACCTCATCCTGTTAGAAGAGTTCGACCTGGATGCGCTCCAGCATCACTTCTTCCTTTACAGGAAATGCATAGTGAATATGGTCCTATCAAAGTACAAGTCCCCTTTTCTTTACAAGATTTGAGGCAGATAAAAAGAAATCTAGGACAATTGTGTCGACCTGGATAGGTATATTGAAGCCTTTCAGAACCTTAATCAAATGTCTGAGCTTTCATGGAAGGGTATCATGTTACTTCTCAACTAGACTCTTAGAGCTTCAGAGAAGCAGGCGGCTTTACAGGTCACTGAGACATTTGGAGATGAAATGTTTATCTTATTATGGCACCTACCAAAAGGGGGAAGAAATTAGGGAGCCCTTTCTGACAGCCAAGCAGGCAGCATCCACCAATAATCCTCAATGGGACTCAGACACTGCTCTAGGAAAGTGGCCGAGAAAACATTTTTAGGGATGCACAGTGGAAGATCTGAAAACTAGAGGCAAATCTCTCAATTACATTAAGTTATCAACCATAAACCAAGGGTCTGAAGAGAACCCTTCTGTTTTCCTGGAAAAAACTGAGAGAGGCTTTAATTAAACACACATCTCTCTCCTGACTCTATAAAAGGATAGTTAATTTTGAAAGACAAGTTTATAACCCAAGCAGCCCCAAATATTGGAAGAATGCTGCAAAAAGTTAGCTATTGCACCAGACAGTACTCTAAAGAAAATCCTGAAAGTCACCACCTTGGTCTTTTATAATCGGGACCATGAGGAAGCCCAAGAAAAAGGGAGAAAAGGAACGAGAAAAAGGCAGAGGCACTAATAGCTGCCATACAGGCATATAAACCTCTCGATCCCAGGGAGCTTCTCATTCTATGACCGACTGTTATCAGTGTGGGAGCACTAAAAGAGAGTCTGCCCCCGAAATCAGAAGCAGCCCCCACGGCCCTGTCCAATCTGTAAGGGAGACTACTGGAAGACAAACTGCCTCCAGAAACATACGTCCCAAGGTTCAGAGCCGGCTTCTCAAATGGTCCAGCAGGACTGATGGGTCCCAGGGCTCTCCTCCCCAGCTCTGACAGCCCAGGCTGCATTACCATCCAGGAGTCCCGGGTGAGTCTGGAGGTCAAAGGACTCAGAGGACAGACTTCCTACTCAACACCAGAGCAGCCATTCCTGTTCTCCTCTCCATTCTGGGCCTCCCCTCCTCCCTTAGCACAACTGTGAGGGGCGTCTCAGGAAAGCCTCTGACTCGATATTTTTCTCAATCCCTTAGCTGTACCTAGGGAGACCTTTCGTTTACCTATGCCTTTTTAATCATACCTGAAAGCCCGACTCCTCTGAGGTAGGGATATTTTAGCTCACATGGGAACCACCATCCTTATGGCTCCAGGACAGACTCTTTGCCTCCCTCTGGTGGAGACTGATATTAATCCAGATGTTTGGGCAATTCAGGAAAATACTGGCTGAGCTACAACAGTCTCACCAGTCCAAATCCATCTCAGGGATCTCATCTCCTTCCCTAATTAAAGACAATATCCCCTAAAACCAGAAGCTAGGAAACAACTAGAAGCCATCATTAATAACCTAAGGATGCAGGGCCTTGTTAAACCCTGCGACAGTCCTTGTAATATCCTAATATTGGAAGTACAGAAAGAAACCCAACAGGGAATGGAGACTGGTCCAGGATCTCCACCTCCTTAATGAGTAACTGGTGTAATTAACCAATTTACCCAGTGGTTCCCAATCCCTATACTTTGTTAACTTAGATACCTGAAGGAACTAAATGGTTTGCATTCTTGGAATTAAAAGATGCTTTTTTTCTGCATACCATTATACCCCAACTCCCAAAACTTGTTTGCATTCAGGGATCCCTCCAACCAGACTACCCAGCTAACCTGGATGGTGTTACCACAGGGATTCCAAGACAGCCCCCACCTGTTTGGGCAGGCAATCTCAAAAGATCTCTCTGAGTTCTTTCAAACTCAAGTTAGTCTTAATATGTAGATTACACTCTACTCTGTGCCCCAACTGAGGAAATTTCTCAGAAAAGCAATAAGGCTCTTCTTAATTTTCTAACTGACAGAGGACATAAAGTTTCAAAGTCCAAGGCTCAACTCCGTCAGACTTCAGTGAAGTACCTATGCCTGGTCTTGTCAGAAGGGACCAGGACACTGGGCGAGGAGAGAATTGGATCCATTTTCTCCTTCCTTCTCCCCAAGACCCTCAGCTAACTAAAGGGATTATCAGGCATTACTGGATTCTGCAGCCTATGGATCAGAAATCTAATTAAAAGCATTGCAATGCCTAATTATAACATATCTAATAATCTAGGGGGACATGCCCATGACAACCCTATTTTGCAAAATCCTGGAATAGAACAGTCCATTTTCAGAGGTTTTCTTCCTGTCCTTTCTAGGTGTCCCTAATATATGGGCATGGATTTTCCCCCTTTTAGTTCCTCTTTGTGTTCTCATTGTAATACTCATATTTGGTCCATGTGTACTTAACCTCCTTGTAAAATTTGTTTTTTCTCGCCTAGAGGCCATCAAACTCCAAGTGGTCATGCAAATGGAACCTCGGTTGATGGCTCTCTTTTACCAGGGGACACTTAGATAGGCCTCTAAGAGAGACCTGACTGCTGTTTCCCAAAGCAACACCCTCTGTCAGCATGAAGCAGAACAGTCATCACCCCTATCCGAACAGCAGTTAGATATACCTCTTCAGAGCGGGGATTGATGGCGGTAGGAGGCAGGTAAATTCTCAGATGAAACTCAACCTTCAAGCCAAGGACAGTCGAAAGCCTGAAAACCAAGCTACAAGTTCTGGATAAATCCATGGACTAGAGAGCTCTCATTCCTGTTTGGCATGCTCTCTCCTGATTGGTCCTTATCCTTCACCTACTTTACATATACCTGCCCTTCCCCAGTTGGTCCTCTACACTATCGTGCCTATTTCTAAATGGTGCTTTTTCAAGCATACCCACAGACCAATCAGCATGTACCTCCCCCATTTCAAGCCCATAAAAACCTCTAGACTCAGCCTCGTGGCTGGCAACCCACCTTCGGGTCCCCTCTCGCTGTTGAGAGCTTTCTTGTCACTCATTAAATTCTACTCTACCTTACTCAGGGAAAAAAAAAAAAAAAAAAAGCAATGGGAGATCATTAATTAAATGGCTTTGACCAGGGAAGTGACATACTCTGATTTATGCTTTAGAAAGATTATTCCATGTACTATGAGACAAATGGACTTAGAAGTACAAGAATGAAGAAAGAAGAGCAAATAGAGCAATTAGGAGCTACTACAATAGCCAGCCAAGGCACAAAGCCAGGCACTGGGAGCACAGGTCTCACCTTGGTCAAGTAGTCATGGATATTGAGAGTCGCCAGCTTGGTAAGGTGCCCATTCAAACCCAGAGCCATGAGAAAGCCAGCATACTCATTGGCCAACTCAGCATGCTTGGGCTTATTGTAAACAATCCAAGCTGAGTCGATCTGGGAGGCAGGAGCTATCTTCAGGCCAGCAGCCACACCATTATGAAAGCTGGCCCAGCTTGTCATGTTGGGAGGCACATCGATGTTTCCACTATTAAGGTCTACTGTTGTGTTCCGAGGAGGGGCACGCCCTATCCAGCCAAACGAAGAACATTGAGAGAATAAAAATCCACAAAACCAAGATTGTTAAATTTAGATCTTTGAGACTAAGATTAGTTACGTTTTCTACATTCAAAACCATTAACCCCATAATGCCTGGAACGTTAGGTCTCTATGACCACTTAAAACTTTTGTACATGTGAGTCAAACTTAATGGAACTGGAAAAACCTTCACTGTCTAAACAGTTCATTGTCCTTTTTGTTAAAATGTATGAGGCTATATAATGAGATAACTGATACCAATTTAACATTATACAGAGATGACTGGGATAATCACTCATTTTTTCTTTCAAACAGAGAGCTTAAAAACCAAAATGAAGACTAACATCACTGTTAAACTATACAAGTTATAAATCCCAACATCTGATGACACTGATGTTAATTTCAAATGTTCTATCCTTTATTTTCCCCTAGACATTAAGGAAAAATGACATCTTAAGAAAAGACAAAAGCCAGGCCTGGTGGTGCGTGCCTGTCCCAGCTACTTGGGAGGCTAAGGTTGGTCCTCTACACTATCGTGCCTATTTCTAAATGGTGCTTTTTCAAGCATACCCACAGACCAATCAGCATGTACCTCCCCCATTTCAAGCCCATAAAAACCTCTAGACTCAGCCTCGTGGCTGGCAACCCACCTTCGGGTCCCCTCTCGCTGTTGAGAGCTTTCTTGTCACTCATTAAATTCTACTCTGCCTTACTCAAGGAAAAAAAAAAAAAAAAAAAAAGCAATGGGAGATCATTAATTAAATGGCTTTGACCAGGGAAGTGACGTACTCTGATTTATGCTTTAGAAAGATTATCACTTTCTAAAGAGAATCAAGAGAATCACTTGAACCTGGAAGGCAGAGGTTGCAGTGAGCCAAGATCATGCCATTGCACTCCCACCTGGGCAGCAGACAGAGACTGCATCTCAAAAAAGAAAAAAAAAAAGGAAACAAGAACCTTAATAAATCTGCTACAGGTCTTACCTATATATGCCCCCTTTGCTCTCTTTTTTTCTCTCTCTCTCTATATATACATACAGATATAGATATCTAATTATATGCTATTGTTTAAAATGCTTAGAGATAGTTTTGTAAAAAGCATCCTTTTATAGACTTGAGTCACCCAGTGAACTTCAAAAGGGCATTCACCAGATTATACTTTTACGGTCCATTTATTTAAGAACAATGTAAATTATATGTTCACAATGCTATATGTTCCCTACGAATTTTTTCTTGATTCTTTTCTTTTTGATCTACATTATACACAGCAAACATTGAATCTTTTTAAATATATTTTGAATATTGTCTTAAGTCACGGATAAAATAATTAACATAAATATTTTAATTACTGCATAAAGTTATCCATTTCACTGCAGCTTTAAAAATACCATTTTTAAAGAGTTCTAAGATGTTATGTAAAATAATTTTAAGTAGATGCAAAGTGTCTTATTTGTAGCATGTACACATACACACACAAAGCACAAAGTAAGACTTATTTGTCTTTACTATATGCTTTTTGTACCTAAAAGCTAACTCAACTGCTAGTGTTAGCACCACAATGAGTAATAAGTTCATAAGTTACACTTGTACTTTCTCAAAAAAGGCAGACATATCAATATGAAAAAACTGAGTGACCTTTCTGAAACATTCATTCATCATATGCAAGAGACATAATATTTATACACGAGAGAAAATAAAATGCAAAGGGTAAGGTAAATTTTCTTCAATGAGAATAACAACATACAAAAGTACAACAGGCCACATCAGTGTGGGTTAAGCAACTATTTAAGAAAATATTCTTTCCTAAATTAAGAGGATAACCTTTCTTTTTGGCCTACCAGAATGACTAAAAGAATAAAATGTTGGATTAATGTCATAAACACATTTTAAATCATGCAAATTCAATTAAATGTATTCAGAAAAAAAGATGCATGTATATATTTTTTAAACCCACCCAAGTATCACTTGAGTGCTAAATCACCCAGATTGAATACATTTTAACATTTGCCAATTTTGCATTAGATTTTCTTTTTAATCTGCACTTAGTATATGAAATCTTTCATATAAACAGTTGGAAAGACTACTAAAATGAACATCTATATACCATGCCTTCCATCAAGAATCAATAATTGTTAAAATTTTGCCATAGGTGCTTTACCTCTGAGACAATTTAAATATTAAAAGCCACTCTGCTCACTATGTCCCTCAGTGAGATTAGGGCTCAGAATAAGCATGGTATGGAGATGGGAATGTGTTCTTTCACTTAGTCAATCTCATTTCCTGCATGCTGCTCAAAGCACAAGCTTTTCACAAATCTGAGTGGAACTCTGGATTTTTTAAAGTATGCAATTTAAAATACTGTATAATTATGTTTGCATATATTATGTACTATTTATCATATATTAAATTATACATTATATGCTACCACATATACTATACACTACTACAACAAACATTATACATACATTTTGTATAGGTTTCACAAAACCATATATACTATAATAGAGTTTCAGTGATAATTTCAACTATGTAATTGTCACCTTTAGAACACATTCAAATCAGCATTAGGGGGACATGCACTATAAAATTCATTGTAATCAAGACTATAACTACAGTTATATATGGCAGAAATAAAAACTTGTGCCAGCCAGAAAGGCAATTTGACATGTTCCTTAAAACCATTCATCTTGCTGTCCTAAGAGTTCTACTTCTAAGCATTTAGCCTAAATACACAGGACGAATACGCCCCAACAATGTTTATAATACCAAAAAACTGTAATTTCCAACAATACCAGGCTGCTTCTATAAACTATGGTATATCCGCTGAATGAAATACTCTGAAGCAAATAAAAATGAGTGTATTGATTAAAAACACATGTATACAATACATACACATAATTATAAACACATACATTTATTTGCTAGATATAAAAGGATGTTCACTGTAAATTTTTAAAAAAATCTAAAATAGATATAAATTTTCTGATAATTAAACAAATATAAAATTATAAATATGTGGAAATAAACTTAGTAAACATATATACTAAAATGTTAAAAGGAGTGATGCAGAAGAGTGGGAGTACTGCAAGTGACCATTGTTTCTCTTTTTGCTTAGTACATTTCTTGATTTATACAATGATCATCTGTTTAAACTATGACGTAAGACATTTTAAAACTAAATATTTTTACATATTAAACTTAAGATTATTTAAAATTCAAGTCTCATCGTTATCAATAATATCTTTCTGAACTTCTCCAAGTGACTTTTTAGATCTTGAAATCACCTCATTAAAAAGCAAAAATGAGTAATGAACTATATTCTGCTTCTCTCAAAGTTTAGTTTCACATGGCATTTGAGCTTTGATAACCACTACAGCAGCTATTAGGAAAATTTTAAATCACTGGGGATAGAGGGAGCATTTCTTTTGTTTTAACTAATTTAAAGAACTACACTTAATGCATGTACTTAATCATTTTCCTTTCTCATTGAGCCCAGAATTTAACATACCAGTCAGATTCAATTTAGGAATAGGCAATGGCTCTGTTGGAACAGGATGGTACGAAAACAAGGTAAACATTCCTCGTCCTACAGGAAGAGCCATAGTTCGCTGACACAATTGGAGCAATCTGTAATTAAAGTAAAAACCAACATGTGAAAATGTTTAAAGCAAAGAGCAATTGAAATATCATCTGTAAGTATTTCAAAAGAAGGTGTACTGTATAAGATGAAGTTGTCTCAAAGTAAATTCATACACAGATGTGAGTGAACTACCCAAACATGATTATTTTCATTTTAATATTCTTGTTCCTATTACACTCTTAGGGAGAGACATATTTCCTCTGTTTTGTTTCATATTTACATTGAATGAAAACCACCTGGCCTATAAACCAAGCCGACTCTCTCTAGGCATTCAAAAAAAAAAAAGAAATTTAAAATTCCACTCCGATGGATGCTAACCTTCTCAAAGGAAAATACAGTACTTTTGGGGTTTTTATCACTGTGTTAATTTCAGTCTAGCTGTCCTCAGTACATGTGGGATCCTCCTCCCATCCCTTTTGCCAATACAGCCTCAGAAGTACCATTTCTGTGGCCTGTACACAAGAAAAGAAACAAGGTCCTTGTGTTAGAGGTGAATGGATTTCATGGTGTCTCCAAGGGAAATACAGATTGGTTTCACTTACATGATGGCTAGATTTATAGGACTAATACCATTATGTATCAGGTATGTTCAAGGTTAAAATGGTTTCTGTTGGCTCTACTGTGAAATTCATACACCACTCTTCAACTTCTTCCTATGTTAAAATAGCTTAACATTCCATATAGCCACTTAAAAAAAACTAACAGAAATTTTGGAAGTAGGGCATTTATAACTAAGAAACACCTATACAAGCTATATCTGAAGACACAGAAATATCCCTTCAGAGGCTGACAACTGACAAACATTTTCTCTGCAGACAAAGCTATTCATAAGCATACTCCCTCCTTAACTGGACACACATAACTGCTTTTCTAGCTAACTGGAAAGAAAAATTTTGCTGTCTTAAAGATTCTCTGGGAACACAACCGCAACATTAATTTGGGATCAGGAAAATTCAAAGCCAAGAGTCTGTTGCAACCCATAGAATTTTTTTAGAGGAAATCTTACACATAATTCACTTCAACTTTGCGCAAGTAACAAAATTATAATGAGAACAATATTATATCCCCTGAATATAAGATGCCACTGATAAGATGTATCATTATTTCATGAGAAACTAAGAAAGAAAAAGCACTGCCAATTAAACTATGACGCCTGTTCACTAAAATACACAACTGATTTCAGAGATATTAAAAAGTGAAAAAACTTGCATCTTAGAATCAATGAACTCTACTAATAATAATGGCTGACTGCACTGAGCTTTACTATGTATTGAGCAGTATTCTAAGTGCTATGTAAAAATAATTCACTTGATACACAGCACCATCCCATGAAGTATGCCTACTTTTACAAATGAAGAAACTGAGGCAACAAGAGGTAAAGTAATTTAACCAAAGTCACCCAGCACAGCATGGCCATGCCTGGCTCTAGAGGCCATGCTCATAAATCCTATGCTCTAAACTCAACTTCTGTCACTCCATCTTTTTATTCACAGGTGACTAATAACTGGGTACATGTGGAGAGGAAACAGTTAATAGGGAAATCACAACTAATTCAGATCTTCAGCAGCCTGTGGCTAAGTGTGGGTGATGGTTCCCCTCAAAACAGTACCATAAAAAAAGTAAAGAGAACTAGAAAACAGTGACAGATGAATGATAGATGATAGAGACAAGCAGATAAAAGAACAGGAGAGAATTTTAAAACAGAAGTGTCCCAAGAGAATAGCTCTGGAATGTCATAGGCACGTGAGTCTTATAATGTATCAAGGGATGTATCCTGTGCAGGGGAGTGGCAGAAGAAAGGCTTATCTATTTTTATTTGGAGTATTATCTATCATATCCAAAAAAAAAATACTGATATAAGTTTAAACTACACTAAAAACCCCACTAACCTCAAAATCTATTCCTGATCAAGACACAGAAAAACAAGTCCAGTGTTTTCTTTGTTTGTAAATTCTTAAGGTAACTATCAGGCAAAATAGTTTTACATTCACCTTTTCTAAAGAGTAAACTGTTATATGTATTTCAAGAGGAGGACGGTATGAAATACAACAATTATGTCCTCAAAAGCCAAAGACATTTTGCTAACACACGTGGTTTGTTAAAGTTGGATGAAAACTTAAAACACAGGGCATATTTTCACTTGAAAGTATCTTTTAAATCTCTTTAGGGTTTTAAATGCTAAAAACTTGAAGGAAAAACAAATATAAACAAGACACAAATGTAACAATGAAACGTGACAAGAGATAGTACACGTGTTTTCTTTCACCTGTTTTCCTTTTCCTCGATGAACTCGTGGTCACTGAGCTCTGGGTACTGCACTACGTTGACACGGACAGGATGCGCACTCTGAAGAAGCCTTCGCACATCCTGCACCCTTAAATCTTCACTCCATATTAATGACATGACCTCGTGATTCATGTCATTCATGCCGTCATCTTCCTCCTCAGTTTCTGTACCTGAAGGAACATCTGATGAGAGCACCTGAGTAACAGATTTATTATAATAATAATTTCAAAAGCAGTTAACGTGCACTTGCTGAACATGAGGATATATAGGCTGATGTGCCATGACTATACTAGCACAGAGAAAATATGTTTTCCAAAGCAGGCATGGGTTGGGGCCGCAATGTATACTGGGACTCTAATCTACAAATCTTTCTAAAAAGTACTATATTGCTGGCTGGGTGTGGTGGCTCACACTCTGTAATCCCAGCACTTTGGGAGGCCGAGGTGGGTGGATCACCCGAGGCCAGGGGTTCCAGACCAGCCTGGCCAACATGGTGAAACCCGGTCTCTACTAAAAATACAAAAATTAGCTAGCCAGACGCAGTGGTGCACACCTGTAGTCCCAGCTACTGGGGAGGCTGAGGCTGGAGAATCACTTGAATGCGGGAGGCAGAGGTTGCAGTGAGCCGAGATCGTGCCACTGTACTCCAGCCTGGGTGACAGAGTGAGATTCTGTCTCAAACAACCAAACAAACCAAACAAACAAACAAACAAAAGTACTACATTGCCTACTTGGAAATATTTGGAAATGACGGGGAGAGTTTAAATTTAGGGCAACAGTCAAGGGGCTGGATACGAACAGAGAAATATTCTGAATAAACTATAAAAAAAATCTAACTACATCCTGATCATTTCTTAAAAAAAAATTATTGCAAGTAGAATATGAATACTAGTCACTGCTAATAATGCTAATTTAAATATTGTCTGTTCATTAATAGAAGGAGAAGGAAAAAAGCCTGAAAGGATATACCCCAAGGGTTGGGGGAAGTCACACAATGAAATACCTTTTACTTTACTACTTTAAATAGACAGGATCATGGTTGGATTCCATTATTAAGCTTTTTTTTGTTTTTTTTTTTTGAGACAGGGTCTTACTCTGTCACTCAGGCTGGAGTGCAGTGGTGTGATCCTGGCTCCCTGCAACCTCCACCTCTTGGGCTCAAGCAGGCTTTCAACCTTAGCCTCCCGAGTAGCTGGGACTACATATGTGCACCGCCCACCCAGATAATTTTTTTTATTTTTTGTAGAGACAGAGTCTTGCCCTGTTGACCAGGCTGGTCTTGAACTCCTGACCTCAAGGAGATCCACCCACCTCAGCCTCCCAAATAGCTAGGACTACAGGCACATACCACCACACCTGGCTAAATTTTTTAAAAAATTGTTTAAGTAGAGATGAGGTCTCACTATGTTGCCTAGGCTGGTCTCAAACTCCTGGGCTCAAGCAGTCCTCCGCCTTGGCCACCCCAAAGTGCTGAGATTACAGGCATGCGCCACCACACCCAGCCAGTTTTCACTATTTTTTAAAAAATGTGTTTCCAATAAAAATTTCTTAGAAGGAAAAGTACTGAACTACAGCAAAACAAGTAAGAGGGTAAATTCCTTGATTGTCATCATGTTCTAAGCCCAGCATGTGCTTTAATATGGGGCTTCCCAGTCCAAATAATTAAATCTAACTGCAACACAGATGTGAATTGCGTGGAATCATATCATATTCTCTCAAAAACAGTATTATACTCTTTTAACAAAAGAATAACTCCAAGTTGAAATGTTAAAGTTTTGCAACATTTAATGTGAAACCAACAAGGTCAGCCTGAAAAAAAAGTAGATACGACCAAATAATCACTTTTAGTTCCTAAAAATTCATTTTTAGCTCCTATAAAATATCTAATTTAAAAAAAAAAACTATATTCTAATGGGTGAGTTAGCTATAAAACATAGTCTCAAACAGTGACAAAATAAATTTAGATGGGATTAGTTATAAAATGTAGCCTCAACTGAACAAACTGTATTTAGACATAATTACTTAAAATCACATTCAAATACAGATTAATGTTTTAATGCTAATGGTGCTGAACTGCTCTCTCTCACAGGAAAATCATTTTATAAGCAAAAAGATTTGTTTTCTGTTTAAAACAGGATGTAAATACTAATTCAACGAAGAGCTGTGATTGAGGCGCAGATTAAAGGAGAGACGTGCTGGGATGACCGTGCTGGAGATCAGATGCCCATGGAAACTGACTCCGGCATGGGTACACATTAGGCAACTCTGAGGTTAGGAATAAGTTTTGATATAGGCTCTGAAGAAGTAGTAATAAGACCTAAGGTGACTCATAGTTACAATGCACTGATTATTATGTATTGATTCAAAAGCTACTAAGAGGTAAGACCAAATTCCCACTGTCTTCTCGGGACATGAACATAAAAGAGTCACCAGGAGTGGAATTATTATTCCTGAATCCTCCTTGATGAGATTCTACTGTTCATTTTTTAAAGTTACCTAGAATTCTAGAATAAGTTTTAAAAGTTTCATTTTCAAGTTTTAAGAGAGGATGATATAAAAAGATAATTGGAGAGTAATGAAATAATTTTACTTTCTACTTGCAGGATTCCTAGAACTCATTTAAAAAAAAAAAAACAGACTTGATGATTGATGAAAGACAGTATTTCGGGAGGGATAGCTTAAGACATCTTTTTAAACAACTCTACTAAAAAAACACATTTTTTCCCTGGGGCTGCAGTTTTATGTGATTAAATAAATATGTTTACACCTATTTAAAAGGTTAAATTCAAAAAATTCAACACATCGAAAAATATGCAGTAGAAAATATTTATATATAATTACTCATCCAAATTCAGGATATATGTGCTCTCCCTTTTCCTATGTAATAATTACAAAGTGGTTAATTACTAATATGGTACAAGTAGGGAAATAGCCATGGTAGTTTCCATGACTACACTCAGGACTTGTCCTGATTCAAGGCAAAGAAAGATCCAGGCACAAGACAGAACATTCACAAAATCTCCTGCTCCTATGCTCAACTTAACAATTAATAAGACGCATACAATTACAAACCCCGTCTGGCATATAATATAAAAGACAAGCTAATATATATACTTAGAAAAAGCCTTAAAGGAAAATGAAGAACATTTCTACTTTATGATTTTATTTAAGGCTAAAATTGGAACTCTGAACTTTCTATGTTGATACTCACAGACTTCCCTTTGGGTAAGTTTCCTTCGCAGGCCTGCTTGGAAAGATCCTGACGTCCAGTCAAGAGACAGACAGCTTCTGGCCAGTCTGAGGCAGGCTGCTCACGACAGTGATAAATTGCATCTCTGATGGGAAGAGCAATTCCAAAGGGAAGAGTTTCCAAATCTCTTAAAGTGAATCCTAATGGTTAAAGGAAGAGAGAAACATTTTAATTTAGACTTGCCACTGTCCCAATTATCCTAGCTGAAGTTGGCAACAATATCTATCCTGACAAATAAATTCATTTTATTCCTCTTAGTACCAGACTAATGTCTTAACATCAGGGACTAGTATAGGAAGTCTCTTTGAAAGAACTTGTAAAAACCTGAAGAAAAAAAGACAATCTAATAGAAAAATATAAAAGACAAAAAGACATTTCCTAGAAGGGGAAACATAAATGGGCAATATGCATATGAAAAGATGCTCTACCTAATTAGTGATCAGGAAAATGCAAATTAAAGCCACTGAGAAATGTAAATGTCAAAGCCAATCAATACCAAGTGTTGGCAACTATGTAGAGCGATAATAATTCTTTTTATTCTTTTTTTTTTTTTTTGAGATGGAGTCTTGCTCTGTCACCCAGGATGGACTGCAGTGGTGTAATCTCGGCTCACTGCAAGCTCCTCCTCCCGGGTTCATGCCATTCTCCTGCCTCAGCTTCCCGAGTAGCTGGGACTACAGGCGCCCACCACCATGCCCGGCTAATTTTTTTTGTAGTTTTTTTTTAGTAGAGACAGGGTTTCACCGTGTTAGCCAGGATGGTCTTGATCTCCTGACCTCGTGATCCACCCGCCTTGGCCTCCCAAAGTGCTGGGATTACAGGCATGAGCCACCGTGCCCGGCCCGAGCAACAATAATTCTTATCCATAGCCAATGGTAGTGTAAACTGGTACAACCACTTTGGAAAACAGTTGGTATGTATAGGTCAGTCCACCCATTTGATCCATCAACAGCCATATAGAAACTTACACCCAGGTACACCAAGACACAGGTATAAAAATATTCATTAGCAATACTGGTTTGCTATGGAAAAAAAAAAAAGAGATGGAGAAAGGGGTAAGTCCGATTGTCTATCATTAACAGAATGGGTAATTAAATTGTGATATGTTCAAACAAAGTAATCTCTATATCAGAGAAAATGAATGACCCACTGCTACTGCTACGTGAGTCGACATGGATGAATCTTTAAAAAACAAAGTTGAGTGAAGAAAAAGGAACATATATTTACATCTATATATTTTCAAAACTACATAAAACCTAGCAATTTATAAAGATGTAAAACTATAAAGAAAAACAAGAGTAAGGTAACACAAATGTAGGTAGGGCAGTGGTTCACTATAACATTGGGGTGTGTGACAGGAGGGGACCATCCAAGAACAGATATGTAAGGGCCTTCTACTATGCGGGTAATGTTCTATTTCTAGGGGTGGGTGACCAGTACATCAATACTCACTTTAGTACCATTCTCTAAACTAAACATATACGTTTGACATATTATTTTGTAAGTATACCATATTTCATATTTAAATTTTTTTATCCTCAGGTTAATTAAATCATGTTTTTCTTATCATGATTTTCTAAATTTTATAATACTATGCATTATTTATAATATAAAAAGTCGATTAACTATTGAGGCAAAAAATGTTTCCTTATATGAGAATAACACTTATTAAATATTATGCAATATACAAATGGATAGAACTAATCCAATATTTTTCAGCATAGGTATCCTGTATGTATACTACGCAACAGTTATTGTCATTTTTAAGGTAAAATGCAAAAAAAAAAAACCTGTCAGAAACTTCATTTAGAACATACTTTAGATAAGACTTCAAAAACATCTTTTAATATTCATTAAAACTTTACTTTTTAACATACATCCCATATAATATCCTCATCTTTAAAATCATGTCTTCGTGGCAGTAATTTTTAATTTTGTTTTTCAGTTCTTTGTGAAAAAAAATTTCTTTGGTATTTTACTTAATTTAAAACCTAGGAGCATAGGTTTGGGGAATAGGGAATATAGAACGCTTTTCCTTCCTCTTCCTCTTCCCAGTTCAATGTTCATCTTGGTGCCTGAAATCCCTTCAAAAGTGCATTTATCCTTCAAAAGTATACCCTGAAATGTTTATATTATTGCTTTTAGACTTTGCCAAAACCACCCATTTCTGATATCTGAGTATCACAATGATTTCAGGTGTATATGTAGGGTAATTAGAGTTCTCCATTCTCAGAGACCAGCTTACATAGCCATAGCCTCAAATGTTCCAATGTAATGGCAAATAAAGATTCCTTATGCACCAAGATAAAAAGCTGGTATCCCACATATTATTATATGAAAGTTGTGAGATTGTCGAGAAAAAAGAATATGGCTTGATGAACCATAATCTCAATCTTGTGAGGCCTTTTCACAAAGCCAGAGCCCCTCTCTCCTCATGCCTTCCACTTCTAGCTAGTCTGGAGGAAGCACGGCCTAGTTAGGAGGTAACAAAGAAGCTCTCACCTACATTAGTCATCCAGCCAACCAATCTTTCAGCTAGACTAGAAACAGACGTAGAATGCCTGAAACTAAACCTATAAGAGAATAAAACATAAAGTAATTAAGCAGAACAGTAAATAATATTGTTTTAAGTGTCTGACATAAAAGCACAGTCTAAATAAAAGTCACCTGTTTTCCTCTTGTTCTGCTTGCAACTTCTGGGGGGCTAAAAGGCAACAAAATGAAACTTAATTTTGATAGTCATCCTGGTAAAGAAAACATGTAACATGTAGAAGACATTTGAAAATAAGAATCCATTAGCAAACAACATCTAAAAAAATAATAAAATAAGCAATACTGTGGCAGGCTGAAAAGTACAGTCAAGGCCCTCAGAATACTCAGGGGACTGGTTAGGACACCCCATGTGTACCCAAATCCGTGCATGCTCAAGTCCTGCAATTGGCCCTGCAGAACCTGCATATGCATTTCACATCAGAGAATACTGCATTTTCTATCTGCATTTGGCTGAAAAGAATTTCATTGTAAGTGGACCCACACAACTCAAACTCATGTTGTTCAAGAGTCAATGGTACAATAATTTCCTTCAGGCTAAAATAGTCCTTTTTACCCGCACTGAAAATACAAGATTTATTAGATTTTAAGTAATCCTGATACCTGAAAATTAGTTGTGGACAACAGACCGCAACAGACCAGAACAGTACTAAAAAGGTAAGACATGGCCGCCAAAGCAAACAAGAAAAATTCAATTCTTTTTTCAATTCTGATACTGACATCTACAAAAATTTGATTCCAGAGGCAACATTGCACCAACTTACCTACAGTTATTCTGGTTAAATACTGTGAGGATTCATCAGAAACTGAGCTCTCATCACCAAGTATGTACAGTGCAATACTCTGCAAAAGAAGAAAATTAACATTATTTTTCTCTTTCCAGAGACAGCATCTCACTTTGTCACCCAGGATGGAGTGCAGTGACACAATCACAGCTCACTGCAGCCTCAAACTCCTTGGCTCAAGCAATCTTCCTGCTTCAGTCTCCAGAGTAGCTAGGACTACAAGCACACACCACCATGCCCAGCTAATTCTTTTATATTATTTTTATTTTTTGTAAAGACAGAGTCTTGCTGTGTTGCCCAGGCTGGGCTCAAACTCATGACCTCGAGCAATCCTTCTGCCTCAGCCTCCCAAACTGCTGGGATTATAGGTATGAGCCACCACACCTAGCTACATAATTGAAGTGTAACTAGAAAATAATTATAACATAGAATAATTCGTCCATTTTAGGTGTACAGCTCTGTGAGTTTCGACAAATGTTATATCACATAACCACTACCACACTCACAATATAGTATACTTTCATCATACCAAAAAGCTCCCTCGTTCCTTTTGTAGTCAATCCTTTCCTCCTACACCCAGCACTGGAAACAATTCATCTGTTTTCTTGCTCTACAGTTTTGTCTATCCTACAATATCATGTAAATGAATCATATGATACGTAGTCTTTTTTGTGCTACTTCTTTAACTTAGCATAAGTCTTTGAGATTCATTCACATCTCTCCAAGGATCACTAGTTTCTTCCTTTTCATGCTGAGTAGTATTCCATTATACAGACATACCAAACTTTGTTTACCTACTCAAAAACTGATGAACATTTGGTTCCAGTTTGTGGTCACTATGACCAAAGCTGCTTTATTTTTTATTTGTTTATTTTTTTTGAGACGGAGTCTCGCTATGTTGCCAGGCTGGAGTGCAGTGGCACAATCTTGGCTCACTGCAACCTCCACCTCCTGGGTTCAAGCGATTCTCCCACCTCAGCCTCCAGAGTGGCTGGGATTACAGGCATGCGCCACCACGCCCAGCTAATTTTTGTATTTTTAGTAGAGACAGGGTTTCACCATGTTGGCCAGGTTGGTCTCGATCTCCTGACCTCGTGATCCGCCCTCCTCGGCCTCCCAAAGTGCTGAGATTATGCCACCGCGCCTGGCCCCAAAGACATTCACATACATGCGGGTCTTTATGTAGGCATATGTTTTCATTTCTCTTAAGTAAATACCAAGGAGTTGGAATTTGTCTTATATAAGTGTATGTTTAACTTCACAAGAAACTGCCAAACAGTTTTCCAAAGTGCTGTGCCACTTTTGCAGTCCCACCAGTAATGTATGAGAGTTTCGGTTGCTCCACATCCTCACCAAAAGTTATTTTCAGTCATTCCAACAGGTATCGAATAGTGCTCTCTCACTATCTAAGAAGTATCTAGTAGTACAGAGCTGTAGTGGTATTTGCTTTGAGGAGGAAAAGAAAAAGATAAGACCAAGGAAAAAGTCTCTCAAAAGAGTTAAAATATTCAACATATAACACAAACACAAAAGTACATAAGATCTCTGTATTAAATGAGAAAACATACATGAAGTTCCTTGAAGACAACAGGCTCCCAATAAATGTTATCTCACTTCCTTCCTTTCCCTCATTTCAACAAATGGTACACAGACAATGCCATCTCCGCATATACAAGTGAGTCAATAGAAAAAGAGCCACCATAAGCTAGAAGGTTACTACAAATGTCTCATTAGCTAACATCACATAAAAAAAATTTATCACTTGCGGTCAGGAGTTCAAGACCAACCTGGGCAACATGGCAAAACCCCATCTCTACTAAAAATACAAAAATTAGCCGGGTGTGATGGTGTGCACCTGTGGTCCCAGCTACTCAGGAGGCTGAGGTGGAAGGACTGCTTGAGCCCCGGGAGGTTGAGGCTGCAGTGAGCCATGATTGCACCACTGCACACCAGCCTGGGTGACAGAGTAAGACCTTG
The DNA here is from genome assembly GCF_000001405.40 of Homo sapiens. Taxonomy (NCBI): domain Eukaryota; kingdom Metazoa; phylum Chordata; class Mammalia; order Primates; family Hominidae; genus Homo; species Homo sapiens. The sequence goes on along the minus strand of NC_000002.12, from coordinate 87,711,439 downwards.
TCTCAAATAAAAAAAATAAAAGTAAAAAAAGTCCAATAAAACTTATAATGACGAAACCAAAAACCTATCAATAAGGGCTTCTGTTGATATTTTTCAGAATATTTTTATAAATAAAAATAAATTCATATTTTTATAAATAGATCTCTGAGCTGACAAGTTATAAAGGAATACCAAGAGGATAAAACTAAGATGAAAGGCCAGAGAGGTAAACTGAGCACTCATGCCAGTTTTACTGAAAAGACATTCACAGAAAAACCTATAGAATGGGAGAAAATATTTGCAAATCATGTATCTGACACATTAATATCTAGAGCATAAAAATGCCTAAACTCAAAAATAAAAATCCAATTTTCAAATACACAAAAGATCTGCATAGATATTTCTTCAAAGAAGATACGTAAATGGCCAATAAACACATGAAAATATGCTCAATATCACTAATCATTAAGGAGGCAAATCAAAACAATGAGATATCACTTCATAAATACTAGGATGGCTATAATTTTTAAAAAAACAAATAGAAAATAATAATATGTGTTGGCAAGACTGTGGAGAAATTGGAACCCTTCCTCTTGCATTGCTGATAAGGATGTAAAATGGTATAGCCACTATGAAAATGAGTTTAGCAGTTTCTCAAAAAGTTAAACATCGAATTACCTACCATATGACCCAACAATTCCACCACCAGGTATATATTAAAAAGAACTGAAAGCAGAGACTTGAACAGATATTTGCATACCCATGGTTCACAGCAGCACTATTCCACAGTCAAAAGGTGGAAACAACCCAAATGCCCATCATCAGGTGAAATGATAAATTGTGGTATATCCATACAATGGAATACTATATAGAATACTGCCTTTAAAACAATGTAATTTTGATACATGTTACAATATGGGTGAACATTGGAAACATTATGCTAAGTGAAATAAGCCAGACACAGAGATAAATATTGCTTGATTCCCATAATATGAGGTACTTACAAGAGACAAATTCATAAGAAAGAGAACGGAATTACCAGGGCCTGGAAGGAAGGGGAATGGGGAGTCACTCTAATAGGTACAGAGTTTATGTTGGGGATGATGAAAAAGTCTTGGGTACGGACAGTGGTGATGGCAACATAACAATGTGAACGTATTCAATGCCACTGGATTGTACACTCAAAAATAACTTCAGGCCGGGCGCAGTGGCTCACGCCTGTAACCCCTGCACTTTGGGAGGCCAAGGTGGGCAGATCACTTGATGTCAGGAGTTCAAGACCAGCCTGGCCAACATGGTGAACCCCATCTCTACTAAAAATACAAAAATTAGCCAGACTTGGTGACTCATGCCTGTAATCCCAGCTACTCGGGAGGCTGAGGCAGGAGAATCGCTTGAACCTAGGTGGCGGAGGTTGCAGTGAGCCGAGATCGTGCCACTGCACTCCAGCCTGGGCAACAGAGTGACTCCATCTCAAGAAATAATAATAATAACAATTTCAATGACAAATATTATGTTATATATATTTTGCTATCATTAAAAAAATCTGTGTTTTTTAAACAGAATCATCATTCTGTATGTCTGTTTTGGAGCCATGGGGGGACTCTGAAGCACTTCTCACCATGAAGCAGAGCAAAACGTAGAGTAAAGAAAAAGAAGGGCAGGGGGCAAAGACATTTGCAGTCTGCCAACATTTGAGAGAAGGGACAAAAGCATATGGTTCTCCTGCAAGCCTGGGAAGACCCCACCTGAAAAGGCCCACAAGGGGCCTATGAGCAGGCTGCTCCAGGATGGGGGGACTGAGGAACAGGTATGCCAAGAAACTTACCTCATTCACCGTTACAGCCCTATGGTTCTATATGAAGGTTTGATCTTGGACATGTATTAACCAGTAATAACAAACTAATTTCTAAAAATAAATAAATCATGAGATTTGCAGCTAGAGGTAAATAAAAAATAATAAAAATAAATAAAGAAGTGTTTCTTTGAAAAAAATTTCAGCAGGATTTTTCTTTGTAGCTATAGACAAGCGGATTATAAAATCAGTAGGGGACGGGCGCGGTGGCTCACACCGGTAATCCCAGCACTTTGGGAGGCTGAGCCAGGCGGATCACTTGAGGTTGAAAGTTCAAGACCAGCCTGGCCAATATGGTGAAATCCCGTCTCTACTAAAAATACAAAAAATTAGCCGGGCGTGGTGGTGGGATCCTGTAATCCCAGCTATTTGGGAGGCTGAGGCAGGAGAATCGCCTGAACCCAGAAGGTGGAGGTTGCAGTGAGCTGAGATCACTCCACTGCACTCTAGCCTAGGCAACAGAGTGAGACTCTGTCTCAAAAATAAAAATAAAAATAAAATCAATATGAAAAGGCAAGAAGAGTAATGAAGGGAGGAGTAACGCTAATCAATTTTAAAGACTTACTATAAAGCTACAGTAATGACAGCGTAGACAGCCACAAAGATCAATGAACCAGAATAGAAAGTCCAGAAACAGACACACAAGAATGTGGCCAAATTAACTTTTGACAAAAGTGCAAATGCAATAGAGGAAGGATAGTCTTTTCAAAAAACAGTGCTGAAAGAACTGGATATCCAAATGAAATAATAAAAACCTTGACTTAAAACCTGACATGTTATAAAAGATTAACAAAATGGATTAGAGATCTAAATGTAAAACATGCAAAGAAACCCAGGAGAAAATCTTCAAAACCTGAAGTTAAACAAAGAATTATTAGACATGACACTAAAAGCAACATCCATTAAAGAAAAATACAGATAAACTAGCTTCATCAAAATTAAACACTTTTGCTCTTTGATGTATTAAGAGAATGACGAGACAAGACAAGGTAGAAACCAGAAGAAAATATCTGCAAACCACATATCTGACAAAACCTCATACCTAGAACGCTGAAAACATCATTAGCCATTAGGAAAATGCAAATTAAAACCACAATGAGGTATAACTACACATCTCTCAGAAAGACAAAAATAAAAAAGAGTGACAATACCAAATACCAACAAGAATGCAGGTAAATGATCTCTTAAATATTGCTGGTAAAAATGTAAAATGGAAGAGCCACTCTGGAAAACAGATGACAGTTTCTTTAAAAACAAAATATAAACTTAACTGTATGACCCATCAATCCTACTCCTAGGTACCTGTCCTAGAGAAAGCAAAACTTATGTTCACATAAAACGCTAAGCATGAATGCTGACAGCATCTATATTTACAATTGCTAACAACTGAAATCAACCCAATTATCTTGAATGAAAAACCAACTATGACACATTCATGCAATAAACTACTAATTAGCCATAGAATGCAATGAACTGTCGATACAGGAAACAACTTGGATGAGTCTCAAAATCATGAGAGAAATTTTTGAGGGTGATGTAAATGTTCTATATCCTCATTGTAGTAATTACATGAATCTATACACGTACTGAAATTCACAGAACTATACACAGAAGAAAAACTTAATATTAGGTGTACTTTTTAAAACTAAATTTTAAAAGAAAAAGGAGATAGGTAGTAACACTCCACATACATACCAAGACTACAAGTCTGCTTCTTTCACAGATTCCAGGGAGGTAAGGATAAGGCGGCATTCCTTCGCCCTTCAGACAAGAACTCACCCACTGATAAATACTTGGTGGCTCAGACGTAAAAAATGATGGATGATGCATAAATCCTGTTTGACCTTTAAAATTAGATAAATATTCAAAAAGACACGAAAATACATTAAGACAACATTATTTTATTTTAAACGGAAGATGATCAACAGTTACTTGTCATTTTGAAACAACTAGAATAATATTTTTCCAGCCGGGTGCAGTGGCTCACGCCTGTAACCCCAGTACTTTGGGAGGCCCAAGCAGGTGGATCATGAGGTCAGGAGTTAAAGAACAGCCTGGCCAATATGGTGAAACCCCGTCTCTACTAAAAATACGAAAAAAAATTAGCTGGGCCTGGTGGTGCGCACCCGTAGTCCCACCTACTTGGGAGACTGAGGCAGAAGAATCACTTGAACCCAGGAGGTGGAGGTTGCAGTGAGCCAAGATCATGCCTAAGAGACAGAGCGAGACTGTGTCTCAAAAAAAAAAAAAAAAAAAAGGAATAACGTTTTTCCATATTCTCCAAAATGCTTCATGTTTTCTGCCACAGTACATAAGGAACTATGTTATTAAATGTAGAATTTAAATGACTTCTATTTTATCCCACCCTGGATGGAAATTTAGCAAATTCTTGTTCCCAAGGCATATAAAGAATCTAACCAAAGGCTGGATGTGGTGGCTAACACCTGTAATCCCAGCCCCTTGGGAGGCTGAGTCAGGTGGATCACTTGAGGTCAGGAGTTCAAGGCCAGCCTGGCCAACATGGTGAAACCCCATCACTACTAAAAATACAAAAATTAGCCAGGCGTGGTGGCACACACCTATAAGCCCAGGCAATCCCAGGCACTTGGGAGGCTGAGGCAGGAGAATCGCTTGAGCCTGGAAGGCAGAGGATGCAGTGAGCCAAGATCGTACCACTGCACTCCCATCTGGGTGACAGAGTGAGACCCTGTCTCAAAAAAAAAAAAAAAAAAAAAGAAGAAGAAGAAGAATCTAACCAAAAATTTTGCCCTAACCCTAAAGGTGAAAAAAACAAAAGAAACATCCAGGATTCAGCTCTGTTCCAACAACTGGGTCCCAAATTTCAGTACCTTTAGCTCAGGGTCTAGGACAGTACAGTAGTGATGGAAATGTTCTGTGTCTGTATCTGCACTGTCCAATATGGTAGCACTAGCCCCATGTGGCTACTGAGTTCTCAAAATGCGGCTAGTACACTGAGGAAATATATGTTTTATTTTAATTGAATTTAAGTAGCATATGGTTAGTGGTACTAACTGTACTCTACAAGTCTAAGTTAAAAGCATCCTTGGCGGCCTGGCGCAGTGGCTCACGCCGTAATCCCAGCACTTTGGGAGGCCGAGGTGGGTGGATCATGAGGTCAGGAGATCAAGACCATCCTATGTAACACGATTAAACCTCGTCTCTAATAAAAATACAGAAAAATTAGCCAGGCATGGTGGCGGGCACCTGTAGTCCCAGCTACTCAGGAGGCTGAGGCAGGAGAATGGCGTGAACCCAGGAGGCAGAGTTTGCAGTGAGCCGAGATCGCGCCACTGCACCCCAGCCTGGGTGACAGAGCAAGACTCCGTCTCAAAAAAAAAAAAAAAAAAAAGCATCCTTGACACTGGAAGCTCTTTCTCTGACTTTTGCAAGTCAGAACCTTAGGGATGGGTAAAATTTTCCCTATACACTGAAGATATTATGGCTTACTACGTGTCAGAAAACAAGCACTACGAACTAAAATCTGCCTGGTGGAAAGGCATTGCCCCTGACTTAGAAGCTAATGGTAAGAAATACATCCTCTGCTATTCATTGAGAAAAATACAAGGAAATATCACTACACTGTTTAGAAAATATTTAAAAGCACGACTACTTACCTGGATCAATTGTGCACACTTGTCCAGTAGTTCTGACAAGCGTTGGGTAGTCTCTATAGTAATGATCTACATAAGGCCCCAATTTTAAGTAAGTAAGGCATGCAAAAAAGAAGGTATTACAGCACTTTCTCCCAACAGAATTGGAAGGATTAATTAGTTGAATCTTTAAATTTAAAAACTTACTTATGAGAAAGATAACCAAATCTAGAGTCTCTCTATTGTATTTTTGGACTTTAAAGTGCCCAGTGTGACAAATGGAACCCAACCTCTTTTTGCTAAATTTTGTGGAAGTAAAACTACAGTAAAAGCACCATGATCTAGTTCCTCCTCTGCTATTCATTAGCTGTGTGATCTTCCATAAGTCATGTCTATAAACCTCAGTATTTTCTTCTAGGAAATGGGGCAATATCAGCTCACTTACTCTGAAGTTTTAAAGAGTAAATAAGATAAAATATGTAAAAAAAAAAAAAACCTGATAAAATGTAAAACATCATACACATTACTTATTTCAGACAGCCATGATTATGGTTTGGAAATTATTTAATTACAAAATAATTTTGATGATAGTAATGACATCCTAAGAGATATTTACCATTGATTAAAACTGCCATGTCTCAGGATTGAATTTCAAGATCTCAAAAAAGACAACAGAAATTAGAAAATGTACTATGTCTTAACTCAGAGGCTGACATTTCAATTCAAATTCAACTTCTTTATCACCAAAGGTCATAAAGGTCAAACAACACACAAGTATGACCCTAGAATTCTGAGCCATACACAAGGTGCTTCAAAGCTCTTGAAAGGTGTTGAAACGTATTATTAGAACTATCTTATTGTGGATCTACTATGAGTGCCTCAAAGACAGGGACAACCTCAGACTGCAACAAGGATAGCATAGCAAAATGAGTCCACAACTATCAAACACTCATATCCCAGGAAACAAATTTAGGCAAGTTTCCTCATCACTAAAATAGGAAACTTACCTTGTTTGAGACTTTATATGTAAACTATGATTTTGTCAACTATAAAGCACTATTTGAATGTGGATATTACAAAACAGCAGATGTTATTCTAGAACTCCCACCACAGTATAGTCAGTCAGTCATCCTGTCAAAATGAAAATCTGAGCAGGTCATCTCCATTTTTTCGTGACCTTCCACTAATCTCAGGACAAAGACTAAAAATCCCTGCATGGCTCACAGGCCCTTACAAAACCAGTATCTTCAAACAACTCTGTGGTTTACAGAGATGCCATAGTTTTCAGAGAAGGCAGATTTCAGAAACGTATTTACAAGGTCCCTATATGATATCATGGAAAAGACAGTCATCTCAGGACTTCCTGGCAGTTTCTAACCTACAAACAAATTTACCTTGCCAACTGAACGAGAAGTTCAAGAGTGAACAAATTCCTTCTCCCATTAGAGTATTCAACTTAAGCTCCTCATACACAAGGCGAAGAACGAAAAAAATTGCAGGTATGTGAGTAAAGAGAAGTGTAGAAGAATCCAGACTGAGATTCTGTGAAAAATCCTCATCCTTCATCTGTGAAGCTTCTGAAGGACTCAGACATAAAGATCTGTTCAAAAGATGAGACTCAACACTCTGGTGGTAGTCTGAATTTAGTAAATATTCCCAGTCCTGAGAAGAATAAAAAGAATATTAATTTTTAAAAATAATACCTCCTTATAATATCATAAGAAAATTAATTCACTTAAAACAATTCAAGTTTCATTTTCACATTAAGTTGATCTAAGAGTATGTTAAAAAAAAGACAATGCTAAGAATGAAGTAACTATAAAATAGCAAGCCAGTTATAAACGTTAAGGCAAGCCACCTTTAAAAACCATTAAAAAAAATCTTTTCATGCCCTTTTAGGAAAGACATTGGGAGAAGAATTATACAATTTAGGTAGAGATTGAGAGAGAAAATTTAAGATTATCTCAGGCTAGGTTTTATAGGAAAAGTAGATGGCAAGTTAGTGGCCACTACACTGAACTGTGTTTTGGTAAGAAGGAAGGTCCACCTGCATTCATCTGGTGTATTCATCTTTCCACATGTATAAGATGCCAGGGCTACTAATATAATCTAATAATCAACTGATTTTTATATTCAGACTGATTGGACTACATTTTCCAAATGTTCAGTCTATTTTGGTTCTACTTGTGATTTACTGCATTTGGTTCAGAGAATGTGGTTTATGCTATTTCCAGGTCTTGGAATTTACTGGTGTTTTTATAAGGCTTAATACAGTGTGTTATTCTAAATTAAAAATTCTTGGACTAGATACAGAAAGAACTAACCATAAAAGAAAAAACTGGGCCGGGTGCAGTGGCTCATGCCTGTAATCCCAGCACTTTGGGATGCCGAGGCGGGTGGATCACGAGGTCAGGAGATCGAGACCATCCTGGCTAACACGGTGGAACCCCATCTCTTCTAAAAAAAATACAAAAAAATTAGCTGGGTGTGGTGGCGGGCACCTGTTAGTCCCAGCTATTGGGGAGGCTTAGGCAGGAGAATGGCATGAACCTGGGAGGCGGAGCTTGCAGTGAGCTGAGATCATGCCACTGCACTCCAGCCTGGGCAACAGAGCGAGACTCCATCTCAAAAATAAAATAAAATAAAATAAAAAACTGATATATTGGATAACTAAAATAAAAAATTCTGCTCATCAAAGACACTGTTAAAGCCACATTCTAAGGGAAAATATGGTCAAGAATTCATGTCTAGAACATGTAAGAACTTCACCAGCTTACATATTTTTTAAAATCTAATTTACAAGTTGATAAAGATTTGAACAGAAACTTCACAAAAAGATACATAAGCAGCTAATGAGCACATGAAAGAGTGTTTAACATCCTCCAAACTCAGCCTCCAAGTAGCTAGGACTACAGGTTATGTGCCATCATGCCTGGCTAATTTTCAAATTTTTTTGGTAGACAACTGGTCTTACTTAAAAATTAGCCAGGCATGATGGAGCATACCGGTAGTCCTAGCCACTTGGAGGCTGAGGTAGGAGGATGGCTTGAGCCTAGGAGTTCGAGATTACAGTCAACCACGATAGCATCACTGCAGTCCAGCGTAGGCAAAAGAGTGACACCCTGTCTCTTAAAAAAAAAAAAAAAAAAAAGAAATGAAAATGTATGTCCACGGGCCAGGCATGGTGGCTCACACCTGTAATCTCAGCACTTTGGGAGGCCAACATGGGTGGATTATTGAGGCCAGGAGTTTGAGACCAGGCTGGCCAACATGGCAAAATCCAGTCTCTACTGAAAATACAAAAATTAGCCAGGCATGGTGGCGCATACCTGTAATTCTAGCTACTGGGGAGGCTGAGGCATGAGAACTGCCTGAACTCAGGAGTCAGAGGTTGCAGTGAGCCGAGATCGTGCCACTGCATTCCAGCCTGGATGACACAGCAAGACTCTGTCCTCCCCCCCCCCAAAAAAAGAAAATATATATCCACAAAGACTTGCCAGTGAATTTTGGCAGTAGCTTGCTTTATTCATAAGACTTAAAAAAAAAATGGAAATAGCCTAGATATCTACCAGCAGAAGAAGGATGGATAAACAAACTATGGTATATTCATACTACTCAGCAATAAAAAAGCACAAACTACGGGTATCTGTAACAACATGAATGAATCTCAAAAGCATTATGCTGAATAAATCTTATACCAAAGATTACATACTATATTATTTTATTTACATCAAGTTCTAGAACAGGCATAACTAAGATATGGTGACAGAATTCAGATCAGTGATTGCTAGAAGAAGAGAATAAAGCTGATTAAAAACAGCAAGAGGGGCCAGGCCCAGTGGCTCATGCCTGTAATCCCAGAACTTTGGGAGGCCGAGGTGGGCAGATCACGAGGTCAGGAGTTCAAGACCAGCCTGACCAACATGGTGAAACCCTATCTCTACTAAAAATACAAAAATTGGCCAGGCGTGGTGGCGCATGCCTATAATCCCAGCTATTCAGGAGGTTGAGGCAGGAGAATAGCTTCAACCCAGGAGGTGAAGAGCCGACATCGTGCCACTGCACTCCAGCCTGGGCAATAAGGCAAGACTCCGTCTCAAAAAAAAAAAAAAAAAACCGCACGGGGAAATTTTACGGAGTTATAAAAATATTCTGTGTCTTTATAGGAGTGTAGGTTACATGAGTGTGCATATATTAAAACTGATCAAACTGTAAACTCAAGATGTATTTCATTTTTGTAAATTACACCACAATTTAAAAAAACATATTTGGACCACTTAAGAATAATACCATGGAGGCCAGGTGCAGTGGCTCATGCCTGTAATCCCAGCACTTTGGGACGCCAAGGTCAGGAAGGTCACTTGAGGTCAGGAGTTCGAGACCAGCCTGGCCAACATGGTGAAACCCTGTCTCTACCAAAACTACAAAAATTAGCCAGGCATGGTGGCGGGCGCCTGTAATCCCAGCTATTCAGGAGGCTGAGACAGAACTGCTTGAACCTGGGAGGCGGAGATTGCAGTGAGCTCAGATCGTGCCACTGCACTCCATCCCGGGCAACAAGAGCGATACTCCGTCTCAAAAAAAAAAAAAAAAAAAAAAAGGAATATACCATGGAACCTGATACGATTGAGAACCTTAATTTAAAAAACACTGCATAAAAAAGGTAAATGCTGTCATTTCAGGTGATCAGTTGATAATAAAATGTCTACAAACCCAAACTGAAATCATGCAGTAATACATACATTAATTTTTGGATAATCATTAAAGACCATAGAAAATGTAACAGATCCTACTCTTCAAAATAATTGCTATTCAGTATTAAAATAAATAAAGTGAAAGGTGTTGGAAAGATAGAGGAATTGATAGGAATACCACAGAAGTGGAAGAATAGTATGAATATCCATAAATTAATTTATATTAGCAAGAAATAATAATGCTTACATCATCAGATCCAGTCTCGGAAGGCTTTTTTGGGCGCAATGACAGGGGAAAGTGATCCTTCAAAGTCAAACTGAAAAGTAACCCCAAAAGAAAAGATAAAAATCATAAATGCATTCCTGTCAACTGATCAACTTAAAGGATTCAGAAATCAGTTCTGCCAATTATGAAAACTGAGAAAAGCCATCAAAACTCATTTTTTGATCTGGAAAGTCATTATTTAAATATCTTTCTTCTAGGTTACTGTAAAGATGAAATGAAATCATATTAATATATGCAAACATCTAGAACAGTGCCTGGGCTCCTAAGTACTGATTTTAATGGTAGTTTCCTTCCCTCTCCTACTTCTGTAATGACATAGATTACAACACATCTTTGGTAGAAAAAGAAACTTTAGGCATATCCACAATATACCAAGTCTCAAAGGATCAACCCAATATCAGTCAAATGTTAGAACTAAGCAAACATTTATTTACAGTCCACCTACAGTAAACTATCTAACAATTCTATGGCAGAGACAAGTAGCTACTCTGGAAAATCTTTTTTTTTTTTTTTCCTTTACATTCTTTTAATTAAGTCATCATACACACCTTTCATTTTCTTGAAATTTATTTTTATGCCATTCATTAAATTTTTGTTTTCTTCATTCAAATTGTTACCTGTTTTAGAGACAAAATTTTTTTTTTTTTGAAAAATTTTTTTTTTTTAATTATACTTTAAGTTTTAGGGTACATGTGCACATTGTGCAGGTTAGTTACATATGCATACATGTGCCATGCTGGTGCGCTGCACCCACTAACTCGTCATCTAGCATTAGGTATATCTCCCAATGCTATCCCTCCCCCCTCCCCCCTCCCCACCACAGTCCCCAGAGTGTGATATTCCCCTTCCTGTGTCCATGCGATCTCATTGTTCAATTCCCACCTATGAGTGAGAATATGCGGTGTTTGGTTTTTTGTCCTTGCGATAGTTTACTGAGAATGATGGTTTCCAATTTCATCCATGTCCCTACAAAGGACATGAACTCATCATTTTTTATGGCTGCATAGTATTCCATGGTGTATATGTGCCACATTTTCTTAATCCAGTCTATCATTGTTGGACATTTGGGTTGGTTCCAAGTCTTTGCTATTGTGAATAATGCCGCAATAAACATACGTGTGCATGTGTCTTTATAGCAGCATGATTTATAGTCATTTGGGTATATACCCAGTAATGGGATGGCTGGGTCAAATGGTATTTCTAGTTCTAGATCCCTGAGGAATCGCCACACTGACTTCCACAATGGTTGAACTAGTTTACAGTCCCACCAACAGTGTAAAAGTGTTCCTATTTCTCCACATCCTCTCCAGCACCTGTTGTTTCCTGACTTTTTAATGATTGCCATTCTAACTGGTGTGAGATGATATCTCATAGTGGTTTTGATTTGCATTTCTCTGATGGCCAGTGATGAGCATTTTTTCATGTGTTTTTTGGCTGCATAAGTGTCTTCTTTTGAGAAGTGTCTGTTCATGTCCTTCGCCCACTTTTTGATGGGGTTGTTTGTTTTTTTCTTGTAAATTTGTTTGAGTTCATTGTTGATTCTGGATATTAGCCCTTTGTCAGATGAGTAGGTTGCGAAAATTTTCTCCCATGTTGTAGGTTGCCTGTTCACTCTGATGGTAGTTTCTTTTGCTGTGCAGAAGCTCTTTAGTTTAATTAGATCCCATTTGTCAATTTTGGCTTTTGTTGCCATTGCTTTTGGTGTTTTGGACATGAAGTCCTTGCCCACGCCTATGTCCTGAATGGTAATGCCTAGGTTTTCTTCTAGGGTTTTTATGGTTTTAGGTCTAACGTTTAAATCTTTAATCCATCTTGAATTGATTTTTGTATAAAGTGTAAGGAAGGGATCCAGTTTCAGCTTTCTACATATGGCTAGCCAGTTTTCCCAGCACCATTTATTAAATAGGGAATCCTTTCCCCATTGCTTGTTTTTCTCAGGTTTGTCAAAGATCAGATAGTTGTAGGTAAGCGGCGTTATTTCTGAGGGCTCTGTTCTGTTCTCCCAGCATATAAACAGAGCCAAAGACAAAAACCACATGATTATCTCAATAGATGCAGAAAAAGCCTTTGACAAAATTCAACAACCCTTCATGCTAAAAACTCTCAATAAATTAGGTATTGATGGGACGTATTTCAAAATAATAAGAGCTATCTATGACAAACCCACAGCCAATATCATACTGAATGGGCAAAAACTGGAAGCATTCCCTTTGAAAACTTGCACAAGACAGGGATGCCCTCTCTCACCGCTCCTATTCAACATAGTGTTGGAAGTTCTGGCCAGGGCAATCAGGCAGGAGAAGGAAATAAAGGGTATTCAATTAGGAAAAGAGGAAGTCAAATTGTCCCTGTTTGCAGACGACATGATTGTTTATCTAGAAAACCCCATCGTCTCAGCCCAAAATCTCCTTAAGCTGATAAGCAACTTCAGCAAAGTCTCAGGATACAAAATCAATGTACAAAAATCACAAGCATTCCTATACACCAAGAGCAGACAAACAGAGAGCCAAATCATGAGTGAACTCCCATTCACAATTGCTTCAAAGAGAATAAAATACCTAGGAATCCAACTTACAAGGGATGTGAAGGACCTCTTCAAGGAGAACTACAAACCACTGCTCAAGGAAATAAAAGAGGATACAAACAAATGGAAGAACATTCCATGCTCATGGGTTGGAAGAATCAATATCGTGAAAATGGCCATACTGCCTAAGGTAATTTACAGATTCAATGCCATCCCCGTCAAGCTACCAATGACTTTCTTCACAGAATTGGAAAAAACTACTTTAAAGTTCATATGGAACCAAAAAAGAGCCTGCATCGCCAAGTCAATCCTAAGCCAAAAGAACAAAGCTGGAGGCATCACACTATCTGACTTCAAACTACACTACAAGGCTACAGTAACCAAAACAGCATGGTACTGGTACCAAAACAGAGATATAGATCAATGGAACAGAACAGAGCCCTCAGAAATAACGCCGCTTACCTACAACTATCTGATCTTTGACAAACCTGAGAAAAACAAGCATAGAGATCTACAGGTTTCTGAGGTTCTGTTCATTTTTCTTCATAATTTTTTTTTCTTTCTGTTTCTCAGTCTGGAAAATCTCAAATGAACAATGTTCAAGATTGCTGATTATATCTTCCACCTGATCAAATCTGCTGTTGAGCTCCTCTTAAAATTTTCCTTTTAGTTATCTTTTTAACTCTAGCATTCCTATTTGATTCTTTTTTTTTTTTATCATTTCTATCTCTTTACTGATATTCTGTGTTAGATAAACACCATTTTCATCCTTTCCTTTAGTTATTTAGATATGGTTTTCTTTAACCCTTTGAACTAAATTTAAAGACTTTTTCTAATAAGTTTTATGTCTGGGCTTCCTCTGGAACAGTTTCTATTAATCGATTTTGTCCTGTGTATGAGACATATTTTCTTGTTTCCTTACATGTCTTGTAATTTTCTGTTAAAACTGGACATTAAAAATGCAATGTGGCAACTTTAAAAAATCAGATTCTTTCTCTACTCCTCAGGTTATGTTGTTTTTACAGTTTGTTGGTGTTTTTGTTTTTTAGTAACTTTTCTGATGTAATTGTGTTATAAGTCTGTATTCTTTGTCTTGTGTAGCCACTGACGTCTCTGCTTTGTTAGTTTAATGGTCATCTAATGATTGGAGAGAAATTTCTTTAAGGATCAGGAACTAGTAAGTCTCTGTCAATGAAAAAGAGTTATACTATGTAAAATATTTGAAGAGATTTATTCTGAGCCAAATATGAGTGGCCAATGGCCCATGACACAGCATTTAGGAGATCCTGAGAACATGGGCCCAAAGTGGTTGGGTAACAACTTGGTGTGACATATTTTAGGGAGACATAAGGCATCAATCAATACATGGAAGATGTATATTGGTTCAGTCCAGGAAGGTGGGACAAGTGGAAGTGGGGGTTTCCATATCATAGGCGGATTCAAAGGTTTTCTGATTGGTAATTGGTTGAAAGAGTTACTATCAATAGAAAGGAATATCTGGGTTATGATAAGAGGTTGTGGAAACCAAGATTTTGTCATGCAAATGAAGCCTCCAGGTAGCAGGCTTCAGACAGACTAGATTGTAAATGTTTCTTATCAGATTTAGAGTCTGTTCTGTTAGTAACTCCAGAAAGGAGGAGGGTATTACCAGGTTTGTCCAGCTCTGCCTTCCCATCATGGCCTGAACTTCTTTTTCAGGTAAACTTTGGAATGCCCTTGACAGAGAGGAGGGTTCCATTCAGATGGTTGGGGTAGGACGACCTTAGATTTTTCTTTTTGGTTTACATCTCCAAGTTTTTGCTGAGGTGCTCTACATGCATGTTGGGGAATGTCTTCCACACTCATCCAAGCAGTTGACAATTCCACCTTAAACTTAGATTTTGACAATATCTTCTTGTCCAGAACTTTAAGGGAGCCATTGACGAGGGTTTAGGACCTTCTAAGATCTTTTCCAAGCCTGCACACAGCTCTGTGCATGTGCAAAGCCTATCTTACTCCTGCTCATGGCCTTCCAGATTTCCCAGAATATGTCAGAGCTTTTCAAAGCCCCTATGAACATCCATTCTCCAGTTTTCACTTTAAGCTTTTTAATTAGCCTATTGTTTGTTGCAACTATTATCCACTATCTCAAGCATCTGTGAAGTTAAACAATTGCCTCTAAATGTTTTTAACAAATGCCCCTGAAGAAATGGCTTTTCACACTGGGCAAACTCCAAGTCAGATTAAATAAAGACAGCCTTGCAAGTGGGGTCTTTCAGAGAACCACTAGACGGGTTTTCTCTGTGACTGGGGGCTGCTGGTTTTCGAGGCTGCCATGAAGCTGGAGAAAGGGTGATGCGAATGGGGCAAGTTAAAATGTCACAAACCTCACTATTCTAGGTGAAATTCAGTTGTTTTGCTTGAGCAAACAATCCTTGGATGGCTGCAACACTTTGGTAAATTTCCAGAGTTCTAAAAAGTTGATTCTGATTATTTTTGTCACTTTTCTCATTATTTTTATAGAGGAGAGAATTTTGCTGAGATCACCGGATTGCATTATCTTTTCCAATATTGTCTAAATAAAATTAATATGTTAAATTATAAAGGCACATAACAAACCATCTTACTAAAACGATTGGTCCATGTAAACAAATTCCTTTGGATTTAAGTAGTCAGTCGAGTGACTCATACACCTTTTCTGACCACCGTTGTCTGACTGCTTTGGCAGACTCCAAAGCCTGGGCTGTGGTGGACCTGTATCCCCACTCCCTTCTCTGCGTGCTCAGCACTGGGTGGTTTTACTCAGCAGTTAGCATGAAACCCTCTCAGGTAGTAAAGTCTTTTGAAGATATAATGTGGGAGCGTTCACCAGACATCAAGAAAATTGCATGAACAGGTCCTCTCATTAGAGGGACACGCTCCCAACTGTTAGCAGAGTTGGAATTTTCCACCTACTGTGGCTGCAACATTGATCCTGTAGAAGTATGGGAATGAAGAATAATGATGCTCACTCTTGGGGAAATGGGTACCCAGGAGGACTTCAAGGTCCACCTTCTAACTCCTTATTCACATTTCATAATCCTTTCACTACTTTGATGCACATGTGCTGTACCAATCTACAAAGCATTACTTGAGGGCAACTCTGCCGTGGAACTCATGCTCCCCTGTTAAAGGTCCCTTCCCAGCCTTTGCCATGGGTCCCTTCTTTGATAAAATGCAGGCTACCAAAAGACTTGCATGGATTAATTATTAATTAATTTTGTTTCACATCAATTGTAATGAATTCGTATGGACTATTTCACCTATACACATTTTTATTGAACTAAATCAAACCTAATGAGGTTTCCGACCAAAGTAAAGAGGCCTCTCCTCAGCTCTAAAGAAAGAAACATGGCAGCAGGATGTACTGCATTCTTAGGGTTAGACTCAGATTTTCTACTGGCATTTTGTAATGTAGTATTTCAAACATATATAAAAATGAATCTACCGTCTACTTCTGTCACTTGATGCCAATCTTCTATATCACCCTTGTGTCCACGTCACACACACTTCTCACCCCATTCCTGCTTTACCTTGAAGCCAATTTCAGTTCTTAGATAATTTTATTTGTAAGACATTCAGCATGTACCTCCAGAAGATAAGGGTCGTTCTTCCGTGACAGTTTTATTGAAGTATAATGGCCACATAATAAATTGTACATAATGGAAGTGTGTATTTGAGAAGTTTTTTATGTTTATGTCTCTGAAACTATCATAACAATTAAATAATGAACATGTCCATCACACCCAAGAGTTTCCTTGTGCTATTTTGTAGCCCAAAATACATGCTGAATATTTTAAAACTAAAATGTGACTTTAACCCTTCCCCTGCTGCTGTCCGACTCCTTCCCCCAATAGGCAAATACTGATCTGCTTGCTGTTACTATAGATTAGTACACTTCCTAGAATTTTATGTAACTAAAATCATATAGTATGTGCTCTTTCTTTGTCCATGTTCTTTTATTCAGCATCATTCTATTGGATTCAATAATGCTGTTATAGGTATCAATTGTTCCTTTTTTAAATTATTGGTTAGCATTCCATTATATGACTACGTCACAATTGGTTTATCCATTCACCTGCTGGGGTACAACTGGGTGATTTTCGGTTTTTGGCAATTACAAATAAAGCTATTATGAACACTTGTTTAAAAGCCTTTGTGTGAATATATGCTTTCATTTTTTGTGGGGTGTAAATAACCAAGTGTGGAATGACTGAGTCATATGGTAGATATATTTTTAACTTTTAAAAAAACAACAAAATGCTCTTCAGCATGGTCAAACCATTTTCCATTCCCACTAGCTGTGAATGGAGTTCCTGTTGGTTCCACATCCTTGCAAACACTTGATATGGTCAGACTTTTCAATTTCATCCATTCTAGTGGGTGTTATTATCTCACTGTGGTTGTAGTTTTCATTTCTCTAATGACTAAAGGTGTTGGGCCTCTTCTTGTTTACTTATTTGCCAGTCCTACAAACGACTTGGTGAGATGTCTTTTTCAGATCTTTTGTCAACTAAAAAAAAAGTATGTTGCTTTTCTTCTTAACTTCTTTATACATTCTGGATACAAAACCTTTATTATATATATGTTTTGCAAATATTTTACCTCAGTCTGGGGCTTTCCTTTTCATTTTCCTAAATGTCTTTTGAAGAACAAAAGTTTATGTTTTATTTTTATGAGGTTCAGTCAATACCTTATTTCTAATTTGTGTTTTATCTATTGAATTTAACAGATCACTGCCAAAACCAAGATCACCAAGGTTTTCTCTATTTTCTCCTGTTTTCTTTTAGGAGTTTTATAGTTTTAGCTATTACATTTATGTCTATGATCTATTCTGAGTTAATTTTTTATATGGTATGAAGTAATGACGGAGGTGGAGGTTTTCACTTTTTTCTTTCTTTTCTTTCTTTTTTGCATATAGTTACTCAATTTTTCCAGCATCATTTGATGAAGATTATACTTTCTATGCTAAATTTCTTTGGTGCCTTTGTCAAAAATAAATTGACCATGTAAATATGAGTCTATTTCTGGATTCTCAATTCTTTTCTACCCATCTGTGTACCCATCTTGACACCAATCCTACTGATTACAGTTGCTTTACGATAAGCTACAGTAATCACAAAGTAAATTGTAAAGCTTTATAATCAGCTTTATAATAAGAATACAGGACTTGAGAGGTTTCTAGTGTGATCTGAGAGACCAAAATAGACACCCCTTTACCAACTAAGACAGATCTTAAGGTTAGGGAAAAAGTTACCTATAAGCCCAGGGTTTAGGGCTTGGCTGGCGTGGCAACTCCCTAAATTCCTATGGTTACAAGAAAAACCACACCCTTGTTAAACTCCCAACAGTAGAGCTAATCAGGCAAATTGTCAGACGCCTCCTAACTCTGGTTGGACAGAGGACTGGTCTTACAAGGATTCTTTCCAGATGAGCAGCTGTAGCCCTCAAGTCCCTTTGGAGAGCTTGTGCACAAACTGCCTTTGTGTCTGATAGCTCACCTTTTGATGTAAAGAGCCAAATTCCACCTCATTTTAATGCTAAAATCCTGCCCCTAAGTGAACATGGGATGTGTTACATGTATGTTTATCCATTGCCCATGTAGTTGGCTCCCCTCATAAATATATATAGCTTTCCCCCCAAACCTACTGAATATGCATGACTCTATTATATAATACCGACCCTGTAAGGCACAAAATCCAAGCTGCCCTTGCCCTCTTTGAAGAGGGAGCATCTTTGCTCCACACTGGAGGCTATCTTTTCCCAGTTTGCAAACATATCACCAATAAGACTCTCCTTTCTACTATTTAGCCCTCCTGGTGATCTTCTGGACAACCCCGGCTTGCCCCAAAGTTCCTGTCCCCACATCCTGGAGGGCCTCGTGCCTCTCTGGGAAGTGGGACTGGGATGCAAGAGCCCTTTGAGGTCTTCCCCTGCCTTGACATAAATGAAAAGACAGTAGGGGAGCCTGGCTCAGAAGAAAGAGTTGCAGAGTGTGGTCTGGATCACCCAGCAGGACCAGTTATGCTGCCTGCCTGCCAGGAAGTGTTGAAAAGTGACAAATGAGAGGTACCAAGGAGGTGGGTGTCTTTGATTCTACACAAAGATGACTAGGAGGACAGGAAATAGCAGCTTATGCACACTGGGTCACCTATAGGTTCAGTCAAGATTGTGGTCTTAAAATATAGAAGACCTGAATGGCCTCCTTTCTATTTGTCTCCTTACTGAAAAAATAATCCCATACCATGTTTTTGGGTATTGGAGAAGGGAACACATTTGAATTATACTGAGGATAAAACCTCTAAGAATTCTCACAGGGCTCAGAGGAGAGGCCATGACTGGCTTGTGGGGCAGGTAAGCAGTAGGGAAAGGAAGGGGGGTGAGTGTAAAGGCACAGTGGTGACCTTCAGCAAGGCCTCATAGGAAAGAGAGGAGGTGGGGAATGTAGGTAATTCTTGTTAGGGGCAACAAATGAGTATTAGTGAGAATGAATAGATGGTGGGGGAGGGGGGACAGAAACTAACCTGTTAATTATTCTCTTTTGAATTTTAATGAGCCTGAGAAACAGACATTATCTTGTGAAAAGGTCCATCCAGGTACGAGATTTCAGGGAACAGATGGAAAGCAATTGCTGTCCTTGGTGGGTCCAATCTTTATACAGATAACCAAAAGCCTTTTCCAGCATCTGCTTGTCTCCAAGGGCCTTTAATTCAAAATATTCATCATGCCAGGGTGCCATATCTTGGGATAAAATTATTATTATTATTATTATCTTAATGTACAAAAGTGGAGAGTTCAGATTCCCTTTCTTTGAGCAAAATTTGCAGAAGTAATGACCTAAGGACATTCACCAAACTCACATTTCCAGCACAGGCTGGTTTCCAGCCAATGTTTCCCAGCTTTTGGGTACGCGCTTGCATTCCAGGAGCTGCTTTTGCAAGTTTGGCTCCATGGTCCAACGCATTTAGGAACTGCTGCCGACTGTGTCCCCTTTTGAAGATTTGTGAAAAAATCAACATATCAAAGGCCCTGAACCCATGAAAAATGCTCAAAACAACTAGTCATTAGGGAAACAAAAATCAAAATCACAATCACAATTAGGTACTACTTCATACCTACTTCATACCCACTGGGATGGCTATAATAAAAAAGGACAGACAATAATAAGTGTTGGTGAGAATGTAGGGAAACTGGAACTCGTGTACACTGCTGGTGGGAATGCAAAATAGTGCACCTGCTTTGGAAAAGAGTCTGGGAGTTCCTCTAAAAGCTCAATGTAGAATTACCATATGACCCAGCAATTCCACTCCTCTGTATAGACCCAAGAGAACTGAAAACATATGGTCAAATACAACTTGCTCATGAATGTTTATAATGACGTTATTTATGATAGCCAAAAAGTGGAAACAACCCAAATGTCCATCAGTGCATACATGCAACAATGTGGATGAACCTTGAAAACATTAAGTTAAATGAAAGAAGCTGGTCGCAAAAGATCACACAGTAAATGAGTCCATCTGTATGAAATGTCCAGAATAGGCAAATCTATAGAGGCAGAAGGTAAATTAGTGGTTGTCAGGGGCTAGGAAGGAAGTGGATGGGAAATGGCTGCAAACAGCATGAGGTGTTTTGGGTGGTGATGGAAACATTCTGCAGTGACATTGTGGTGATGGATACACAACTCTATACTAAAAGCCAATGAGTTGTTTACTTAAAGTGGGTGAACTTTATGCTATACAAATTATATCTCAATACAGATTTCTTTAAGTCTTCAGGAAGCCCTCTGGTAAAGAAATCAGCCTAACCCAGCCCTGCACTCATCTGACCACCAAAGCTTTTCCTCACATTGGCACTCTGAGAAACTGGTATTCTGAAGAATATGTTTTAGGAAAAACTGCTTTAGACAACAGGAATTTGGCAAGAGGAACTTTGTTTCTGTGAACACATATTTGGCATGTCAGGGTGCATCCTTTTGTATTTTATTTATATTTGATGTGTCTATGTCCTGTCTTCTTGGTGGCTTTATAAACATTTTGGGGAGGGAAAGTATGATTTATTCTCTTTGAGTTCCTACTTCTCACCCATACGATCCATAATGTAGTGCACACATAAATATCTCTAAATATGCAGTTGGGACTTTGCATCACTAATGAGTTAAACTATTCAACAAAGCCAAAAATATGTATTATGGGCCCTTAAGTGCCAGGCACAGTTTTGGGCATGGGGATACAAGAATGAGGGAGCTTATGATCCAATCTGAGACCAGGCCAGGGGCCATACAGTAGAGGCATTTCTCCCTGGAGGGTTAAGTTCTGAAGTCATTCCCAAGGCACATTTTTCATGTAGTTGAAATTATTGAACACCTTAATGGAGGCACCATATTTGAGACTCACCCCCTTGCTGTTGAAAAGCAGACACAACCAATTTCTTCTTCACTGTTGGAAAAGATTGCTTTCCCTTTGGTTGGGCACCAGTTGAACACTTGTACTTAACAGCTATTTTGGCCAAAACCGTGTCTCCTCAAAGGTGAGTCCAGGTCAGGCATGGCGGCTCATGCCTGTAATCCCAGCACTTTGGGAGGCCGAGGTGGGTGGATCACGAGGTCAGGAGTTCGAGACCAGCCTGACCAACATGGTGAAACCCCGTCTCTACTAAAAATACAAAAATTAGCTGGGCGTGGTGATGCACGCCTGTAATCTCAGCTACTCAGGGGGCTGAGCCAGGAGAATTGCTTGAACCCGGGAGGTGGAGGTTGCAGTGAGCCAAGATCGCACCACTGCACTCCAGCCTGGGTGACAGAGTGAGACTCCATCTCAAATAAAAATAAAAATAAAAATAAAAATAAAAATAAATAAAAAGGTGAGTCCCACTGGGGCAAATCTAGGTGCTCCTGGCCTCAGCAGTATGCAAGAAGGACAAGCACAGATAAGAGTGAGGGATGCACTCCTCTACCCTCCACTCAGCATCCACCCTGGGTTGTAGCTAGGATGGCACACAGACTGACTGGCACAGTCTAAATAACTTTTTCTTTATTTTAAAAAATTTGCTGCCTGCTTACACACTTATATGAGCTTGTTCTGTGACTCCACAATCCTGAAGGTCAGCCTAAAGTCCAAACACTGGGCACTGAAGGAAGAAAATGACCCTGGAGACGAAAAGGACAGCTGGCTCACAGGAAAGCTGCTCATGGCAGGCAAAACTGGAGGACAGAGAAACGCACTGACCTTGGATGATACAGTTTGGATGTTCATTCACCCCAAATCTCATATTGAAATGGGATCTCCAGTGGGTCCTGGAGGTGGGCCCTAGTGGGAGGTGTTTGGGTCATGGAGGAGGATCCCTCATGAGGGGCCTGGTGCCGTCCCCACGGTACGGAGTCTTGCTCTACTTATTTCTGCAAGATTGGATTTTTTTAATCTGGCACCTCCATCCTTCTCTCTGTTGCTCTCTCTCTCACATGTAACATGCCTGCTCCCCTTTGACCATGACTGGTCATGAGTGAAATCTTCCTGAGTCCTTACCAGAAGCAGATGCCGGTGGCCATGCTTCTTCTTCTTCTTCTTTTTTTTTTTTTTTTTTTTTTTTATGGAGTCTCGCTCTGTTGCCCAGGCTGGAGTGCAGTGGCACGATCCTGGCTCACTGCAAGCTCCACCTTCTGGGTTCAAGCAATTCTCTGCCTCAGCCTCCCGAGTAGCTGGGATTACAGGTGCCTGCCGCCAAGCCCAGCTAATTTTTTGTATTTTTAGTAGAGATGGCGTTTCGTCATCTTGGCCAGGTTGGTCTTGAACTACTGGCCTCGTTATCCACCCACCTTAGCTTCCCAAAGTGCTGGGATTACAAGCATGAGCCACTGTGCCCAGCACCATGCTTCTTCTATAGCCTACAGAACTATGAGCCAAATAAACCTCTTTTCTTTAAGAATTACACAGACTCAAATTAGCCTGGCGTAGTGGCGGGCACCTGTAGTCCCAGCTACTCAGGAGGCTGAGGCAGGAGAATGGTGTGAACCCGGGAGTTGGCGCTTGCAGTGAGCCAAGATGGCACCACTGCACTCCAGCCTGGGTGACAGAGCGAGACTCCGTCTAAAAAAAAAAAAAAAAAAAAAAAAAAAAAAAAAAAAAAGAATTACCCAGATTCAGGTATTCCCAGCAACACAAACAGACTAACACATGGGGTCTCCCAAGATAACACACTGCAAATGTGGGAAAGGAGCCTGGAAAGAACCATGGGAAAGAAGTTGATGTGATCAGAACACCCCCACCGAGGGCAGGCGCTTAGCAGATCCCCTGTCTCTGAGTTAGCAGCAGCAGGAAGCCTCCCCTGGGAGACGCTGGCTGCAGGATGAGGCTGCCAGCCTCCACCAGGGACATCTGGAAGCCACTCTTGCTGGCTTCTGTGGAGGCAGAGGGCAGCCTTTCCAGCAGGCCACAGGCTCTCTGGAGGCTCTTGGGGCCCATCCTACCCTCAGGGAACCTGGGGAGGAAGTGTCAGCTGACTGCTCCTGGGTCACTCACGGAAGCCCCTTTTCCTGCCCCAAAATGAATCTGAAGAGAAGAAATCCTAGCGTCTGCCAAGTGCTATCACCCAGCCTTGCAGCATGAACATATCCAAGGGGCCTGATGAGCAGCACCTGGTCTCCCACTGGCTCAGACACTTGAAGCTACTGAATTTACATGTAATTAAAGACTGAGTGCAGACCGCATTTCAAAACAGACACTTGGTTAGAGATAGGAGGCCTTCCCCATCAGATGGTTTTGTTTTGCTTTTCCTCTGCATATGGGCCTTACAATTTGCCAAGGAAAGGTTACAGGGGCCACTGTTGTTTAGTTTGAAGATGAGAAAGCTCAAGAATGACCTAACTACTGTCTTCAAATATGCAGAGGCATTTATTACAAGGAGGGAACGGCTGGCTGTTTTTTTCTTAAACTGCAAGAAAAGGCAGCTCAGCTAAAATCCTAAAGACCTGCACACATGGCCTCCACACTCAGCCCTTCCCCACAGCACCTTGCACATAGGAAGCACACTTCTTGCCGTAAAACCCAGGACTGCCTGCCTTTGATAAGGAAGCTTAGACCTTGACTATGATTGAGGAAGGAGGCCACGGTATCTATTTTAGAGAAGTCTAGTAGGTTCTGCCTGGTGGCTGGCAGTCAGGTCACTGAGTTTATGGCAGAGGGGTACAGGATCCTCAGTGACGGAGGCCTTATTCATGGCAGGGCCCTTAGTGTGGCTGACAGGTGGGTCATCAAAGCTCTGGCGCAGACGTGACTGAGCTGAACTCCTCTGAATAATAGAGTTGAGAACATGGAAGCCTACAGCTATGAGGAAGTCCAGGAGGAGACGGGAGAAGCTGGGGAGGCTGGTGCTACTGCTGGAAGACAGGCCAAAGAGGAAGAATGAAAAAAAATTCCAGCAGGCCATTGAGAAAGAACTTTGAACAACAAATGTTTAATAGGGATTGCAGCAGTGTGATGCAGTCCCCAACTTTGATTTCCTGCTCCACACGAGATCCTAGTGAACTGTCTCTAGTTATTACTCCTTAGCTCCATGTAGTTCCAGATCCTTTCCTGTGAGTGGATTTGGCTTGGACAGAAGAGGGAAGACTTATGTGGAGGTGGGCGCTTGGCTGCCGCCACCATTGTGGCCATCTGGAAAGGGTTAATCTTCGAGAGGAGAGCCCAGTGACTGTCGTGCATTGCCTGGGACAGCCCAGACACCTAATTCTGATCAGACAGAAGTCCCTGATCAGATGAAAAGAAAAAGCAAAGATTCTGTCTGTCCTGACCGCCCTGCAGGTTAAGCTGCCCTGCAGCCAGCAGAGTGCCTGGCATACGGGAGGCACCCTGTGCAGCAGCCAGGGCTACTCGCCCAACTGGGAGGAGGCGGATGGTGGGTAAAAGTGAGCACTGGGCCTTCCTGATGTGAGGCGAGGATGTGGATCTGGGAGGAAAGACAAATGAAGAAGCAGGTGGACAGCCCCAGCTGGGCTCCAGGTGGGGCCTGGGGTAAAGTGACCCTTCTGCATTGCTTTCCTGCTCTGGGTACCCGTAACTGCTAACAGACCAGGGCTGAGTCCCCAGGCAGCCTTCTTGTCTGGGGTTCAGTCTGTGCCACCCTCTCCAACTCACCTACTCTCTGTTTTCCATCTGCACTGAGACCTTGTGAACCACCGTGAAAAATGCTTCTCACTTCCAGTCCCAAGAGAGGTGGAGAGCCGCAGTAGAACGTTGCAGAAGGAGAGGCGGCTTCTAGCTGGGGATGTGGGGGCTGGCCCTTGAGCAGGACTTTGCAGGATGGGGTGGACATCCATTGCTATATATTCTCCTGGTGCTGTGCTATAGGACCCCCTACTGTTTCAGGAATAAAGCCCAGCCCCTGCCAGGTGCTTGCAGTCCAGGGGGCACCCAGGTGAGTGGCAGTCAGGGCCAACACTGTGTGGTGGCAGGGCTGGGCTGGGAGCCTCACATACATTTTCCTCATGATCTTCCCCTGTGACCTTGGTGATTTCCTGAGATTTTTGTCAGTCCTTCCCGTTCTGCAAGTTGATCAGTTTGGCCCTTTGGTTTTCAGATTTTTATGGAAAGAACTTCTCTCATCCCTGCTTCATATCCTTTCAGTTCTGTCCAAAGGCAAATCTCTGACGCATTCCCACTCCGGCCATCTGACGAGTGCTGGGTCACGAGGGCAGGCTGCAGCCTCCCTTGCAGTTCCTTGCCTTAGACGCCCGTGCCAGCCCATTCAACCATCACAAATGCTCAGACAGAGCAGAAGGTTCCCAACAGGCTGCGCCTGCGCTGGACCACCCCCTTTCCTCCTTCCTTCAGCTGCCCCTCTTTCTGGATGGGTAAAAGCACTTCCATGTTTTCAGAGGCGTGGAGGGAGCCCGAGAAGAGCAGATGTTGACACCACCATCACTGCCTGCAGCAGTGAGACCAGGGGCACAGTTTTTGTTGAAAGGGTCGACCAGGAAGCACTTCCTTGACTCTGTCCTAAAGCCTCTGGAGAGCCCTTAAATTTGTGGTCCTTGAAGCTATTGTAAAGGTAAGATTTTTTTTTCTCCTCAAGTCCTACCCATCCTGACTTTTCAAGTTTGTGGTGTCTCTGATAATCTCTGCTCCTGTTCTTTGAGACCATCCCCCTCACTCTCCACTCTCCAACGTGACACCTGTAAAGTCTCTTCCAGGGATCTGGGGCTGCATTCCAGGGTCTCTTTGCTCTGCGCTCTCTGAGGCCTCAGACTGTTGTAATAAATCAAATGGCAGCGATCTTCTGCAACATCATCCTTCTTCCTTCTGCTTTCCTATGAGGGCTGAAATTCAATGTGTTTGTAGAGGACTCCGTGTGAGGGTCTCAAGGGAATTTCCAATTTGGCGCAAGGGAAGGAAGGGAGAGAGAGACTAAAAATTGCTTGATGGCCACCATGTGCCGGGTGCTCCCAATATAGTCTCAAACTCATGACATCTCCCAGCCAATGGATTCACCCCCTTTACCAGTTCCACCTGGAGCTCCCTCTCCCAGACAAGCAAAGGCCGTGTTGGGGGACTCTGAAGTCAGCTGCCTGCCATTCCATCTCAGGTGTTACCGTGGGAAAGTTGTTTAACCTCTCCGAGCCTCAGTTCCTTCACATGTAAAATGGACCTACAAGTTTCTCACGTAGGGTTGCCCTGGGGCCAGGATTTCCAGATAAAATATAGGATGCCTGGTATAAAAGTTGTATGGGACATACTTATACTAAAATATTATTTGTTGCTTATCTGAGATTCAAATCTAACTGGATATCCTAAATTATTATTTATTATTGTTTTTGCTAAATCTGACAATCTACCTGAAGTTTAAGTGACACGTGAATGCCAAGGCTTGGCACAGGGCCTAGGGCCTAACGCATAGGAGGGTCTCAGTGAGTGACAGCCATTGTTGTTTCTGGGAGTTTCTGGGAAAGTTATCGAGAAGACTTCAAGGGGAGATGGAGAAGTTTATGGTTTGGTTGGAAATATTGCTGATCCCTTGCAATGTGCAGGTATTATTCAGGAACAAGATGGGCAAAACATGAATAGGACAAGCTTTCTGCTCTCCAGGGACTCCCTTGAAGATGTGTCACAACCCCAAGCCAGTATGGTAAGTGTTATAAATGCAGTACATACCTGTACCAAATGCTACACAGGACAGAGAAGTCACTCACCTGCCAGGGCACTGGAGGCCAGAACTGCCAAGGAAGTGGGCAGGCCTCTCAGGCAAGCCTTTTGAATGTGGGGCTTGGTGGGGGTGGGCAAGAGGAGAGTTTGAGGTTCTCCAGGTGGTAAGATGTGCATGGTCGGCTCAGGGCTCACGGCCAGAACGAAGGCGGAGGGGAAGGTGTGAGGTGAGGCGTGTTGGTTGTCAGTGGGGCTGGGCCCATTTTTCATAGACAGTGGGAACTCAGTGTTCTAATTATTTTTTCTTTTTTCCAGTTTTTAAATATATAAAAATGTCACTAGAATGCTTTTTTCTCTGGACCTCTTTGCTTTAAATTGGACTCTTCTGGGAAGTCCAGTAGTTCAATCAAGTCCTAGGTGATGGTTTCTCTGTGTTTTCCATGCCAGCAGCCCTGATGGAGAGTGCAGAGGCTCCGAGAATCCACTCTTGCATAAAACGTTGTCCTCTCCCGCCCCACACTTGACTTGCCGTCTGGCAGCTCTTTCTCATCTGGGCCATGTCCCAGTGGAGGGATGGGGCAGAAGAGGCCAGACAGCAGGCTGTGCCCTTGCTCCCTGCTAGCAGACACGGCCTTGGCCTATTCTGAGCTCAGCAGTTCTGTTTCTCCTGGTTGCTGGACGCGGGCCATGGCATTTGCTGTGCACTCTGTTATCTGGAACTCTCGGCTCCCTTGGCTCACCCGTCTCCCGCCCTGTGGCATTCTGCATGGCCTGCATTTGACAGGCCCACCCCCTCATTGCCTGGGGAACCTGCCCACGTGGCATTTAATACTCATAATACTCTTGGTGTGGGGAATGGAGGACAGGGGAGGGTACATAGTGACACAGAACAGACATTATGAGGGAAACTTTGATATATAAGTAAGTGGACAAGGGAGTGTGCAAATACGATCATACACATGTGAGCCATATTTATGTAATCCCATATACACATACATAAGCATGCATGCACACTCACAAGGTGGATGGATTACTGTGATTACCACTCAGGAACCATTTTGGAAAAACCTCTCAAATCATGTTTTTCCTCTGCTCTCACACTGCAACAGCAATCAACAACAGAAGAAGGCTTCTGTGACCAAATGTGTGGGGATTTTCCCCACACACCAAGCAGTGGACACCAGCTGGGTGTCCTCCAATTCCCTTCCATCACTGCCTACCAGGAGATAGCATCAGATCCCACAACTTAAGAGCTCAGTCCCACAAGACTGCCTCCCACTTTCCACCAGTCTCAAGTCCAGGTCTTTGGAACTTCTGACTGACCCACTTCAAGCTGGGGTTCCCAAGACCCCCTCTTTGGATTCCATTTGCTAGAGTAGCTCACAGAACTTGGGTAAACACTTAACAATTATAGGTTTGTTAGAAAGATATTTTAAAGGATACAAATAAACAGCCAGATGAAGAGATACACAGGGCAAGGTCTGGAAGAGTCTGGTCCTCGTGGAGCTGGGGCAGCCACCCACTCGGCACATGGATGACTACTCCACCTTCCAGTCTGTCTCCACGTGCTCAGCTCTCTGAACACTGTCCTCTTGGGTTTTCTCTCCCTTCCTTCCTGCCTTCCTTCCTTCCTTCCTCTTTCCTTCTTCTTTCCTTTTCCCTTCCTTTCGTTTCCTTTTCTTTTTTCTTTTCCTTTCTCTTTCTTTTTCTTTTCTTTCCTTCTTTCTTTCCTTCCTCCTTTCTTTTCCTGTCCTTTCTTTCCTTTTATTTTCCTTTCCTTTTCTTTCTCTTTCTCTTTCTCTCTTTCTTTCTTTATTTCTCTCTCTCTCTCTTGCTCTGTCACTCAGGCTGGAGTGCAGTGGCACAATCTCAGCTCACTGCAACCCCCACCTCCCAGGTTCAAGCGATCCTCCTGAGCAGCTGGGACCACAGGCACAAGCCATCATGCCCAGCTAATTTTTGTATTTCTTTTGGTGGAGATGGGGTTTTGCCATGTTGCCCAGGTTGGTCTTGAACTCCTGGGCTAAAGTGATCCACCCACCTTGGCCTCCCAAAGTGCCGGGATTACTGGTGTGAGCCAACATACCTGGCCCGTCTTGGGTTTTTATGGAGCCTTCATTACATGGCATGACTGACAACCATGTAGAAATGTGATTGGGCAAAAAGAACACAATCTAAACCCAGCAAGACCTGCCCGTTCAGACTTTTCCTAGCCTCTCTGTGCAGCATTTCTTCCTTTAGGGGCTGGGGCAGGACCTGCTCTGAAATGAAGGTCTTTTGACCCACAATCGGATTAGAGTCCCGCCTTGGGCAGGAGAAAGGAGAACAGGAAAAACTCAGAGAGAGGGACGTTGTCTCCTGAGGCCTAACGCTCCCAACATTATAACAAGGACTATGAGAGTGATGAGCCAGGAACCATGAATGAAAACCTATGCATATGTATCATAACACCACAGGCACATAAGCAGAGAGAAAAATGCCTAGAAAGATATTGAAAATATATCCAATAAGGTATAAATGTAAATAGCAGTGGTTAGATTATGAGTGACTTTAATTTTCCCTTCCAATTTAGCTGTATTTTCTAGTTTTTCTGAAATGAATATGTATCATACAATAAAAAGTAATACAAAAAGAAAAAACAAGTTATTTTCTACAGTATCTCATAGAAATCAGAGCACTGCTTTTGTGAGCATAATTTTGTCAGTGAACCCAAGGGGGTGGCATGAGAGTGTGAAGTGGGGTCTGCAGCGGGCGGCATGGCCACTTGCTGGCTGGTCTCCACCAGCCCTTCATCTCTCTTGGCAGCTGGTCTGGAGTCTAAACTAGGCCCTGCATTGAACTCTGTGGCCCTCAGTCTCCTCCATGTAAAATGAGAGGATTCAGCTAACATCCCAGGGATGGCAAATCAGAGATGGTATGTGAGCTGAAACTTCTCACTGATTCCTTGGGAAAGATCCAGGTTCCTCATGAAAGACGGCCGTAATTGATTATGATATCTGCTATGGCAACCCAGGGCAAGGGGTGCCACCAACCCTCCCAGCTCAGCAGGCAGCAGCAGCCCCGCCCTCCTGGGCTCCCCTGACCTTCCTTCAGTGCCTCAATTATAGCTGTCATTGTGTTTAGCAATTATACAGTGGGAGTTCTGTTGTGTTTATTTTTAAATTGCCAATACCAGACATAGGAATAAATGAATGATGAATGGATTACTCAGAAAACAATTACTAAATGTGAACGCAATTGCTAAACAAAGGTGTGCAGTTTTCCAAGGTACTGGAGGTCTTTGTTTAGACACATCAATTCTGCTTTATTACTTTACCATCTAAAGCATGCCAGGTTGTAAATGACAGTGTAAATCTCCATGACAATGTCAATGTCAATGTCAATGTCAATCTCCATGACAGTGCTGTCATGGAGACAGCACTGGCTGCCAGTCTGCCATCCATCTTTACCATGTTTGGACTCTCCTTTTATGGTGTAGTGGGTAGAGCACCATGAAGTGTGTGGATCCAGGCTGCGCCCCCTTTTGGCTGGGTTATCTTCAGCACATCACTTTAACTTCCTTGGGCCTCAGGCTTTCTTGTTTATCAAGGTCCCTTCTGGCTTCAGAAACTCCATGCCCTTGAGTTGGCTCTCAGCCTCTGCAGAACTCAGATTGGGGCTATTCTGATGGGAGGTCATTTGTACCTGAAAATTCGAGCAGACTTTGGAGACCCTCACGTCCTACTCTTCCTCCCACATCTTGCACTCATCTTTTCCGAGGAGACTTCTGCCATGCCAGATCTGGAGGTGTCCGCCTCCCTTCTCCTCCCCTCCCTTCCCTCTCACTCTCCCCAGTATCTGTCCTTTTCTCCTCTTTCCTTTTACCTATGGCCCTACTCCACCCTGCCAAGGGCCCCCATGTGCCTTCCTCTCCTCCAGTCCCAGTGGGGAGTTATTCTTGTCCTTCTACCTGTTCCAGCAGGGTCCTCCAGAATCCTATCCCCATACCACCTCATCTCCTCAGGCCCCCCAACAAAGGTGCTCTGAGCTGACTCCTTATCATGGTAGCCGGTTGTGGCACCTCTCCCTCTGCTGAGGGACAGGCACCTGGATACTGTCTGGTTGAGAAAAAACAGCCCTGTCCAGCAGCTCCAACTACTGTCTTCCAGTGTCTGATGCACGATGATGGGAACTGAGCCATGTGCAGTGGCCAAGAGCTTCTCATATTCACAGGCTGTACCCGAACCATCCACCCAGGACTGCAGAGGCCTCCTCAGAGGCTGCCACCTGGCCCCCACCCCAGCTTAGCTGGCCTCATGTTTGTTAGAGGTGTTTCCACATGACAGTGGCATTCTTTTTTTAAGATTTTCTTTTTCTTGAGATGGAGTCTTGCTCTGTTGCCCGGGCTGGAGTGCAACGGCGCAATCTCGGCTCACGCTCACTGCAACCTCTGCCTCCCAGGTTCAAGCAATTCTCCTGCCTCAGCCTCTTGAGTAGCTGGGATTATAGGCATGCTCCAACATGCCTGGCTAGTTTTGTATTTTTAGTAGAGATGGGGTTTCACCATTTTGGCCAGGCTAGTCTCGAACTCCTGATCTCAGGTGATCCACCCGTCTCGGCCTCCCAAATTTCTGGGATTACAGGTGCCCAGCATAAAATAGATTTTTCAAGACCCTCAAGGATGCTGGGGCAGGTTCAGCAGCTGGGCGACCAATATCCTTTCTAGGCTCCTCCTGAGAAGTGGCTAAGCCTCCAGCCTGCAGGGTGGTGTGAGTAAATGGGAGCTGGCAGGTGGGCACAGGGCACCCAATCCCCCTAAATCCTGAGCAGGAGGGGATCCCAGAGACAGAGGGAACACAATGAGCACCCACCTGGCCCAGGACACAGAAGCTTCTAGAAGAGCAGAAAATATGGCCTAGCACATGGCATTGTTTGGAGGCAATGAGAAAGCCCTGTCATGTGCCCACCTCCACCTACTGTCTTGGACCTTCCTGAGACATGGAGACTGGAAAGCCTTGTGGGCACGGTACGGATTTTTAAGTGGCTTGAGCGGGCAGGAGGCCCAGGGTTGTTGGGGAGGCCTCTTCCCCACTGGCGCTGGGCCCTTCATCAGCGATTCTGCTCCCCAGCAGAAAATGACCAGGGGCTCCCTCCCCACACTGGTGGCGTGTGTGGCTGTGCTGGAGACAAGTTGAAGGAGCCACGCCTTGCATCCCTGGAGCCTGACTGTGCCCAAAGGTCCTCCCAGCCTTGCTCTGAACTGGCTCACCACTCAAACCTGCATTACTCACAGGCCGTGCCATCCCCTCTGCCTGGGACAGGAAGCAGAGCCTCCCTGCCATCATCAGCTGATTGCCAAGCGCCAGACCTGAGCCTGACCCATGTGTTGCCATAACACGGGGGCTGTGGCTGTGCCCTTGTCCCAGAGGAAGAAGATGAGGCCTTGACAGGCAGGCGATGGGTCCAAGGCCACACCACTGGTGGGTTGCAGGGCAAGGCTGGAACCCAGGTCTTGCTGATTCAGATCAGAAGTTAACGCCTACACTGACCAGAGTCAAACACAGAGCTGGTATGTCTCATAGAAAAGGCACAGATTCCTTGTCATTACAAACACTCTGGTTAATGCTCAGATTTTTGATATATCCTGCATGAACCATTTCAGCTCAAGGCACCATGAGTCCAGTGTTAAAAATTATGCAGGAATAAGAGTGACAGATTCTAGACCAAAGACCTGGATTTTAGTTGACTGATTTGCCTTTAGGTGTGGGCCCTTTGGTGTTATTAATGGGGGTGTCTCACATTGGGACTAGAAGGGTGGGCTTTGGAGTCTGCCCAGACTCTTCTAGGCCTCTGTCTTCTTCTGGGAGAGAGGAAAAAGTAGCATCAGTGCTCTCATGGGGTGAGGAGGAAATGAGCAAATGTGTGTGAGATGCTCAGGCCTGCCCAGGATGGACTATGGCTGTTAATATTATTAGTAGTATTAAATGCAATGGCCTGAGGCCAATCACTTAACCTCCATAAGCTTCCATTTCCTCATCTGCAAAATAGGGAAAGAAAAATTGCTGCTGCACTTGATTGCTGTGAGGTTCAAAAGGAAAACCTCTGTATGCTGTAAATAATTACACCAGCCCTTGCAACCAATTAAAATCTTCTCCCTGCTTTAAATGGCTTGATTAGACACTCACTGTTTTCCAAGGCTGAGCATTATTGGGCATTGGCGTGTAGTTTTTAAAGGAAGTGTCTGGACAATTGTGTCTGAGAATGCAGTCTCCTCTCACTCTCAGCTCCCCGGAGTTGGTCTCCTTCTCATGGGCTACATAGTGCATTGTGACCAATGGAGAATACACACCTTTGGGAGAATTTGCGGGCAGGGCCATTTTCAGCCAGTACGATGTCTTTGTGCAAATACAGAAGGGACCTCCTTCCCTGGGACATACAGAGAACATGGGCATGCATGCAAGCTGGATTTCAGCGCCCTCCTACCCCACTGACCATCTCCCTCCTGTGAATGGCAGCCCTGTGTGCACATAATCTGCACCTAGGTTGCAAACTTCAGTGTCCTTGGGGACAGGCAGACGGTGTCAGTGGACGTGAGTGAAGTCACCTGGGTGTGAGGCAGTAGGAAGGGTGGGGACTACAGCCAACTGAAGCGCCCAGTCCAGGAGTTGTGGGAGCAGCTGTGACCAGCTCCAGGTGGCACTGCCAGGTGCAGGTCCAGGAAGGCCAGGCCTTTCCACTTATCTAGAGAAATCTAGATATCTATATAAAGTTTTCCTGCTTTTGAAAATTACTGTGCATGTCAGAAAAACACATCTTCGGGTGGAATATCATGTGTGGGTCACAGCTGCCCACCTGCTCTATGCAAAGCCCAGTCACAATCTGAATCCTGACACCAGTGAGAGGGGAGGTGCCTCCCTCTTCCCCTCCTTTCTCCTTGTCTTCTCTCCTTCCTTTCCCTCCTTGACCACCTCCTCTGACCCAACCCCAAGGCCTGTGGGCTTCCCTCTCCCTGCCTCAGTTCTCTCTGTTCATGGCCTCCCCTCGGACAACCACACCACCTATGGAAAAACTCTTTGCCCACATCCTCCCTCTTTCCACCAGATGCTCTCAACCCCCACCCAGCATTAGATCGCTCCCTCCTGACTGCCAGCTCCTTGAAGCCAAGAGACCTTGCCTGACGTGGAATCTGTTAGTTTAAGATATTTCTCTATGAGCAGATCCAAACTCCTCAGCCTGCTCTCTGTGACCCACCTCCCACTGTCTCCCAGGACCCTGGAGCACCTGCTCACTGCTCTCATTGAAGTTATTCTCTGAGCAAAGCCTGACCGTCTTGCTTCTGTGCCTTCATTTTAGTTGTGCTCATTACCTATGATTCCCTTCTTCTCTTGTCGACCAGCCCTGCAAAACTTAACATTTAATTGCCTTAATTCTTCCACTGAATGTCCATGAACAACCTGGCTTCCCTTTCCCAGAATCCTGCTGTTGAGAGAAGGATTCAGGATTGGACCCTAGGAATTTCTTACAGTGGCAGTTATTACCTCTCCAGGGACATAGCCTTTTACCAACTGGAAGTTGCTGGGTGCAGCAGACAGATTTGCATTCTTTGTAGTACTTTGTAGTACTATTTGTCCTGCATACAGCCAGTGGTCACCAAGAACTTAATTCTCACCTAGTGATTTCCATCATTTTTTCTTTCAAGTATCTAGAGGGCCCAAAGTAGCAGCTATGTTTCCTAAATTCAGGAAGCACCACTCCTCTCTGTTGTCTCTTATCCCATATCCTCCGGTGCTGTGTTTCCACGGGATCTTTCCTGGGTGTGCAGGAGGAGCCACGGACTTACCCTTGGGGGGTGAGTGTGGCCTTGTGTTTTGCTGTTGTTTTTGAGTATGCAAGTTCCTGTTCAAGAAAAGACCTTTCCAAAACAACCAGGTGTGCCAAGACCGTGCTGGACACACCAGCTAGCTGCTTGCACACCCATCAGGCCACTGCTGCAGCTACTGCCCCGGGGATACCCGGGCAACCAATACCAACTGCCCAAAAGAGGCCAGCAGGCAAGTGGATCCCCCCACCCCCAAGTATGTCCATAGCCAGGGCCATGTTTTGGGACCCCAGAGAGAATCTCTTCCCTGGTCTTACCCTTCATTTCTCCACTCTCTGTTTTCATCTTTCCATAATCAAGTGAGGGAGTGATGAGATTGGCTCCCAGTCCCTCAGGCTTCTGCACAAGACAGGCCTGTTCCCAGGTGGCTGTTCTGCAGAAAATTCACATCTTAAGATTGTAAAAGGTGTTACTGGAATAAAAGGATTCTGTGATCAAAGAAGTTTGGAAAACATTAACTTAAACAAAAGTTCATCAGGTTTCTTTACTGCAGGACTTCTCAGAGCCTTTAATGCACTGTGGTTCCCCAAGGGGGTGCCAGGTCACAGAGCATTTTTCAGCCTTTTGCAACTGTGAAATTCATTTGTTCAAGGGGCATCTGGAGTGGATGGTGACGAATGCACTCTGGGAGATGTGGTTGTGCAGGACACACAGCTGGCACTCAGACCCAGGCCTGCCCACAGCACTGGCTCCTCATGTGGCCAGGCCCTCTGCCCCTCACTGAGCCTTGCAGGCTTTGCTGTAATTGTATTCCCATATGTGTCCCGTCTGGCTTGATACAACTCTGGCCACCGACTTCCGGAATATTCCAAGGCCTAGCCCAGGCCTGTGTGTCCTGAGATTACCTCTCGTTGCTGGCAGCCATCTCTATGAATTCAGGAATGAAAATCACAAAGCCAGTGGCAGGGCTGGCAGGCCTGACAAGTCGGTAGGGACCATGCTTTGCCCTTTGTCTGCCCCATGCTCCTGGCTCGGCCAGGAGGCCTCAGGGATCTAGGAATCCAGTCTCTCTGGGTTCACACCACCAGACATTCAAAGCAGAACAAAACACAGTTTCACAATGACTTCGAGAAGTCTGACACGGGTGGACCTTAAATTGCCACCCCATGATTTTAACTATTATTTTATTTGATTCTAAGATGTCATCAATTGTATGACACACCATTGTTTTAAGAACAGCTTGTAGGGGGTGAACAAAAACGAAAGAAAAAAGAAACCCCACATGTAGTGTACCGACTAATTGTAAGACACATCCTGATTTCAGAATAATTAAAATTTGAACAATTGTGTGCCTTGGAATTGAGGAAATACACTATTTCTACAGGTCGGGGTTGGCTTCCTTTTTCATTGCTGCTGAGGAAGCTGAGATGCAGGCTCCAAGCAAGAAGTCAGGAGACTGGGGTGCTGGGCAGGTGTTTGATCTCAAAAAGAAGTCATTGAAGTAGCATGTGGTCAAGCCTGTGCCAGGTTAGGAGGTGCTGGGGTGAAGCTTGCCCTGCCTTTACCCTCTAATGTGTGGCTGTTTATCCTGTCAAGAGGTAATGTGTCTCCTACAGCTTCCCAGAAGGCAAGGTGGTGTGTGCGCCTGTGTTTTGTAGCTGTCAGAAATAGCTGGACCATTCAAGTGTATGTGAAACCAGCTCTGTAAGCTGTGAAATGGAGCATCATTCTTTTTTTTTCTGCAATGGCATAAACATCGCCACTAATTCCTAAAGATACAATGAAAACAGAAATGTATTAAGAGTATTTTGGAATGACTCTGAGCTGATGACAACCCTTCACTAGCTCACATCATAGGGGGACTCACTCACCTCTTCTTCATCCAAGGAATCCCACCTCC
The DNA here is from genome assembly GCF_000001405.40 of Homo sapiens. Taxonomy (NCBI): domain Eukaryota; kingdom Metazoa; phylum Chordata; class Mammalia; order Primates; family Hominidae; genus Homo; species Homo sapiens. Next base: position 87,674,642 of record NC_000002.12, on the reverse strand, counting down.
TGCTTCCTGGTTGGAGTTTCCTGGGTGAACCCCAGGAGGAGGGAATCTCCACCGAGGTGGTGATGTTTGAGCTGGTTCTTAGAAAACAGGGGCAATGATGGGGCAGAAGATATTCAACAGAGGAACTGGGGCTGGAGATAAATTGAGGAGCAATGAGAAGTTTGCTGCGAGGGCACGTGAGCCGGGAGGTGGGAGGTGAAGCCCGAGCAGGATTGGAGTTAGGCTGATGGTCTATACCACCTTCTCACTGAGTGATTTTTACATCTTGTTTTCAACAAATCAGCAAAGACACTTTAAATGCTGTCATGAGCTGGCTGCAAGTGTTCAAGTGGTGCCACCAATGCTCTTGGTTGTGCCCGGATCGCGTGCTCCAGAGCAGAGCTCCTGTGCAGCCTGTTACCATGCCCCATGCCCTCCACCTCAGGAGGCTGGGCTCGGTGTTCCTCCTGCTGGCACCTGCTTCCCCCGGGCACAGGCATGGCTAATTTCACTCAGGTCTGGGCCGGCTTCCTTCCCGAACCTCTTACTGTTAAACATGCTCTCCTCATTCTGTCTCCCCTATCGTGCTTGTTACCCCGTGTGACACTTGTCATTCATTTGTTTCATTTTTATAATGTGAACTCTGTGGTGGCTTTGCTCAATCCTGTCTCCGCTGTGCTCAGAATGTGGCCTGACACTTAGCAGAGGCTCTGTGTTGATTGTTGCTATAGAATGACACTGTTCTCTGAGTTCTTCCACATGTATTACTTTGTTTGATTCTCATTCCTTTTCTGATTTGTGGATGTAAAAATTATCTAAAAGACGATAAAAGAATTACCCACGATAGTTATTGCACAAGGAGGGAGAGGGACACGCAACCCCATGCTCTCCCCGCTACAGTGTTAACCTTCAGGATGACACCACCCTCGACACTCACTTCATGATGGCCTGCACATCTGACCTTGTGCAGGAGCCTGCAGCGTGGGATTGAGCAGCCTCCTGCTCCAGCCAGCTGACTGCCCCTCAGAGGGGACTGAGGTGACAAAACAGGATCCCATCATTTGGTAAACAGGACTCAAGCATGAAGTCTGAGGGGTGTGGGGAGGTGCAGGGTGGGTAGCAAATGGCTGTGAAAAGCAAGAGACTTTCCACGGGCAAAGCTAAGTCTAGATGTACCCAGATTAGCGACTTTTCCTTAAAAGGTTTTTCCAGCCAGGAGCAAGGGACTGGGTGAATCATCCCTAAGACGGGTGACAGGAGGCAGGAATAAAGCATGAATAAAGCATCAGGAAGGGACTAGGATTTAAAACTGGCCCCTCAATGCTTCTACACTGCTGGTGAGAATGTAAGTTAGTTCAGCCACTGTGGAAAGCTGTCTGGAGAGTTCTCAAATAACTTAAACTAGAACTACCATTTGACCTAGCAATCCCATTTACTGGGTATATGCCCAAAGGAATACAAAATATTCTACCATAAAGACACACACAGGCATATATTCATCACAGCACTGTTTACAATAGCAAAGACCTAGATGCCCATCGATGGTGGATTGCATAAAGAAAATGTGGTGCATATACAACATGGAATACTGTGCAGCCACAGAAACGAATGAAATCATGTCCATTACAGCAACATGGATAGAGCTGGAGGCCATTACCCTAAACAAATTAACGCAGGAACAGAAAACTAAATACTGCATGTTCTTACTTATAAGTGGGGGCTCAACATTGAGTAGACATGGACATAAAGATGGGAGCAGAGGACACTGGGGACTCCTGGTGGGGGAGGATGGGAGGAGGGTGAAGACAGAAAAACTACCTATTGGGTATTACGCTGATTACCTGGGTGACAAAATTATTTGTATACCAAAACCCCATGATATGCAATTTACTCATGTAACAAACCTGCACACCTACCCCTTGAACCTAAAATAAAAGTTGGAAATAAAAAAAAAACTGGCTCCTCTATCTGGGCTCCTCTCCCTTCTTAAGTCCTAGGAGAGTTGGCCAACGAGGCCCTGAGTCCAGACACGCCCCACCTTGGCCCAGTGTCCACCTGCACCTGCTCACATTCCCACGTGCCACCATTCCTTGATGCAGCTCACTCTCTAGACCAGTGGCTCCCAGCCACTGGGGTGCATGAGAGTTTCCTGAGGAGCCGAGGTACATGTGTGCTCAAGTCAGCATCCAGACCCACTGGGTCCAGTCTCCAGGCTGGCCCAGTTTGAGAGGTGGGTTTAGAGAGTTTCTCTGCAATAGCACTGGGAATACCTACTGCTGATGGAGCACCTAGATGGATGCTCAGACTCAGAGGTGACTCGGAGGGCTTCACAAACATAATCATAAAGATCCTTTGAACACTGAGGCTCATGAAGGTCAAGTCACTCTCCCAAAGTCACTCAGCTGAGAATAGCACTAGGATGAGAACCCCTTATTTTATTTTAGTTTTTGAGACGGAGTCTCGTTCTGTCATCCAGGCTGGAGTGCAGTGGCATGATCGGCTCACTGCAACCTCCACCTCCCGAGTTCAAGCAATTCTCCTGCCTCAGCCTCCCGAGTAGCTGGGATTACAGGCACGTGCCACCATGCCTGGCTACTTTTTTGTATTTTTAGTAGAGACGGGGTTTCACTATGTTGGCCAGGCTGGTCTCGAACTCCTGACCTCGTGATCCACCCGCCTTGGCCTCCCAAAGTGCTGGGATTACAGGTGCATGCCACCATGCCCGGCTACTTTTTTGTATTTTTAGTAGAGATGGGGTTTCACCATGCTGGCCAGGTTGGTCTCGAACTCCTGACCTCGTGATCGGCCCACCTCAGCCTCCCAAAGTGCTAGGATTACAGGCATGAGCCACCGTGCCAGGCAAGAACCCCTTACTGACCCCTTAGACCTTCTCTCAACCATCACACCAGCTTGCCATGGAGCCCAGGCTTAATTTACCTTGGTATCCCAGCACCCCCAAGCCCAGAGAAGCACGGGGCTTGGTATATGGTGGGTGTTTGCTATAGACCAAATGTTTGTCTTCAAGTTCATGTGTTGAAGCCTGATCCCCAGTGGGATGATACCTGGAGGTGGGACCTTTGGGAGGTGCTCGGGTCATGACAGTGGAGCCCTCACAAATAAGATTAGTACTATCATAAAAGAGACACTAAAGAGCTGCCTTGCCCCTTCCTTCAGGTGAGGACACAGCGAGGAGTAGGCTGTCTATGAACCAGGAAGTGGGCCCTCACCAGACACAGAATCTGCCAGCACCTCAATTTGGACTTCCCAGACTCCAGAACTGCAAGAAATTAATTTCTATTGCTCACAAGCCACCCAGTCTATGGTATTCTGTTACAGCAGCTGGAGCAAACTGAGACAGTACTTGACAGTGATTTTCATGAAGGTTCTCCCTTGCTCATTTTTAAGCCCACTGGTTCAGACAGAAGCCTCTGGGAGAGCCCTCCAGAGTCCACCTTGAAGGCTTCATTCCTTCTACCCAGAGCATCTCCGTGGAGAGGAAGAAAAAGCATCAACGAAATGAGGTGCCCCAGCGGTTCTGGGGAGCAATTCCTCTCTTCATATGACCATTTGGGAAACCCCCAGTGAGATGGAGTGTGCTTTTAAGCCATGAAAACCATGCACATCAGCCCCACCACAGAGGTGAGCAGAAATGTAGAATATGGTGTCTCTTTCTCCTCCTTTTATTTTCAGAGAAATAATTAGGGATTCTGTGGTAGGCAGCCTCTAAGATGGGCCCCAGTGACCCCCACTCTCCCTGTATCCTCACCCTCATGTCATCCTTTCCCTGTCGGTGTGGATCATTCTAAGTAACTTGCTTCTATGACTAGAATAGGGCAGAAGTAATGAGATGTCACATCTTCATAGGTTATAAAAAGCACTGTGGCTTCCATTTTGGGTCCTCTGTCCTACTCTCTCTAGAGTCACACGACCCCAGGGTAACCAGCCACATGTCACAAGGCAGCCTGTGGAGATGCCTAGGTGGGGAGGGACAGAACCACATGAGTGAGCTTGGAAACAGATGCCCCCATGCCAGTCAACCTTCAGATAAGACCAAAGCCTCAGGTGACAGCTTGACTGCAGCCTCATGAGCAGCCTTGAGTTACAAGCATTCAGCTAAGCCGTGTCCATATTCCTGACTCACAGAAAGTGTGAGATAACACACATTTGTTTTAAGCTGCCACGTTTTAGGGTGACATGTTACACAGCAATAGATAACTAATACAGCTTCTTAGCCTGGCAAGAAGCAGGAAGAGTTAAGGAATTAAGACAGGGTGATTCTGGTGAAGATGAGAAAGATGCAGATGTCATGGGTGAATGTCTAATACCTGAGAAATTCAGAAAAGGATTTCTAGGGCAACGCAGAGTTAGAGCAGAGAAACTGAAGGCCAGGCCAGGCATGGTGTCTCATGCCTGTATTCCCAGTGCTTTGGGAGGCTGAGGCAGGAGGATCATTTTAGGCCAGGAGTTCGAGGTTACAGTGAGCTATGATCACAGCACTGTACTTCAGCCTGGAAACAAAGAAGGCCACTTCTTTGTTTCCAGACTCAAAGCAATTTATTAATACCAACTGCTTTGTCCTCTGACATTCCTGTGATTCCCGCTGAGTCACACCTCTGTATTCACGGTGTTTCAGAAATTCCCCAGAATTTACACTGGCAGAGGTGAGGGCAGAGTGAGGGCCTCATTGCTCTGGACGTTGGCGGGGCTGTCCCTCTTGGGTTTATCTGATGTCCACCTTTTAATCAATAATGACTAGCCTATGACAGGGACAAGGCTCAGGTCTAATGTCTGGGCTTATTGGAAGGCTCCTGTTCCTTTTGTTGTCTCTTCCTTCCTCATTCCCAGAGCTGCTCTGAATGCAGTGGGGCACCCGCCTTATCCAGATGTGCTGCTCACAAAATGGACAGAATTCACTGCTCTCTCTGTGCTTTACAACAAAAAATGTTGATAAGTTGCTGTTGGGACCCCTTAAATACACTTCGGGTGAGCAGCGGTTTCCCCTGCCCATCCCAGGCTGGATGGAAGTCATCCCTGCAGAGGGTAAAGCTCAGCCTCAGGGGTCAATCTGGATTTCTGTGGGGGCATCTGAGGAGGCTATCAGGTTCCCCAAATGTGAATTGAGTCCTGGTTCACATCTTGGGTGCTTCACGTCGTCCCCTTCTCACCGAAGGGGAGAGACAGCTGGCTGTGGCTGGCTTCATGTCCTAATTCAACAAAAACAACGCACCTAAGAAAATGCATCTAAATACTTCACAACATTTCCTCCTCTATCTGCAGAGGTTGGAGATGAGCATAGACATTACTGATTTTTGACCCTATCAAGTGACGCCTGCTTGAGGCACCCTGCAGTACCTGCCAGTGCCTTCAGACCTGGAGCCCCCATGGAAAATTTCTGTCTTATTTCCTGCTACCACCACGATCCTTTTCTTACTTCTCAAACCCATCTAAGCCATATTGATAATATTTTGTACCATCAAATACTTTTTGTAGAAAAGCACTTTTTATAAACAAAGCACAACTAAACTCAGGGCAAGAGATGGCTGAACTCATCACCTGATAACCCTTCTTTTCCACCTCCTGCCTCCTCCTGCCTCTACCATGTTGCCTTTTCCACCTCTGTGGCTCATGACCACACAGGATGCCAGGCGAGGTCAAATACAAGGTTGCTAGGAAAAATCAGACAAGAAAATTAAGCAATGGCCAATTCTTGCCAGAAAACACTGTGATACCCCTTTGGGTTTTCATTGCAGGGGTCTTGAGGGCCACCCACACAGGTGACTTAAATCTTTCACTCTCTTATCAGTCTCTTGGGAGAGAATGTGGATCCACTGGAGTGGATGTAGGCCAACCCTCTTCTAGAGAAAAGTACAGCCACACTGGATGGTCATTATCATGGTCCCCAAAGCCTCCATAGCTGGTCTCCCTGCACCGATCGTGTGTTTTACACCCGGTCTCCACCACTCAATGTACCACATAGGGGTTCATTGCATCTGTCACCCCCTGTGTTTTGTCCTTCCTTGTCATCCTGGGGCTCCTGTGGTGCTGGTTGGTGTAGATTGTCACTAGCAAGCAAGAAGGCCCCCCCACCCTACTTCTGTCCTGGGGTCACAGCCTGGCTGGCATTTAGGGCACTTAACTCTTCCAATGAATCATATTCTCCACTCCTGCACATAACTTCCTAGCATGTCTCAGGAGACATGCTGAACTCTCAGTAAACTGCTTTCGGAGAATTATTTAAACACATGAATAAGGATAGAGAGAAATATAACAAATGTCATACGCCCACATGGCTTTATCAGATCTTAATATTTTGCCATATTTGTTTCAAGCCTTTAGAAAAAAACACATAAAACATTACAGACACAGATGAAGGCCTCCTTGATCTCATTCCCTTTCCCTACTCCTCAGAGATGCCACAACCTTAAATTTACTGTGTATTAATCTCAAGCCTGTTTTTTAGATTTTCCTACAGTATTCATTCCTAAGTAATATAAAGTATTGGTTTGTAAGTTTTCCATTTTATGGAAATCTGTCCTGTTGTATCTATCTTCCTGAAACTCATGATTGTTTTTAGATTTATCCATGCAGATACCTGTTGCTCTAACTCCTTTAACTGCTGTATAATACTCAGTCATATGAACCTTATCAGAATTAATTTGTCTATTTTCTGCTGATTGTTTTTCAGTTCCTTTTCAATTTTTCACTACAGATAATGATGCAGTGAATATTTGTGCACATGTGTGAGAGGTTCTCCAGTCTGGATCCATGCTCTACATCCTCACCAGCCCAGTATGAGTTTCTTATGTTTGCCTTTTGTGTCAACACTTGGTAGTGGCAGACAAATGTTTTGGCCAGTCTGATGTGTTGGAGGTTCTGTAGTTGATTTTGAGTGTCAACTTGGCCGGAATGTTTCTGTGAGGGTGTTTCTGATGGGGATTTACATTGAAATTGGTGGGCTTTCAGTAAAGCAGATTGCCTTCCAGAGCCTGGGCAGGCTTCGTCCAGTCAGTTGAAGGCCTGAATAGAGTAAAAGGCTGAGCTCCCTGAACAAGAGGAAATTCTCCAGCAAACTGTTCTTGGGACTTCACCTGCAACATCAGCTCTTCCTGGGGTCTTCAGCCTGATGGCCTTTTGACTTGAGCTGTAGCATTGTCTTCTCTCCGGGTCTCCAGCCTGCCAGCCCAGCATGCAGATTTTGGACTTACCAGCTTCCATAATCATGGAAGAGATATTAACTTTCATAATCATGGAAGTTAATTTCTTAAAACAAATCTCTTTCTATATACATGTAAATCCTATTTGTTTTATTTCACTGGAGAACCCTAATACACAGGTGGCATACTTTTTTGTTTGCTTATTTCTCTGATTACTAAGAGGTAATCATCTAGTCAAATGCTCATTTGCCCTTTGAGCTGCCTTCATCCATAACTTGTTCATGTCTTTTGGTCATTTTTTCCATTGACTTGCCAGTGTTCATGTATTCTGGATTCTGGCCTTTGTCAATTATATGACTGCATTGCAAATACTGGTTTCTGGCTTGACATTTAACATTTTTTATGAATAATTTAAAAATTTTAAAATACAATCCTGCTTACTAAACCAAATAGTCTGTTAATTTTTGCATTAAGGGTCTTTTTGTATATAGTTTAAGAAAATAATTTCTTACTCTGAGTTCATAAAGATAGTCTTCTACATCTTCTTCTAAATTATTTGAAGTTGTTGCTTTTTACACTTAGGTATGTAATCAACCAAGGATTTGTTTTTACATGTGCGTTGATATAAGGATCTAATTTTATTATTCTTGTATGGATAACCTATTTTTCCTAAGTTATTTCTTGAACGAGCCCACCCCTTCTTTTTACTAATCTGTAATGACTCTTCCGTTATATATGAAATTTCCACAGATGCATAGGTCAGTTTCTGAGTTCTCTAATTTTCTATTGATCTATTCACTATCTATATATCGATATTGTACTATGTTAAGTATTATAAATGTATAATTAGTCTTGATGATTATCAGCTTGTCAAATTTCACACACAAAAAAATCCCCTTCAAGATTTTGGATAGAATTGTAGTGAATTTAAAGAATAATTAGGAGATGATATTGACATCTTTCCTTCCTTTTTTTTTTTTTTTTTTTTGAGATGGAGTCTCACACTGTCACCCAGGCTGGAGTGCAATGGCGCAATCTTGGCTCACTGCAAACTCCGCCTCCCAGGTTCAAGCGATTCTCCTGCCTCAGCCTCCCGAGTAGCTGGGATTACAGGTGCCCGCCACCAAGCCAAGCTAATTTTTTTATTTTTAATAGAGACGGGGTTTCAATATGTTGGCCAGGCTGGTCTTGAACTCCTGATCTTGTGATCCGCCTGCCTCGGCCTCCCAAAGTGCTGGGATTACAGGCGTGAGCCACCGCGCCCGGCCTGACATCTTTCTTAAATCAACACTAGTTTTTCCATTTAAGAATGTGGTGAATCACTCCACTCACTAATATTTTCTTTCATGTCCCTCAGGTGTATTTCCAAGTTTCCTCTAAAACCAGCCAAATGAACCAAGAAAAATCAAAACCAAGCAACGTGCACATATTTTGTTTAATGTATGCAGAAAGATCTTATAGCTTTAGTTGAAATATAAGACTCATTCTCCTGTTATATTTTCTAATTGGTTATAATTAATACATATAAATTGTACCCAATTTTGTGTATATATATTCGTTGGACTGTATTTTCATTTGAATAGTTTATTAGAAAATTCTCTTGAATTTTCTATATAGATTATCATATTTCCTGCAGATAAAAATATTCTTGCTTCATTCTAAATTCTTATACTCCTATTTCTTTTGCTTGTTTCATTGCCCTCAGTACGGCTTCCAGGATACTGATGAATAGACATATTGACAATGGACATCCTTGTCTTGTTACTGATATTGATGGGCATGCTTCCAAAGTTTCACCATTAATTATAATGTTTACTATACACTTTTGATAGATAACCTTTATCACATTAAGGAAGTTCCTTACAATTGCTATTTTGAGCACTCAGCTCGCTTAAACCTCTCATGATTTTGAAATAAATTCATGTCAGACTATAAATTTACCTCTAGATATTCTTTCTTTTTTCAACAAGGTCTCACTCTGTGGCCCAGGCTGGAGTGTAATGGCATGATAATGGCTCACTGCAACCTCCACCTCCTGGGATCAAGCAGTCCTCCCAACTCAGTCTCCCAAGTAGCTGGGACCACAGGCACCCACCACCACACCTGGCTAATTTTTTGTAGAAACAGGGTTTTGCATTGTTGCCCAGGCTGGTCTCAAACTCCTCAAATTTCTGTTGTAATTTCTTCTTCAGCCTATTAGTTACTAGGGAGTGAATTTTTTAGTTCCCACATATATGAGTTTGAGACTGTATTTTAGTATTGACTTCTAATTTAATTGGGTTGTGTTTAGAGAATATGATCTGTGTTATTTGATGATTCTAGATATTTGTTGAGTTCTTTGTGACCTAGTATGTGGTCAAATTTTTAAATAATCTGTATATCACCAACTGTTTTTAAATGATCTATGATGACCATTTATGTTTGGCCGCAAAGTTTTACACACACACACCCATTAGATAATGCTTGTTACTTTTGTTTTTCAAATCTTTTATAACCTAGTACTTTTTAAATTGCTTGATTTATCAACTTTTGATCAAGTTAAATGGGTTGTAATCTTAGACTTGTAGTTCTGTCAATTTGCTTACTATATTTTGAGGTGCGTGTATGTTAGACACATACATATACATTTGGGCCTGTGACAGCTTCTGAGTCGGTTGGTGCCTTGATTATTATATAGTCTCTCTCCTATTATAATCTGTCTGCTATTGCTAGCATTTAAATAGTGTATATTTTTCCATTCCTTTATTTTCAGCCTGTGTGATTTCATCTTAGATGGTATCTTGGAAGCAAGACCTACCTGGACTTTTTAGAAATCTAATCTAATCATTTTCTGTCTTGGAGTAGGTAAGTTCCCATTTGCTGTCATTACAGACATACTTCAATTTGTTATTATTTTGCTACCATGTGTTTTGGGTTTTGGGGGGGTGGGGTTTGGGTTTTTTTGAGACAGAGTCTTGCTCTGTCACCCAGGCTGGAATGCAGTGGTGCAATCTCAGCTCACTGCAACCTCCACCTCCCGGGTTTAAGTGATTGTCTGGGCTCAGCCTCCCTAGTAGCTGGGATTACAAGTGCCCACCACCACGCCCAGCTAATTTTTGTATTTTTAGTAGAGATAGGGTTTCTTCATGTTGGCCAGACTGGTCTCGAACTCCTGACCTCAGATGAACTGCCTGCCTCAGCCTCCCAAAGTGCTGGGATTACGGGTGTGAGCCACCACACCTGGACGTGTTTTGTTCTTAAATTCTCTTTTTTCATCTTTCCTGCCTTTTTCTATTATTCTGTGACCTAATGAGTAATGGAGGGAGCCCCATGAAGAGTGGAGTCTGCCTTCAGGAGCAGACTCTGCCTGGCATCCCAGAGGAGTCTGTGTCTTGAAGCAGTCAGTGCTCCCAGGGCTGAGCCGCTGGCCCTGAACAACCATTCCTTGAATAAAGAAATAAAGAGTGAGGCTAACTCAAGACCCATCCTGGCTCCATAACTCTATTTCCAAAGTCTTTTTTTTTTTTTTTTTTTTTTTTTGCTTAACATTGCAGGGCACCTGCTCTATGCTCACTGCTGGGATCACACAGGGGAATGAGTAGAGCTCTCCCTGGCCTCAGACACCCCCACTTAGTGAGAAGGTTACCTGTGGGGACAACTCCCTTGCCAGGTGATAATAGCTATGATGGAAGCACCCACAGAATGTTTGAAAAGATTTGGCAAAAGTGGGGCCACAGTGTTGCCTTTGGCAACAGCTAGGTGAAGCTGATCAGCAGCCATCCCTTTGGGTAGGTCCATGCTCCATTTCTCCACTGTCCTCACCAAGGCCAGACTAGGTCAGGCAAACAAGGCCCAAGAAGCCAACTTTAAGGAGGCACTCATCTCCCAGTGCTAGCCTTGTACTTGCAAAGCCCCAAGAGTGAGTGCTTCCTTAAAACATGCATCCTGGGCACCTTCCTAGCCTTGCCCTAGCCCTAGTCCTGACCCTGGTCTCCAACACTCCCTACTGCCTCCCCAACAGTGAGGCCATGTATAAATGGTCACATCCTGCTTGCTCTGTTGTTTGTCTACTGCTAGAGTTAAGAGGAATGTGAATTTTCTGGTATGCTTGTCTCCATCAAAACTGAGTAAACAAAATATAAACCAAAAAGAGTCCTGGACTTCACCTGCCTGATTCACCTATTACATTCCCCATGGTCTTGAGTTTGAGAACCTGAGGTTCTCAGCCTGATTGCAAGGTCCTTGAGTGCCAAGGGCAAATGTCCCATAGTAGGAACTTTAGTCAGAGGAGCAATGGGAACAAATGTCTTTTAGAAAAATAACCCTTGCTTTGGTGGTCTGAGAGCTGATGTGGACTGAGAAATTGAGAGTCTCCTGCAAAGGTGAGGGCATAGAGAGGGGAGGGTGAGGGCAGCTGTGCTCACTGCAGGAGTCAAAACAAGGTTGGATGAGGTAGGACTTAAGAATTACTAGATGGCTCTATCAAGACTTCCTGGTCAGTGGTGAGGCTTTAAACAAGAAAGGAGTACGGAAGAAAGTGGACATTTGCTTTGGGTAAGCTGAGTTTGAAGTCAGGACATCAGAGTATACCGGAATCACAAGGACCATTGCTGAGAGGACTCCCACCACCATACAGACCCCTCCCTCTACTCTGGGCTCTCTCCAGGGCAGGAGTCCCACATGGCTTCTCAAGTGTGCCTCTGCTGGAGCCCAGCATAAAATATCCCCCAGCCGGGCAGCCAGGTTAACTTATTGTTAGCAGGCTGAAAAGGAGGCTGTTATTTCACAGCAGAGATAAAAGTTAATCACAGATTAGGACTGCCCAGAAAATATTGATGACTTCATCCACCTGAGTACTAGCCTGGGGGAAGTGTTCACCACTCCTTAGTTGTCAGACCAGTCCAGCCAGTTCCCTGACTCCCTCTTTAAAATGCAGGCCCAGGCTTTAACAAAAGCCTGGACCCATGAATAGACAGCATTCATACGCGGGTTCTGAGTCATTCTGCAGACCTACTGCGTGCCCTGCCTTCTAGACTTCTGATTGGAGAAGGTCTCCGCTTACCTTCCGCCCTGCCTTGCCACCGGAACCTCCCTCCCACCCTCCCTCTCTCATTAGAACTTTTATCTGGCGGCACCATCACCCTGGGAGACTCCAAAACAGAAAACCAGACAGACAGTGGTTACAAAATAAAAGACCTGTGTTTGCAGGTAAGGGGATTTCTCCATTCTGACCATCCAGATTGCGGACTAGAGAATCTATCTCTTTGGGTAAGATGAAAATGGATGAAATTCAAGCTGTGTTTGAAATAAAGATTTCATAAGTTATTATTGTTGGTTCCAAAGTATTAGGCAAAAACTACAGGGGTACCTGGGGAGCCCACAGAGCAGGACACAGGAAGCAGAAACCTCTCTTAGGATGGTACAGGCAGGGGCACCAACTCTGTCCTCCTGAACTGGAGGATCACCTTCACACATTAAAGTTGTGAGCTCAGCTGGGTAAAATGCACACTACACAGATACCCCTGAAGCATGCGACATTCCCCAACACCCCCAGCTTTGGCTGTAACAGAACTAGTGTGGATGCCAAAACAAGATGCCCCACATGGTTAAAGAATCTGACGACTCTTTTTGTAGAGGAGTAGTCGACTATGTCATTGTTATTCCCAAAGATGGAAGGCAGAATCATCAGAAATTACAGTGACAGGGGTTCCTGCTCGGTAGTATGCCGAAAAGGTAAGGTCCAAACCCTCAGTCTCGCTTTCAAGGCCCTCCATGACCCGCAACTCCCCTCCTCCTCCTCCTTTTCTTTTCTAAGCTTTTTCTTATTATTGCCCTGCCCAGGGCCTGCACCCACCAACTGTTCCTAGTATCATTGGTTGGTGATACCACGAACGATGAACCATGGGGCTGGCCTTCTCTCCAGCTCAGAACACACTTGCTTTAGCTCAAGCCTGTCCAACCCAAGCCCGCAGGATGCATGTGGCCCAGGACAGCTTTGAATGTGGGCCAACGTAAATTCATAAATTTTCTTAAAGCATTATGAGACTTTTTGCTATTATTTTTGTTGTTCTTCATCAGCTAACATTAGTGTTAGTGTATTTTACGTGTGGCTCAAGACACTTCTTCTTCCAATGTGGCCCAGTGAAACCAAAAGGTTGGACATCCCTGCAGTCTTTATGATCGTCTAAATGTCCACTTCCTTCAGGCCCCAATGTGTCCCAGCTCCTCTAAGAAGCCTTCCTTGGGTTCCCACTCTCTTGGAACTTTTCTCTTCTGACCCCTCCCCTAGCCTACATTGGTCCCCCACTCACTCATCCTCTGGGCCAGTCATTTGGCACACAGTACACGTTGTGTTTCTGTGGAAGCCCTATGGGGAGAGAATGGGTTGTGGGGGCCAGGATCTGGAAGCTTCCAGTGGATGAAGAGGATGTCAGTGCTACTACCAGGTAGGAAGGCTCCGGTTTACTAAGAACCAAAGAGGTGGTGTTCCAGGGGTCAAGGAGAGAGAGAGCCCAGAGTGTACAGGCCACTCAGAACATGCAGGGGAAGAGCAGGATTTGATTCAGGAGCCGGTGGGACCCCAGGAGAAGACAGGGAGACTAAACTGTCACCCTCCACCACAGGGAGTTGAAAGGCACAAGTGCGGACAAGAGGATCAATCAAAGCTCCGTTCTGTTCCCAATCCTTCCAGTCCCGATGCTCCAGAGAGCAGGGGAGGCACCTGTACACAGGTACTGGGCATGACTGATGAGGCAGTGCCCAGGAGCCCAACTTCCTCGAAGCGAGAGAAAGGACAGAGATGCTAAGATCTGCACACTTCCACATTTTAGAGAATTTGGGAGACCCATGTTGGATGTGGACCGTGGTTCTTATTGGTATTATTTTCTGAGTGGTAGATGTGCTTAATCCCAGCACCTGCCTAAACTGATGACAACAGCGGCTTTCCTACTGGAAGGACATTGCCACTTGATAGCATATGCTGTACCTCGCTTGCATGTCCCTGCTTCCAAGCTTTGGGGATTTCTAGGATTGTTTTCTCCTAGTTTCCTTGTGTCACGTGGGCTCCTTTATAAAATATCCCCATATAATAGTGCATGATGTGCTCTATTACAAAACACAAATGTGTCTGTCCAAGACAGCCTGGGGGCAGCGAGCTGGGGCGTGGCAAGGAGACCAACTGGAATGACGGGAGAGCCCTAGTGGATGCACAGTGCACCGCTCTTACACCACAAGCCTCCCGCCCCAGCATGATTTAACCCGTGAAGAAAGCAGAGCATTTAATATGTTCTACAGATGTTTTAAAAAAGGAATAACGGCGCTTGTCCCAAGTGTGGGATGGAGGCACACACTCTTCTGAGATGTGAAGCAAATTTCATATCTCAAAAGAGAAAAAGGACAACAGTTCCTGCTCAGTCACCAAGTCTGATTCTCAACCCTGGAACGCCTCAGCCTGCCTGAGCCCAGAAATGAGGCTCCTTGTGAACACTATGGAAATGCAATGGCTGTTTTGATTTTCCATAATGGACAGCACACTGGTCCAGGAGGCATATCCAATCTAAATGAACTAGCATCTGTGAAACTTCCTAGCACAGTCCCAGCACATCGCAGGAGCTGAACTAATGTTCTTTTCCCTTCCCAAGGAACCCTGAAGCCTTTGAAGGAACCGTGATTGGGAAGGCATCAGCATTTGCTTTTCGCTGGTATAAATTTGGACCACTGGTCTGCCCGGGGTGTCCCCTGCCAGTGGTCGTGGACTGCTAGGGAAGCACAGCACACCCCCCAACACCCCCCCGCAAGGAAGACCCCTCATTGCCCACCAATGTCCTCTTTCTGGCGTCCCTCACGTTCCTGGCCGAGACCCTCCGTTCAGTCACGCCATGAGGTCAGGGCCACGGTTGCCATTGTCTGCTGGAAGCCAGTGCAGCACTTGGAGCTTAGAAGATGCACACAACTCTTTGTTAAAGAACAAAGAAATGGGAGAAACTTTTTAAAAGAAAATAAACAGAGAGAAAGAGGGTGAGACGAAGACTGTGGCTGAGGCTTTGTTTTCAGGCCGAAAGCAGGACACTCAGCTCATTCTCAATGAAACTTCAACATCGATAATTCAAATGTCTTAGAAATTGTACATTGGAAGGGGAAATAAAATGATTTTTCAGCTCTTTTAGGCTTACAGATACCTAAATGAAGCATAGATTGTAGAATGTTGTTCAGAAGGGAATTAAATTTGGATTTCATCCTTCCCAGGGACTGGGGGCACTGCTTGTCACTTTGACTCAAATGGAGAGTCCCTGCCACTGCTTGCTTGCCTTCATCTGACCACACTGTGCTAAGCGCCCAGCCCCAGGGTATAGCTGAGCCCTGCACCAGCTGCAGTGAACCGCTTGGCCGGGTGCCCTCTTAGATCCTCCCTGCCCTGTTCCCTGGCTCTCTGTCCCCTGCGGTCCTCTTCTCTAGGACTGTTGAAACTTCTCCGCATCTGGTCAGCTTCACACAAAAGGGCTCCTATTTTACAGGCTGAGAGCCCCTTCCTGTGTGTTGTCAAAACTGACACATCGCATTGCTTAGGTTTAATCTTCAGGTACTTTTTCTGTTTTTTTACCTATAAAATTAATATAAGCATATGCTCCCGTAATCAACACAATTTAGATAAAGCAAGAGTTCCTCTGGGCCCTCCCACTTCCATTTGCATTTTCTTTTCTGTGGACTAACTGGTCATCTTCTTTATCCACTTGTCTATGAGGTTGTTGATCTTGGTCTTTTTTCTTATTAACAGATAGGAATTCTTCATAGAGCCTAGATAACAATCCAGAATTCATGTGTATACGCACGCATTTATCTATATGTATATGTATAAGCACATTACACACATACATTTGCACACATACAAATGTTAGAAATATCTTCTCCAACTCTGTTGCTTGTCTTTTATCTCAGCTTATAGAGGTTTCCGATTTTGAATCAGAAGTTTCACATTTCATTGAAGGTAGACATCACTCTTTCTCTATTTGCTTTTGTGATTTGTGTCTTGCTCAAGGCCTTCCCTGTCCTACCCCCATGTCAAAAGCATGTTCTCCACTATTTTCTTTCAGTCCTTAATCTTTCTTCCGTAGGTAGCCAATGTCCAGCACGTTTGGTAATGACACCTCCTCGGTGAAGCGCAAGGCCACCTTGACCCCAGCTCCCATGGGTCTGTCTTCAGGGGAATTTTGAGGTTGTTTTTGCTGCAGGGTGTCAGGAACTCCTTCCTCTCTGATTCTTGGAAAAGTTTACTGTTTGCTGCTGGCTTTGTGGTCTCTCCTCCCTGTGCAGGTAGGGTGTGGAGGGTAATCAGAGTCAGTCCAGAGGTTGCTCAAAGTTTCAGTTTATCTCCAGCCACTATTTGCTAACTCATCTGAGAATTCTGCCAAGATAAACATCAGACAGACCCTCCTATGGTTCAATCAGTCTGCTCCTGGGAAAATTAGGACATGTGTCTGCCCGGCTCTGCTGGTGTTCCTGAGAGTGACTGGTCTCTGTGTGACCTTTCATTGGCCAGGCTCCCCCAAGGGAAACGTCCACCAGCAGAAAAAGTAGGAAAAAAATCCCTTTATGCAGAGAAAATACACTGCAGAAACAAACATAGTCTAACCCTGCCTTTTAAAACATAGCTTTTAGACTGAAAGAGTTCACCCTTCCTCTCTCCACCTGGTCACTCTTGGGATGACAATTTCAAATCCCACATAACATTCACAGTGTGTTATTCCCATGCAATTACCTTGTTAGGTTTCATACATTTAGAACACGGAGGGGGACAGGGGATGCTTCTCCGCAGTCTCTTCGTTATTGGGACATACTCCAACGCTCAGACAGCTCCACAATGCACCTTTCTCCCACTCTTCATTCCTTTTCTGGCAACACTCTTTCTCTCTCAGAGGATTTTAAAAACATGTCTTGTTACAAAAAGCAAAGAATGACAGTTGCTTCAGAAAAATACCCAACTGAAAGATCCACTCCCTGACCATGGAGAGCTCACTACAGATCTAGAAACGCGAGGCAGAGACTTGAAGATGCTGCACACATCCTGTGTGGGAGTGGGAGAAAAGCTGCTGCTTCCTTAGCATTAAAACAGACAGGGTCATTTCAGCCTTGCAGGGGATGACCAGCCCTCACTGGAATTATGTGATGGCATCACATTTGCTCCTCATGTAAACATTCCAGCGGGAGAACGACTGCTCCCTGAAGACACTCATGGTGTGATAAACAGCAGTCAGTGGAATCAAGGCAGGGGCGAGGTCCTCTTCCTTCTGCCTCCTTCTCACCATGGCACCTTGAGAGAGGCCCTTTGTCCCTCGGGTTTTTCCATTTTCTCATTTGCAAAATGAAGAGGATCCCATCTACACCGTCGTGTTTAGAAATGACACAAGATCACAAAAACCTCTGCCGCCTCGAAGATACAGAATTGCTGGTGAGGCTCGTTGTCTGAGAGCCGGGCTCTGCTCCCCTCGGGGCCAAGTCTACCAATTGTTCTTTGGAAAACAAAAGCTGGAGGCATTAAAACTGGGCTGTTCCAAGTGTTCTTTACGTTTTATAAATTTTATAAGGTGAAACTCAATATTTAGATGATTGGTAGAAACGTCTCTTGGGGGCTTTATGGTTTTCTAACATAGAGTGGGGGGACATGTTACCTCGGCAGGAGCATGTGGGCTGAGAGGAGGGAACCACATCAGGGAGGCCGGTGACTGGAGAGGGAAGTCCTCCTCCTGTGGAGGGCCTGGCCCTCATGGATTCCCCACTTCCAGGCAACTTTGTGACCTCAGAGAAGCTAACCTGATGTGCATGCTACTGACGTTGCCCATGCCGCTCCTGCTGGCTGATGGAACTATCTGTCTGGAGTCTGTGGATGGCAGACCTCCTGATTGTGTGGAGCGTGAGTTTTTCGAAAGAGATCTCTCACTTTCATCCAGGCTGGAGTGTAGTGGCACACACCACCACACCAGGATAATTCTTTTATTTTTTGTAGAGACACGGTCTCACTATGTTGCCCAGGCTGGTCTTGAACTCCTGGGCTCAGGAGGTCCTCCTGCCTCGACCTCCCAAAGTGCTGGGATTACAGGCGTGAGCCACTGTGCCTGGCCTTGGAACATGATTTGTTAAGGTACCTCTGAGGTGAATTAGAAAACCAGTTCAGGAAGTTGGAAAGGAGAAATTCCTAGAATCCTGTGCAACTGCTGGGTTCACTTAGTATTTCCAGTGCCAAGAGGGACCCGAAGTAAAGAGGAGCAGATGACATGGGAGTCTTGCCAAATAGAGAGACAGGGCCAGGGTGCAGGGGAGGTAAGGCTCTGTGCCCAGGTGCGGGGGAGGGAGGAAGCTTCTGGAAGTCCTCTGGGATTGTGGTGCCCATTTCTTTTGCTAAAGCCAGTGTTAACAAGGGTTTCAGTCCCAACCATGCCCCATACCCTGGCTCCCCGATCCTGCCCCAGCCCAAGCTTCCCTGCAGTGGGTTTCACCCCATTTCTTCTCTTGCACTTGCCTCTCCCCTGCTACCCCGTCAATGATATCATCAAAGAAATTAGACCCGGATTGGTCACTGCAGTACATGACTGCATGCAGTACATGGCGAATTCCACTTCACTAGCCCGATAGGGTCATCTCTTGTAGTTGCCTCAGCTGCAAAGTAGGGTTAATAATGCCAGCCTGGCAGACTATGTGATAATACTTAGTAAGAGGACTCAGGTTAAGAACATTCCTAAGGTGCTCTCCAAAGAATCCCAGGGACTGTGAATGAAATGTTAAAATAACCTTTCTCCCTTCCCTGTCCCTGCATCTCATTTATCCTTGAGAGAAGGTCAATGAGGTGTTTCCCTGAGGCCAACTTCCAGGTAACACAAACTTCAAGGGGGTACCTCTAAGCACTTAAATAAATCACGTTATTCTTCTAGCATTTTATGTGACTGTAATTCTAGAACTGTACACATTTCCTGCCTTTAGAAGCAGTGTACAGGGAATTGGAGTGAAGGGTTTTCTTCAGGACTCAGGAGGGCAGGTGACAGGACTCTCCCTGGTGTTGTGGTATGCAAATGAGCCCCCGCCCATCAGTCCTGGGCCCTTCACCATGCAGACCAAGACTGGGCATCATTTTGTGTGAATTCTCTCCCTCTTTTTTTTTTTTTTTCAGTTTACTTGAAGGCAATTTATTAACAGAAAACATTTTGAGGAGTCCTGTTCACAGATGGTGACCATGGCAACCCCCTTCCTGCAGGTGCTTTTGGAGGGGATGGCAGTGACATCCTCAATCCACCTGATCTTCATACCTGAGCGGGCCCCAGGTCCAGGGATCTCAGTCCTATTTCCATCTGTGGCCTGGAGTTTGATGTAGGCCAGTGGTGTCTGGTTCCTTGCACCTCTAGGCCACATCCTGGGTGGCCAGCGTGGCAGCATGTGGAGAGGATTCATCTGGCCACCCTTTACCTTCATCCCACCAGTCACACAGCACATTTTTTTTTTTTTTTTTTGCCAGAAAGATCAGTGACATGGACAAATGTGTCATTGAAGGATGCAAAGATATGGTAGATGCCAAATACATTCTCTCCTTCAGCCACCTGAAGTCCGGGGCTGATGATGTGTTCTTCCTTCTTTTCCTTCCCCTTTCAAGGTGTCATTTCTGTGCATTATCTCCAGACTCTGCACCAAAAAGCCCTGTGAGTTATTAGATCTGCCTTTGAAGTCCCTTTTCTTTCTGTGTCCTGTTGCCGGCTGCCATCTCTGGCTCTCCCTGCCTCCTCTTGGCTCCCTACCCTACCTTAGCTCTCAACTGCTCTTTGAGGAAAACTGAGGGTAGTCAGAATGGCCTTTAATAGGGAGGGGTTGATGAGTTTGCAGCAGCTCAGAGGCTCTCGGTGTCTGAGTCCTGCATTCTTAGCCCTGAGCAAACACAAGCTGTTGCTGTGGGTCTAAATGCCAGATCCAGAGGCCCTGGTTGCATTTGTATAATACACCTCCCACTTTGTGGCTGGGTGTGTCCTCGGATTTATTTTAGAATAGTCATTATCTATTTCCGTGGGGAATTGTGCTACTAGCATGGCCACTTTATTGGAAGATCCAATAAAGAAAGCAGTGGGTGGTCTCTTGAACTTGTGTTATAATATAATCGTATTACAATAGGAGGCAGCATAGTTTAGCGGCTCAAAGCTTAAGCTGCTGCTTGGTCGTGCCATTACTAGCTCTATGCAGTTTTTGTCCTCATTAAATTACTATATGCAAAGAGATGAGCAGAGCAGAGCAGAGGCCTGCATCTCTGCTGAATCCTGTCAAGTCCTCATATGTGGGCCTGGCACAGATTATGGGACTGAGAGGATGCCCACCCCTCCCAGGAGAAGTGGGGAGGTGCATTGCCCCTGGAAAGCAGGGTGAGAGGGGCAGGGAAGGGGTGGAAAGCTGTCAGGACAGGGGGGCCTAGCTTCATGGTGGCTTTGTCACATCCCATATTTAGCCCAAGATGGGGCTATTTTGGAGCCGATTCAGTTCCTGGGGATATTTTTTTCTTTTTATAAGATTCAGAACTACTCTGAGCTAAAACCAATCTTTATCTGTAAAACAGAAATAATAATACTAGCTGCCTAATAGGGCTATTGTGGAAGTTAAATGGAGAAATGTACATCAAAGGCTAAAAACAGGGCCCAGGCAGGACAAGCACTCAACAACAGCTAGCACTCAACAACAAGCACTCAGCAACAGCTAGCATTCAACAACAGCTAGCACTCAACAACAGCTAGCACTCAACAACAATCACTCAACAACAGCTAGCACTCAACAACAAGCACTCAACAACAGCTAGCACTCAACAACAAGCACCCAACAACAGCTAGCACTCAACAACAAGCACTCAACAACAGCTAGCACTCAGCAGCTAGCACTCAACAACAAGCACTCAACAATAGCTAGCACTCAACAACAGCCAGCACTCAACAGCACTACACAGTGTTATATGTTATTGAGTGCTTATCCTGTCCTGGGCACTGTTCTCTGAGGACTCTGTTCTTTGCTATCTTTGACAGCATTTCTTGAATCATTTTTGAAAATTATTTTTGCCTTTCTTTTTTTATGAAATACTGTCCCTATAGCCACCAGACACAGAGCAATGGGATAAGGGTCTTTTTCTTCTGTTTTTAACAGCACAGACTTCTTAGCAAACCTTTCCTGGCCTTTAGAGTGGCCTCAGAAGGACACTGTGTTGCATTCGAGGGTTGTATATCAGGCAGGCCTTTAATACTGGTTGACACTTTTTGGGGTTTCATGGCACTAGAGAGACCACTTTGTGTTCCTCCTGAGGAGTAGACTGAATCAGGCTGTTGGGTGGAGGTGACACTTCTCTGTAGTCCCCTATAATACCCCAAGAACCCATGCATTGTTCCCCCACAGAGGTCTTCACATGGCAATGAGAGGAGGCAAACTCTTGTGAGACCTTGGAAGAAGTATCAATAGTGTTCAACAATCCTGAGTCAAGATGAGAATTCTTTTTAATTTCACAGGAACCCTGAGTTGAAGAAAGCCCTGCTCATCCTGTTAACATGGTGGTGGCTGCTGGGATCAGAGTCAAACAGCATACTGAATAGGCTCTGGCTCTCTTCTGACTCAAAAATCCCAGAGTAGTCTTGGACCAGGTCTGAAGAAGATGCTTTATATGCTGCAGAACAGGATGTATTGGGCTTTTGGATCTTTTCATTAAGAATGTGTAACTATTACCTCACTGTAGGGTGAACCTATGCAACTAAAACTTGAGGCAGGATGCATTCTTCTGTCTCTTAGGACAAACCTCTCCAGAAAGTCTCCTTGGAAGTGAGCCATGGGGCATGGTGTTGTAGTTGGAGAGCCAGCCACGCGGTGAGGGAAGAGAGCGCTGCCATGGTCTGAATGTTTGTGTCCCCCCAGAATTCATATGGAGAAACCTAGCCCCCAGTGAGGGCATTAGGAGGTGGGGGCTCTGGAAGGTGATTAGGTCATAAAGGCAGAGCTGTCGTTAATGGGATCAGTGCCCTTATAAAAGAGGCCCCAGAGAGTTTGTTTGCCCCTTCCACCGTGTAATGATACAGCAAGAAGGCACCATCTATTAACCAGGAAATAGGTTCTCATTAGACACCAAATCTGCCAGTGCCTTGGTCTTGGACTTTCCAGCCTCCAGAACTGGGAGAAATAATTTCTCTTGTTTATAAGTCACCCAGCTTATGGCATTTTGTTACAGGAGCTCAAATGTGTTAAGGCGGTAGCACTTAGAATCAGAGGCTTGGGGGCATGCTCCTTGAAGTTAAACTTGGCTTGTGACTCACTTTGGCCAATGAAACGTGAGTTGCGGTAATGATGTCTCTTCTGGGAATAGACCTTCAAGCCCAAGGCTTGATACACCATGTCCCCTTTCCCCTGCCATAGAGACTGATGGCACTACTTTGGGGGATTCTTCCAACCAACACTCCTAAGTAAAGGTGACAGAGAATAGAACCCTGCTGAGTCAAGATGGCCATATAGCATGCACAAGAGATAAATGTGTGCTGGGCGCAGACATTGAGTTTGGGTTTATTTTTTACCAGAGCATAACCAGCCTGTCCTGGTGGATATAGTTAACAGCCAACAGTATTCCCTAATTGCCACATTTTACACACGGCCAGTGGAGCCTTATAAATTTGAGAGCTAGGAATCTTCCCATTTTACAGATGAGAAAACTGAGACTCTGAGCAGTAACAACTCATACTTGATGCTGAAACTGGAACCTTAACCACCTACCACCACCTGCCAAGCCTGATCTGTAGCAGGCAACCAGCACATTCACACTGAATCTCTCAGACATTCACTCTGGGCTGAGCAGACATTGGCAGACACTGACCCCTTCGTTTGTTTCTGAGGCAAGAAGAGGCATTTCTCATGGGAAAAGGGTTGAGGACAGGAAAGAGGGCTCCTAGGAAACACACCCATCCATCTAAGTCCACAGGAGGCCAAGTCAAAGGTGTAGGGTCACTCTATACCCATTGCTTGGCCCTACTGTGCCTGGAATCCCCCAAGAAGCCACCAGAAACAAAAACTTCTGGGAAAAGAGACAGTGGGAATTTCCTCAGACAGTAATGAGTTATTCTGGATCAAATGCCCACTGGGCCAAGAAGGTGAGTCACCTAGTCAGTTTGGACTGCCATAGTGGAATACCATTGATGGGATGACTTGTAAACAACTGAAAATTACTTCTCACAGTTCTCAAAAGTCCAAGATCAGGTCCCAGCATGGCCGGATTCTGGCAGGGACCCTCTTCCAGGTTGAAGACTTTAACATCTCATTTTCATGCATGGTGGAAAGACAGTGAGAGAGCTCTCTGGGGTCTCTTTCATAAGGGCGCTAATCCCATTCATGAGGGCTCCACCCTCGTGACCTCATCACTTCCCAAAGGCCTCATCTCCTAATATGATCACCTTGGGGGTTAGGATTTCAACATATGAATTTGGCAGGACACAAGCAGTCAGTCCATAACTGTGACACACAGGAGAAAACTGCAG
This sequence comes from Homo sapiens, assembly GCF_000001405.40. Taxonomy (NCBI): domain Eukaryota; kingdom Metazoa; phylum Chordata; class Mammalia; order Primates; family Hominidae; genus Homo; species Homo sapiens. The sequence continues at coordinate 87,651,016 of NC_000002.12, read as the reverse complement.
GCCAGCCAGGGAGAGTGGCAAGGAAGGGAACAGGTGCTTCCTCTCCACAGGGCAGCTGCCATTCTGCTGAGCATCTGAAGGTGGGAAGATGGCCAAGTGTTGCCAGAGCATCCCATTTTCCAAGACAAGTTGGAAAATATAGATTTTCTTTTTAACATGAAAGGTCAGCTCCTGATCTTTAAATCTTGATAGGTCATTAAACAACTTAAAATGCATGTGTGCCAAGCAAAACACATTCCAGACTGTAGCCCCCAAGCCTTCAGTCTGTGACCTCTGGAAAGATCTAGCATCATTTTGCTGCTTGAAGGAATGTTACTGGGGGCAGAATCTCCTCATCTAAACAAGGAATATGTCCGGAAATGCTGTCGCCCGCCTGACATGTGGGTGGAGTTGGCTGCCATCTGGATCCGGGTGTTTCAGAACCACCACCTGCTGCGAGGTGTCTGACATTCCATAACTAGGGACTCAGTTCTTGTTTGGGGGCACTGTCTCCTGGTTAAAAATAAATGAACCTTGACTGCCTTCTCAATAACTTTTCCCTTAGAAAAAAGCAGTAAGTATGAAGACAAGACCCTGAAGTTTGGCCAGTGGGTGGGATGGTACAAAGAGGGTTCCCTGGGATGGGGCAGAAGAGGAAGGAAAAAGTAGCTGGGTGTGTGTACCAGGAGGACTTGCCCCAGTTCATGGTTTCCACTCATGGTACCCAATGTTGGCCTCCAACACACAATCCTGAATTCCCAGCAATGGCTGAGAAAGGTGCATGGGCCTTCAGGGAGAGAGACTTCAGCTGGGCTGAGGAAGCTGTTGAGGTAGAGCCTCTCAAACTCAGTTCTGTCAAAGGCATGCAGAATTTCCATCTGTGGCTATTTGTACTAATGATGATGTGCCCTCCACACACTCGTCTGTTCAAACTCTCATTAATTTTAAGCAGGCTGGGAGAAGACAGCCTGTACACACTGAGAGAGTCAATATACAGACAATGTCAAGACCATATAGAAAGACAGGACTCTGACCCACAATCTGTAGCAATCATCCCAGAAGCCAAACAACAGCTCCTATAGCAATCAGCCCCAAAATTCTAGGACTCGATTAATAACTGACCGATTCCTTAGGTTTTTTTGTTTTGTTTTGTTTTTGTTTTGAGATGGAGTCTTGCTCTGTCCCCCAGGCTGGAGTGCAGCAGCATGATCTCAGCTCACTGCAACCTCCGCCTCCCGGGTTCGAGCGATTCTGCCACCTCAGTATCCTGAGTAGCTGGGATTACAGGTGCACACCACCATGCCCAGCTAACTTTTTGTATATTTAGTAGAGACGGGGTTTCAACATGTTGGCCAGGCTGGTCTCAAACTCCTGACCTCAAGTGATCTGCCCACTTCAGCCTCCCAAAGTGCTGGGATTACAGGCATGAGCCACCATGCCCAGCCTGATTCCCTAGGTTTTTGTCCCCACTTCCAACTTAGGACCAATGAAAGAAAGCCAAACATGCTCCCTAACCAATCACATGGGAGTCTCATTTCTTATAGCCACCTTCATTTTCCCCAGGCCAACACCCTCCACTCAGGGCAACCCGAAGGCTTCCTTTCTTTCTTCTTTGAGGCTTTCCCACTCCCCTACCTGCCTCTGAGTTTCTGCCAAAACACAAGGGATGGTGGCTGACTCCCTCGCTAGCACAAGCTCTGAATAAATAGCCTTTGCTCCTCATTTGGCTGGCTTCTGTTCATTTCCACAGCTCACAGTTTAGTTGGGGGTTGGGGTCACTCCAGGTAGGCAGCATTGGCCAACGTGGTTGATTAAAATGCACCCCCACACACTAACTCTGCAGAATGCACTTGGAGGAGGCAGGTTTGAAGGGATTGATGTACTCATCTGTTCCAGATGGAGGGCAGAGAGGCTCAAGAGATGTTTGAAATCATTGTGTTTTGACCAGAAACTTCATTAGCCTGAAGACAATGGGGCAATTGTCCTGGGGCAGACAAAGCAGAGTGCTGGGGACTTGGATAAGCTGCCACCTGAGCTGTCTGGGCACAGATTTCCACAGGCCGATGCCCGGCGGTGAAGAAGGCAGTTCTCTTCCTGTGAAAGGCAGCCACTGGGGGTGGTGGCCACTCAGTCCCACTGGAGGGGGCCAACATGGACAAGTGGCCCTGTCACCTCCTTGCTGGGGCAAGTCACCAATGTTTTTAGCAGGCAAGAGGCATCTCAAATTAAACCCAACTAAAAGAGATGTGCCTTGGGAAGGGAATGGCATTTTCTAGTATAAGAACAAAATGTTGTCATGGACGGAGAGCTTTAAAGACATGATACCTTTATTTTGCAGGGAGAAGCAGTTGGAAATGAAAGAAGTTGAAATGTACAATACTAATTAAAAAGAAACGGGATAGCCCTGAAATGTATTCCCGGCCCCCTCTCTCACCAGTTTCTGATATTTTGAAAACTTCAGGAGATAAATTCGAGTTTTTCTCCAGACATGGCTCTACAAAGAATCACATTTAGAGGCACTGCTTGGAGCTTGGCCAGTTAGGAAGAAGGGTGAGGAAGACTCCGCACCAGAGCCCTGTTGGTCCTGGCACAGGCCCCCATAAACAGGAAGAGAAGGTGCTAAAATACCTTTGTTCTTTTTAAAGAAGGGCTGCCAATTACTTCAACCAAGGTCCTGATTCCACTCCTGCTAATTAGGCTGACATCACAGAATTTACCAGAAGAAAAGTGGCCTGGAAAGCCACTTTCCCCGTCTCTAGGCTTCTGTGTGATCATGTGACACAGCAGTTACTATGGCGATTATCAGTCTTGAGTGGATTGTCCACAAGTTAAACTTACATCTGACAAGTCAAATTTGTCAGTTTGGGGAAAAAGTAAAGTGGGTTACTTTTTTTATTTTTCCTTGAAGAGATTTTCTTGGCTCCTGGAGATACCTTCTCCCCCTTTCTAGCTGACAGGTTTTTTTCCACACTGTAGTTTTGAGGTTGTTTTATTCTCTCTTGTGGTCTATATTGTGCATAAGAAATAGACATAGCTGGCAGCTGTGGCCCTCCATCATGATGTGGGGATAAAATAAAACACTTCCTGTGATTCAGTGAGGCACCAATCATAGGCTCTGCCTCTTCTGTGATGGGAATAGTATGCCAGCGACTGGGTTTTCTCTCCAACAAGTGTTTTCAATTTCCTTCATGGGCACAAACTGCACCACCACCAACATACCATGATCCTGCATGTGGGCATGTGTGCACATATGTGTGATGGGATTCCTAGGCTATAATGTTATTTTCCCGAATGCTGCCAGACACATGTCTCTGGAAATCCAGTGCTCTATCTCTCTTATGCCTTCTTGTGCATACAAATGCAGACCAGGAGCCAGAGCCAGAAAATACATACATAAAACCAGAAACCTCTTATGCTGATGCCGCGGAAAAATAACAGATATGGACCTCATGGAGGAGCAGGCTCTCCATAAACCAGCCAGAACCCACCTACCCCAACCCCAGATGCAGACAGACTGGTGCAGGTGGCCCAGCTGGGGCTGTAGGAAGAGTGTGAAGAAGCTGCAGGAAGAGTGGGTCCTGCTCACTGCCTTCTCTTTTTTTTTTTTTTTGTTATCTTGCACTCCCCATGCCAGGGGACATGGGAGGTGGAGAATCCTCGTGAAGTGCGTGGGGACAGTTGACCATCCTCCACTCCTCCCAGTCTACCCCCAGAGCCTCTCTCTCTACAGGTTTGCCTGGCTCTTAATTTGAGGACCTGTCTCTGCAGAGGCCCCTTGGTGATAAACTCAGGGTCACGAGTCAGTTCTCATAGGGATGTTCACTCTCCAGACTCACACCCACTGGCTGCCCTTGCAGACCTGCTGGGTGCCACAGAACCAGGGCACACTGCAACCAGAGCTTCCAGAAACTGGGAATCCTGGAAGTATCCAGGCAAGAAGCCAATAGCTCCAGGGACCCTGTGGCTCTGGGATGCAGGTGGCCTCTGCTCACCAAGTTCATGCTGGTAGGTATGTGGATGCTGCACTCCGTCCTCTGAACAAGATGGCCACTTTCCTTACTGGCAGATAGTGAAAAAGAATCCTTTTAGCACTGTCTAAGCAAGAGGCTGGCCTGCCTACTTGCCAGAACTTTCCGTGAACTTGCCAGAACACTCCTGGCCTCAACCAAGCCTCCCGCCTCAGCCTCCCAAGTTGCACAATCTCATGATGCAAAAGGTATCCCTCTGGCCTGCACCCTGCCAGGAGCTGACAGGCGTCCAGGGTAAGCCAAGATGGGTTTATCGTGAAGCTCCCAGAGTGAGAGGGTAGTCCCAGCATAATGGTGCCAGGTAGGAAGGTGCCTGAGGAGTTAGGGCTAATGAGAGCCATCATTTATCATGAGGTGCCCACATAGTGGGCAGGGCCACCTGCCCTTTTCCAGTTACTCCTACAACCTGGCAGGGCCTCACATTCCCACCAGGAGATGTTTGCTTCCTCCCAGGATCCAGACAAGGTTCTGGGTGAAGACAGACAGGAGTGGTGGGGACAATGACTAGGATCCCTGCTGGCACTGCAGGAGAGCCCTCAGCGGATTACAGGAGGGCCCATCTGCTGAGAATCTGCTCATGCCAGGCACCATGCTAGGAACATTCTCATTCTAACTTTATTCTCATCCTTCAGAGAAAGCCTCCAATTTAGACCCTGTGATTCCATTTTACAGAAGAGAAATCTGGGGTCCAGCACTTCAACAATGCCTGTGTGTCCCAGTGCCAGTAGGGAAAGCAGAATTTGGACCCAGAATTACAGACAGACCCTGAATCAGTGCTGTTTCTTGCATTCCAGTGCTCCCCAAATTTCAGCAACTCATGTGTCACCATGCACCCCATTTACTTGATATTTTTCTTCTGATCAACTTGAAATCACTCACTTTTAAACTTCAGCTTGTCTTAAGCCATGATATTCATAAAATAATGGATTTAATGTGCAAGTAACACTTTTTCCAGATCTCATTAAAAGTTTCCTGGCCACAGAGCCCCTCTTGAGGGAGGTGAGGGAGATCTGGAAGGAGGAAATATGTAGATGGAAAGGAGAGGAGTTAGCAGAAAGCACCAGTAAAATAGAAGTAGGCTGTATATGAGTGAGTGGACGGCTCATTTGTTTCCCAGGACTGCAGTAACAAATGCCCACCAACTGAGTGGCTAACAACAACAGCAATTTACTCTGTCTCAGCTATGGAGGCTCCAAGTGCAAGATCGAGGTGGGGGCAGGGTCATGGTCCCACTGAAACTTGCAGGGGCGGGTCCTTACTTGCCTCCTCCTGAATCTGGTGGTTGCCTGCAATTCCTGGCACTCTTTGGAGGGGCTGAGTCACTCCAATCTCTGCCTCTGTCTCCATACCACATTCCCTCGTGTGTGTGTGTGTGTGTGTGTGTGTGTGTGTGTGTGTGTGTGTGTGTGTGTGAGAGAGAGAGAGAGAGAGAGAGAGAGAGAGAGAGAAAGAGAGAGAGAGAGAGAAGAGAGAGACCCTGGCTCTCTTTTTAAAACATTTATTTATTTATTTATTTGTAGAGACGTGGTCTTGCTCTGTGGCCCAGGCTAGAGGGCAGCAGTGTGATCACGACTCACTGCAGCTCCAGCTGGGCTCCAGCAATCCTCCTGCCTCAGCCTCCCCAGTAGCTGGGATTATACGCATGTGCCACCAGCTAATTTTTTAATTTTTAAAATTGTTTTAGAGATGGAGTCTTGCTATGTTTCCCAGGCTGGTCTCACATTCTTGACCTCAAGCAAGCCTCCCACCTCAGCCTCCCAAGTTGCTGGGGTTGCAGGTATGAGCTACCTGGCCCTGCTGTTTTCTCCTTTCATAAGAACAACAGGCATTGATGTACTATGACCATCCAACATGAAGAGTATGACCTCATCTTAATGAGTTACACCCGCAAAGACCCTATTTCCAAGTAGGGTCACACTCTGAGGTCCTGGATGGATGTGGATACAGGGTCACTCTTCGACCCAGCACAGATGGAGCGAGTGTGGGTGTGAGCGTGTGACACACAGCAGCCCTGGGAAGGGACGTGTGATTGAGCTGTGCAGTTAGCGAGAGGCAGCCCGTGGGGGAGAAATACCCTGGTAAGGAGGCTCAGGCCTTCTCACTGCGGGCCTGCCTGTGCCTCTCTGGAACTTTCTACCTCTATCAAGGGAGAAGCTCAGACATCGCCAGAGTGAGAGATGAAACGTATCACAAATTAAAAAGAGGACTACCATATGATCCAGCAACCCCATTTCTGGGTATTTATCCAAAACAGTCAGCATCCTTATGCTCCTAGAAGCCTATTTACAATAGCCAAGAAGTGGAAGCAACCTAAATGTCCACCGACAGATGAATGGATAAAGAAAATGTGTTGTATTCACGCAATGGAATAATGGAATATTATTCAGCCTCAAAAAAAAGGAAGGAAACTCTGACACATGCTGCAACATTGATCAATCTGGAGGACATGATGCTAAGTGAAGAAGGCAGACACAAAACACTGTTTGATTCCACTAACGTGCCGTATATAAAATAGTGAAACTCGCAGAAACAGACAGGAGCATGGTCCTGCCAGGGGCTGGGGGAGGGGACTGAAGAGCTGCTGCTCAAAGAGCCTCAAGTTTCAGTGCAGTGAGATGAATAAGCCCTGGGGACCGGCCATGAAGCATGGCACCTGCCTAGAGTTAACAAGACTGTATTGTGCCCCTAGAAACCAGCTAAGAGGGGAGATTGCACGGTAAGTGTTCTTAGCACAATAAAATCAAATTTTTTGAAAAAGAGTTAAGCAGAAAGAAATAAACCTTTATTTGGAAAACAAAAACAAACTTATTATATCGCTGGCCTTGAAAGTGGGTAGGGGCCGAGGGGCTCCCTGGGGACTGGGAAGAGGCCCTGGCTGTTGCTGCTTTGGTCTTTTCCTGCCTCACTCTTGTGTCTTATTTCCCCGCTAGCTCAGAGGTGGATGGGAGAAGTGCCATTGATTGGGGCCTCTCATACCTGGGCCGCCAGGGCCATCTCCACTTACAGAGAAGGAGGCTGATTCTAAGGCAGGAGCACATGGTGGAGAGCCCATGGTCAACTGGGGGAGGCTGTGCCCAGCACAGTGGCTCCAAGCACACAGCCCAGTCTAGAAACTTCCCTGAAGGAGGGGCTCTGTCCACGTCACCAAGTTTCCCCAGACTGCCTTGTGCTGGCATTCAAGAGCTTATGGGGGTGACCCCTCAGCCATGGGGTGGCTGATGGGCAGGGCCTGGGGTCCAAAGTCTCCCTTCCCACTTGCCCCCCTCATACACATGACCCCACTGGGGGTGAAGGCAAATCCTAGCATTTTCTGAGCTGGCCTTTGGGATGGGCTGTCATCACATATCTGGGATGCAGGCCCTTCCCATGAGCGCTAGTCACTGGGGCTCGGGTTCCTGCAGCTAGGTGTGCGGCTCCTGGAGTGAAGTGGCCACTGTAGGCCTCTGTGGGTGTCTGCCCCACTCATGATGTTCCCTTGTCTGGGAACTGCCTCTCCCATCCACAGAGATGAGCCTCGAGGAGTCACCTGTGTTCTGTGGGACCTTGGATTAGTCAGGGTCCCCCAGAGAAACAGAGCCGAGAGAAGAGTAGGATGTGCATTAATTGGCTCATGTGATTACAGAGGCTGACAAGTTCCAAGACCTGCAGCCAGCGAGCTGGAGACCCAGGAGAACTGACCAGTTCTCGACATCATTTCTCACACAGGCCTTTGTTGGAGTCCAAAGGCCTGAGCCCAGAAGGCCCAATGGTGTAGCTCCTGTTCCAAGGCCAGCAGGCTCCCAACCCAGGAAGAACCAGTGTCCCTGTTCAAAGGTACTCAGGCAGGGGGAGTTCCCTCTTGCCCTCAGAAGGTCAGCCTTTTTGTTCTACCCAAGACTCTACTGATCGGATGAGGCCCACCACAGTAGCAATCTGCTTGACCCAGTCTATTGATCTAAATGGTAATCTCATCCAGAAAACCCCTATTAATTAATTAATTAATTAATTAATTAATTATTGAGATGGAGTCTTGCTCTGTCACCCAGGCTGGAGTGCAGTGGCACAATCTCGGCTCACTGCAATCTCTGCCTCCCGAGTTCAAGCAATTCTCCTGCCTCAGCCTCCCTAGTAGCTGGGATTACAGGCACCCGCCACCATACCCAGCTAATTCTTGTATTTTTAGTAGAGACAGGGTTTCACCATGTTGGCCAGGCTGGTCTCAAACTCTTGACCTTGTGGTCTGCCCATCTCGGCCTCCCAAAGTCCTGGGATGACAGGCGTGAGCCACCGTACCCAGCCTCCTATTTAGAATAATGTTTAACCAAATATCTGGGGACTTTGTGGCCCAGTTAAGTTGACACATAAAATTAATCACAGATCTCAAGCCAATCAGATTCTCTCTCCAGAGGAATTTTCTACTGGGACAGAGAGACCAGCTGGTCTCTGCCTTGGTAGGACCTGGGGACCTGATGGGCAGACAACTTTGCTCCTGGCCTCCTTCTCAGGCCCTTGAGAATTGTAGGACACCACCCCTCCCTGCCCCTGTATCTTGATCAGACGCATACCTTCCACCTTAGATGAGCTTGGGCTGAGTTTCTTGCCTGCATCCCCACCGGGACCCCTGTGAAGGCTGGCTCCCCTCAGTCAGGCTCTCCCTCCTCTGTGGGGTCTTCACCCATCCCTCCCATGTTTTCTTACGGCTGGGCTGGGTCATACTTAGAGAACTGACTAAATACAGAGTCTCACATCCTCAGTGATTATTACAATAATTCGAGTGAACACGGAAGACTAGATTTTTATTTGTGGGAGTGTGTGTGTGTATGTGTGTGTGTGTGTGTGTGTGTTTCTAACACCAGCCACTTGCTTCCAGAGACACATTTCCATCTGTGTGGTCACTAGCCTGCAAAGTTGTGGCACTTCTTGGTGCCTCCTTCAGGGCAAGTCTGAAATATTTTAATAGACGACTTAAACGTCCTTTAGGTAGAGGTTTCCAGAAAAGCCAGTGGAGTTGGATATATGGTTTTAATAACAATTCTAGTTACTGAGGCTTCTCCTCCCATCCTTGGCTTGGGTACATACAGTATAGTTAAAACTAAACTGTCGAAGGGGAATGATTTAAAGCAAAGTTCTGGCCGTGAGTGGGCCTTGGGAAACCTGCTTTGAGGTGCTTTGTTTTGTTTCTGGAAGAGAGCTGGGGAGGACAGCCAATGCTATGTCAGCGTGGCTGCATTTTTGCAGCATGGAAGTCGGCGGGATTATTTTATTATCACGCTGACTGGACTATCACCCTGGTCACAGGCTGCAGCAAGGAAGACTGAATGTTTGCAACTGTAGGTGATGAAGATGCCACAGAGATGGCCTAATTAATCTTCTCATCTGTTAGCTGGGGACTCAGGGAGCCCGACTTGCTCCAAGTCTCCCAGCCAGGCTGTAGGAGAGCTGGATTGCACCAAATCAGACACAAATTCCAGATGGCTCAAGGACCTAAGTGGAAACGTGAAAATTTCCAGTCACGAGAGAACACCTTTATGACCTCATGGTGAGAAGGAGGGACTTCTTGGGGAAGACTCAAAAAGCACAAACCAAGCGACAAAAGGCTGACACACTTGACCACATTACAATTAAGAATTTCTCTCTACCTTAAAACAAGAAGAAAAGCCAGTGTGTAAAGTCTAGGTTTCCCAGGTTGTGAATCATTCCCCCTGGAAGCATAGGATGGTATGCATGGGAAGAGTGGCAGTGTTGGCTCCCTCCCAGCACCAGCCCCTTGCAATAATATATGCCCCACAACAGTGCTGTGAAGCATGCGTCCCCAAGTCACATGGAGGAAGCTGAGCCTGGGGAGGCCAGTTGCTTGCCACAGTCACTGATCTGGTGAGTGACAGGGCACCACAAGCCACCACCCCCTGCAATCATCACCTATGGACTCACCAATGCCCCTCTCCTCCCCTCCCACCTTTGCAGGAACCAAGGTGTCCTTTAAAAAATAAAAATCAGACTGTGATATCCTCACCATCAGGTCCTTCTCCTCCTCACCTCTTACCACATTTCCCTTTCCCCAGCTCCTGCAGTGTGGGCCTCCCCAGGGCCTTTGCACAAGCTGCTCCCTCACCTGAGACCCTCTTCTCACTTCTCCACGTGGTCAATGTCACTCATCCTGAAATGCCACCACCTGGGAGAACCCTGCCCTGGCCTGGATGCCATTCCTCTTAGCACTGTACATAATTTGGCTTCTATGTATTTGTTTAACATCTGTCTGGAGTACACTGAATGCTCTTTTGTTCCTGACTGTACTCTTAGCTCCTAATGCAGTGGCGGGCACATAATACATGCTCAACCAAAATTTGTTGACTGAATGGTGAGTCCCTACTGAAATGTTTCGAGCACTGTCCCTAATGAGCCATGTGACCTTGACTATGAAAGCCCACAGCGCCTCCCAGCTCTGACCTACATTCACCCAGCTACTCAGAGACAATAACCCTACTGTGTGCCAGGCAACAGGGATGCAGTGCTCCAGGCAGCCCAGGGTCAGGCAGCATCTACCAAGAGTCTAAATTCACACAATTCTCTTGGTCTCCAACTTGCCTGGAGATGGCTGGCCTCCCCAGATGTTGGCTTGCGTTTCCTGGGTGGCCCCCTGGCTATGGAGGTGATGCCGGGGGCGGGGGATGAGTTCCAGCCTCCAGGAAGGATGCACCTGAGCCAAAAGGCCATAGTAGTGCAGGAGCCAGGGCCAGCAGCCAGTCAGAGGAGGGCGGAGCCTTCGGGACAGCAGCACGTCTCTGATGCCAATGGTACAGCAGCAGCCCTGCCCGCCCTGAGCAGGCTCCCTTCAGGCTGTAACTCCTGTCTATTATTCAAAAAAGGGAACCTTTTTCCTCCTCTCAAGCTTTGTACAAAACCATGACGAAATAATTAAGTTGTTGACTCTTCTTTCTTCCTGGGGCAGAAAACACAGCCCCACAGAGGATCACATTTCACCTGTGTGCTGCCCATCTGTGCTCCAAGCTCAGAAGTCTGCAGAAGGAGCCCTCCACCAGCCCTGCAGCAGGGTCCCCGTGCTTCCTCACCAGCGGGGCTCTCTCCACGGGCTTCTCTGCACAGCGCAGCATTTTTTTAAACCAAGGTTCTAAAATTTACCTTGCTTCTTTAGAGGCACCTAGGAAGCCTTCGTTGCTTCAGTGAGCTTCTCATGGTAAACAACCAGAAACAAATCGTAATCATACGGGGAAGGGTTGAGCTGGCAGGGTCGTGTGGAGGAAAGGGCCAGCTATGTGGATTCCATCTCCGCTGGGATAGGACTTCTGAGGACGGGGGAGTGCCCTGAGAGGCCACTGGGTGAGGGGCCAGTGGGGGTCTTGGGAATGAGGGAGACACTGGACAATTTTTGCTGCTTTCTGAGAGGTGAAGTTACTTGACAGGAGTAAGTGGGGAGAGAAAGGCAGAGGGGAGGAGAAAGGAGCCTGCACCTACTGAGTGCTCACAAAGTGCCCTGTGCTCTGCCCATGGGTTACCTCAATTTTCTCACTTAAGTCCCTTGCTGACCCTGAGAAACAGAGATTATCATCCTCATTTGATGCTTCAAGAAACTGAGGCTCAGACAGGCTGAGCAACTTCCCCAAGATCACACAGTGATTTGCACCCAGGCCCATCTAAAGCATTCATACCGCGCTGCCTTGCATGGAGGAAGGGAATAGGGTGGCCTGAGAAAGTCTGACCAATAGCCCCTATCCTCTCCCACCTGAGCTGGGATCCTCGTGACAGATCTGCAGACATGCAGTGGAGCTATTCCAGCCACAAGGCCCTCAAGCATTTGCCAAACCAAGCATTTGCTGCAACCAACAAATGAATCTGTGCACCCCTTCCAATAGCCCACACACAATGGTTTGGTTCAATGCGTCTATGTTTGAGACAAGCACTTCCAAAAGGAAAGCACGTGTCTGGCCAGTGGGACCCATAGCAGGTTCAGAGTCCGAAGGGCCATGAGGCATCCTTGGCACCGACTGCCCCGGCCAGCTGTGCAAGGTTGGAGGTGGTAGGTGGGGTGTGCATTCACCAAGGCTTTTCCTCGGCATTAATCTGCTTACAAGAAGACTGCGCAGACTCTTGTGAAAAGTTCACCAAGGTTACATGCAGGGGGAAAGGCAAGGCCAAGGTAGGAACGGGGACCTCCATGGAGCGGATGACCTGAGAAAGCTGCAGATGGAAGATGGTGGAAAGATGACGTGAAGGTTAGGGCACAAGAGTAACAAGTGTCCTGGGCTCAGGGGGAAGTTAATCCTAGTCAGGGAAAGCAGGGAGGGAAGAACCATCTATACCACCCATGAGGGATGGAGTTGAGAAGGCCCAGGCTCTGTAACTCCAAAGCTCAGGCTCTTACTGGGCCATCACACAGCCCCCTGTGTGCTAAAGTGATAAGTGCCCTACGTCAGAAAGCACTCATACCTCTCTAAACAGACTCAAGATGGAGCTGGATTCCAAACCCGGAAGCAAGGCTCTCTGCAACTCATTTTTTTTTTCACTTTCCATATTGTGCCGAACAAGTGGGGAGGGTTGAAGGCAGTGGGATGTTCAGAATGTTGGCAAGTGACAGTGACCAGAGGCAATGGAAAGCAGGACAGGATGTGACTTGAGCATGTTGTGGAGGGTAGGACAGTGCCGGGGCAGATTCAGGTCCTCCCCATGCTCCGCCGGGCTGGCTGGCCCTGGGGAAACGGCAAACGAGAGTTAGCCAAGGCAAAAGAGCTTCTTAAAAGTGTTTTTGATTGTGAAATATACCACTCATATTATAAAATGCATCACACATACAGAAGACTGTACAAAATGTACCTGAACGATTTAAAGAATAATCATAAGATGAACATTTGAGTATCCACACCCAATGCTAAACAAAACAAAACAAAACAACAAAACAAAAAAGCAGCATCTTACAAAACGGTCCTGTGTTTCTCTCACATGGTGTCTTCCTCCCTCCCTCACCAGGGCTAGCAAACCTCCTGATTTTTATGTCGGTCATCCACTTGTTTTTCTTTATAATTTACCATTTATGTGTGATCTCTAAACAATGGATTCTTCAGTTTAAAAAAAAATTAGTAGCAAGCACAAAGCCAGCTGTGCAAAGAAAGGGCAATGTAGCCCCAATAAACAGAGGCCCCAAGAGCAAGTAACATGCCGCAGAATATCAGAGGCTGGCCTCCGCTGCCCCGATGATGACCTAATTACTTGGTATTCCAGGAACTGGGCCAAGGGGCAGCCCAGTCTGCCAGAACATCAACTCCAGCAGGGAGAATGGGGTCCATGAGGCCCAAGGGGGCAGAGCAAGGCAGCTCATGTCCTGAGAAGCCTGCCACCTCATTCCCACACCGGCCTTGTCTCCATCCTCCCCATCTCCTGGGACCAGGGGTATTAGGAGAGGGGTGATCCCGCACAGAGACCCCCCACGGCTTTTGGGGGTGGAAGACTGAGATGCACTGAAGGCATCGACTGCTGTGGGCAGGGCTGGAAGGTCCCTGACCGGGGGATTAATGGAGGCATCATGAGAGTGGACTAGGGCCGCTCTGTGTTGCTCCCTCGGGGAGGGAGGGCAATGATGCAAGATCAAGCAGTCGGGGGAAGATCCTCAGGGACCGGGCGGGAGCTGAAGACTTCCAAGAACAAAGACGCCGGACTCTAATGCTCAGTATGAAGTCCTGTGACTAATTCCCCCCATACTTATTCATTCAATAGCAGGCACCCCCTCACCCACCATTCATTAAAGTCTGTTCCATGCAAAAATGTCTTCTGAGACTGAGTTGTGAGGTATCAGTGAGGGGCTAGAGTTCATCTCTAGGTTTGATGTCACCCAAGATAGAGAACCCAGCTAATGCAGAGGACCATGTATCCGTGGAACTAATCCAGTGAGAGCAGAAGCTTGGAATTGGGCTGTAGAGAGCTATGGAACCCCACAGCAATTTGAGGTGATCTTAACCAGATGTGTAAGAGACTATTTAACCCGTGCACTAGCATCTGCGCTCCTCTGATGTGCTCCCGTCTCTCTCCTACCCGTCTCTCTAGACTAGAGGCCTTCCCGTGTGATTGCTGGCAACTCCAGTGCAGGGACTGGCTGGCATTTCTTTGTCCCTCCAGCACCACCTCCTGCCTAGTGCAATTTATGGTCATGATGGTTCAGAAAGAACTTTTTGAAGGGATAGCCCATGCCAGATTTTATCATGACGCAACTTTGCTTCAACTGGATGTTAGTGTAGAATCAATCTCCTTAGTTATTTAGAGGAAGCAGGATGTTCAAGAAGGTAGACAGCAAATAGTGGACACATTTATTTTAGGGAAAAGAATCATTAGAGTGTGTATTCTTCCAGTCGTGCAGTCATTAATTTAACTATCATAATGCATATATTTAAAAAGGAAGAAAATTAACATTTAGTGAGTGCCTACTGCATGTTTCATATCTTTGATTCTTCCTGGGTTTACAAAAAGTATCTCTGAAGTCTTGTAGTGTGTCCACTGAGTTTCTCTAGTTTCACTAAGCCTCCGGACAGAAGAGCTCCAGGCAGCACAGCAGTCACCTTCTGCTCCCTGTCCTGGCCACTCCTGTCGGGAGAGAAGGCTGGGGCGCTGTGGGGCACTGACTACAGGTCTGTGCCGGAGTTCCCCGATGATGCTGGCTGTAAGTAATGAGCGTGGTCTGCTGGGCCTTCCATGCAAAGTTGGCTCAGAACCAGCACCCTCTCCCTGCCCTCACCGGTGTGGCTCCTATGGGGAAACAGAGTCAGAGCTGAATGGAGGAAAACCTCTCAGTGAGGGCAGAAAATGAAGTTCACCTGGCCAGCCCAGACACCCAACAAACAAACCAAAAACAAAATATAAACAAATAAACAATAAATAAATGCCAAGCACCACGTGAAACATTTGCATCTGCTGCTTCACAAACCTACGAGTGCCAAGTGTGGTATATGAAGATGAGCAATTCTCACATCTCTCTTTAGACAACAGAATTTACCAAACTGCAAGAAAAACTGACCTCCAGATGTTACCGCCACCTGATGCATATTGAATGAGCTCAAAACAAGCTTCTGAATTTGGAATCATCCTTCTCAAATTGATGGAGAAAGTGACAAAAGTGGAGGCATTTCTGTGGGTGTGGAGGGTGCCGAGAGCCAGATGTGGCTTCTTGCAGGGACACAGACCTGCCTCCAAGACAAAGTATTCATTTGGTGGCCCCGGGGGCCCCTTCTCAGGAATAGTTAATAATATTAACAACTCCAACACTTCGTGAAATTATTTAGGTAATTAGCAAATAAAGATTACACCTCTAATTTCTTCTTTAAATTCTGATTTGGGGCCCTAGACTCAAAAAAAAATTGAGGCATTCGTAAGTCGAAGTTTTACCACTACGAGAGTTAGCATTTCCTAGTGTGGAGAAAAAAAATCAGATAAAGAAATTGCACTAGAAAGTGAAATTGGATTTTTTAAAAAATCAATGAAGTAACCAGGCTATTAAAATGGAAAATAAGTCTGATGTCATTCTGAAAAATAAGGGAGTGAGTCACCTGCAGAGCCACTTAATTAAGCACAGGAAGTAACAGGAGAGCTTGAGTAATTTTCCCCGTTAATGTCAGTATTTCAAAATGAGTGAGGCGTTAGGCCACTCTCTTTTAATCTGAGAGCTAAATCAGCTCTTTTGCCCTCAGGACATCTTGAGACATTTGAAGTTGATGAAGAGCAAAAAGGAATGTATTAAAAATTATCCCAACTGCACTCAAACAAGGAGAAAACTAAGCTTTCTACTTTAGGTCCCTGGGGCGTGGAGTGATGGAGGCCGGGGAGCAGGCACTGGGAGCAGGCGCTGGGAGCCTGGGGCTGGAACGCTCTCCATACGGAGGGGGGAGGCAGCCGAAGGGGGCACCGTCACAGTGGTCATAGGGAATGTCAGCAGAGGTCTTCCCAGGCTCCTGGGGATTGCAGTAATTTTCATTTCTGGCCTGTAGCAGCTGAGAGGGGTGGCTTCTGTGTTTGGGTTTTCACAGAAGTGATGTGGGACATTTGAGCACCTTGAAAGAAAGTGTCCGTTCTCCTTCCTGTCAATGCGGGGTCAAGCGGGGCCTGGCTGGCCTCCCCTCCTGCCTCTACCAGCCAGAGCGCCCTGGCTTCATCTGCCCCAGCCAGGACACTAGGTCTGGGGCGCTCTCCCAAACAGCAGTATAGAAATGCCCCAGGCCTGCCCCAGACCCACCCTAGGGAAGCGTGGGGACCGTCCCAAGGTGCGCTTGGGGGCTCTGAGTCTCAGTCCTCTCCACCAAAGTGAAGGAGGCTCCTGAGGTTCCTGCTGGATCCCAAACTAGAGCAGGCTCTGACAAGGAGGACCGGGGCTGTCCCCTGAGGCCTCGTGTTTAGAGCATTCCATCGTCCTCCATCCATCAGGGCCATCATCATCAAAGGCCTGTTCCTCTCCACTGCTGGGATTAGCATAGTTTGCACCTATGTCTTTTGGTGTTGGTTGGTTGTTTTGTGTCTACTATTATTATTTAACTTTGCTGAAATTCGGGAACTTTAATCCCTACATCTGGCCTGGTTTCCATAAGGGCTTGTTTGGAGAACCAAGCCCACGGGGGTGTGAGTGCCTGCGAAACACAGAAAGAAGCCGAGACCCAGGACTGAAGACTCGAGACTGCTTTGGGCGTGTGGAGTTTGCATCCCTGATGAGTAAGTCAGTCTGTTCTGAATGATCCAAGCTTAATTCGTGGTTAAAAACAAAAACTGGCCACAACCAGGCAGCTCTAGGTTTTAGACAGCACCCTAAACCCCAAGGACCACCAGACACTTTCCCAATATTAACCACCAAGAGTGAAAAATGCATAATGCTCAGTTTGCAAAGTTAACTTCATTAGAAATGATTCTCCCTCCCAGGTAGTTCTTTATTACTTCATCTTGAAATTGGCAATGTAGCGCTGGGTTTTTACTCTAACTTTTAAAATGTTTCTCGTTCTCCCCCATCCCACCCCAAATAGAATCGCTTGATAAAAACAAAAGCAAATTAATATTTGGTGTTCACGTTTTTAACCAATCAGCCAACTGAGAACCAGGTGGGCTAATCCTAATCCCTTTTTGAGGATTGTCCTGAAGGCCAGAGGCCAGGTGTGGCCTCCAGCCTCAGGCACCCACAGACTTTCAAGAGGCCTCTTCCTGAGGTCCTCTCTCCCTACTTTAACAAATTCTCCTCCCACATGAGATGACACATCTGACAGTCACCCAGCTGCTTGATGTATGCAGGTCAAGCTGTGAACTGGCTTTGAGTTCCAATCACCATTAGAAGGTAAATTCACTGACTTGAAAGCTTACTGATGTCATGGAGTCATAATCAAAGATCTCTTTGAAGTGGAAGTTGGTCAGTCATTGCAGGAGGAGGTAAGAAGGGGTGAGATAAAAACTCAGGCAGCTGAAACCATTACCCTCCGGGGAAGCAAACCCCAGCCCTCAATTCTGAATCCCCAGTAAGGCCTCTCCCCAGTGCAAGCAAGCCCACCTTTCCTTAGCCATCCCCATTCATATCCTCATCTGCTTCTGCCTCACCAAGGGTGACTGCTGTTCAAATCCTGGCTCAGCTGCTCACCGGCCTTATGCCCCTGCCCTGGGGAAGGCCAATGCTTGGCTGCTTGCTCACCTACTAAACAAGAACCCTCTGAGTGTTGGTGCATTTCCCTCGGTGAAGGGTTTGGCTTGGAGTCAGGGTCTTCTCTCTCTCTTCTGATTGCGAGCCTGGCCGGACCCTTGCCTGGGTAAATACACATGCTCTACCCTCACCTGCCCCCGACATCCCACCCACCTGCCCTTCTCTGCCCCCTGGGCCTGCCCCATCCCTTGGCTTCCTGCCCTGCCTTTGACCTGGCACCAGCACAATGTGCGGGTTGCTGAGACCAGGAACAGGTTCATGCCAGGAGAGTCGTTTCCTGACCCAACGATCAGCTGCATGAGAAGGGGTGACATCATCGAACTTCCACGGTCACTCTGCCCCAGAGCCCCTGCATGCATCTGCCCTGGGGAAGCACGGCCCCCAACAACTGATATACCACGCCCCAGCAGTCTCCCGGCCTCAGGAGGACCTGCGGTCAAAGCCGCCAAAACTGTGATAGTAGCACAGCAGAGCTGCCTCGATTTGTGGGAATGCAAAGGGAGCCTGGGCTGCTCTGCCAAAGCCAAAACCGCACTGATTTTCTACCAGGCACCAGCTACTCCGAATGCACAAACACACCCTCCACTTCCCGGAGAGGAGACATCTATGAAGCCTGTGTGGGCCCTGCCCGCTGATGCCCAGGGCAGTGGGATTTGGTTTTTTGTCCAGGAAAGGCATGGATATAAATCATGGCTGATGGGGTCGGTGGCTGTGTGTTGGTTTTTGGGCTGCCCCACATCCACCCCTGCCTATTGGCCCCAGTTTCCTTTTGGGGATGAGTTTTCCCCCACTGTGTTTGGTGTGGGTGGGAGAATAATCTTAGGTGCCTGGCCTCCACCGTGGAAGTCTAGGAAGTGAAATCCTGTCTCTCCCTGCCTGTGGTCACACAGGGTAGGGTAGGTGACCTAACCCTAGCTCACAGGCCCTCACCGAAGAGGTGGCATCTGCAATGAGTGAGACAGGGACAGAGGATCAGCAGGTCCAGCTGGGACCCTGGACTGATGGCCTCTGCCATAAGACAGGGTTGTGCTTCCTGCCTTCCCAGGACAAATTCCCTGAGCCCCTCATTACCTTCCAGTTTGCTCCGTTGAGCGAGCTGGAGCCTCTTTCTCATGATGATAGAATCCTAACTGATACTGCAAGGGGATACTGTCTAGCCTTCAGTAAGCCACTGTAAGCCCCCCAGGGTCCCTGACAGTGGCCTGGGTATAGTGTCATGGGGACAACAAAGAGAAGCACAGGCCTTCAAGCAGGTGAAATCGTGTGTGTTTTTTTTCTTTTCGTTTTCTCTTTCTTTTTTTAAAAAAGAGATGGGGTCTTGCTTTGTTGCCCCGGCTGGAGTGTAGTGGTAGGATCATAGCTCACTGCAGCCTCCATCTCCTGGGCTCAAGAGATCCTCCTGCCTAGCCTCTGGAATATCTGGGACTACAGGTGTGTGTCACCACACTGATCTTTTGTTTGTTTGTTTGTTTTTTTCATTTTTTGTAGAGACGGAGTCTGCCATGTTGCCCAGGCTAGTCTCAAACTCCTGGTCTGAAGCCATCCTACCGCCTGGCCTCCGAAAGTGCTGGGATTACAGGTGTGAGTGCCGTTCCTGGCTGGTGTGTTTCTTCTGGAGAGGAGTCATTTGCTAATATCTGTATCTGCTGCCTCTCTCTTTTGGCAGAGCCTCTGTCTGTGTATGCATGACAGAGTTTTTCCTCTCTTACCAGTAAATTAGCAGAATATAGTTTCGTTTGCTGTTGTCATTCCTCTAAATGGGTGAGTATTTTATGTCTGAGGGACCTTCCCTGCCTGGGAGACAACTGATTCTCCAAAGCACACTAGTGGCCAGCAGCTCTGAGTGTGCCACAAATGCACGTGCCTGTTCCATTTGTACAAGGAGGATTTGCAATCACTGCATCTGCTGGCCTGCCCAGGACAGAGCCCTGTGGAACCTGGGTGCTCACCCTCACCCTGCTCACAGGGATCCCCCGGATGCCCTGGTGGCTCAGGCAAGAGCCCTCTAGTCCAGAATCCTGTCATTCATCCTGGTGAGGAATGAAGCTCTGGGGCAGTCGGGGCCTATAAAGGCAGTGGCTCCTCCTCCCACCATGTTCTTAGTGACCTACAATGAGAGGAAAATCCATAAATGCCCCTAACCCAGTTATTTTAAGTATACAATGCAGTGGCATTAAGTACATTCACAATGTTGTACAACCAGCACCACTGTTTCCAAAACATTTTTCATCACCTCAAACTGAAACTCCGTACCTGTTAACCAATAACTCCCCATTCTCCCCTCTCCCCAGCCCCTGGCAACCTCGATTCTAGTTTCTGTCTCAATCAGTTTGACTAATCTAGGTACCTTATATACGTGTTTTTATACAATATTCGTCCTTTTGTACCTGGCTTATTTCACTTAGCATGTTTTCAAGGTTCATCCACGTTGTAGCATATATAAGAACTTGATTCCTTTTTATGGCTGAATAGTATTCCATTGTGTGTACATACCACATTTTGTTTATCTGCCAACAGAAACTTGGGTTGTTTACACTTTTTTTAAGCTATTGTGAATAATGCTGCAATAAATATTGGTATACTAGTCTCTATTGGAGTCCTTGCTTTCAATTCTTTGGGGTACAAACATAAAAATGGAATTGCTGGGTCATATGCTAATTCTCTATTCAACTTTTTAAGGAAACATTAAACTGTTTTCCAAAACAGCTGTATCATTTTCCATTCTCAACGGCAATGTCTGAAGTTTCCAACTTTTCCACATCCTCATCCACACTGATTACCTTCTTTTTTGTTTGTTTGTTTGTGTTGTCGCCATCCTAATGGGAGTCAAGTAGAGTCTCATTGTGGTTTTGATTTGCCTGTCCCTAATGACCAATGATGCTGAGCATCTTTTCATGTGTTTATTAGCCAGCTGTTTATCTCTAACTGCTCCTGATACTCCTGCATGTGTATTCAAAGATAAGCTGTGCCTGAATGTCCTTTCTCACACTCAACTTCTAATTGCAACAAAGCTCAAACTCCTGCTGCTCGCAGCCCTGCTTTGAGATGCACCTGGGATGACTTAACCCTTTGGCTGCTTTCAAAGAGGGTGAAAGGAATCCTAGTAGAGCAGGGTTATGGAAAGTCCTGAGAACAGGCACTAACATTCAGTTAGTTTCTTGGCAGAGACTTCCTTTTTTGCACAATCACAAATAACGAGGGTGCTTGTGGCAGAAGGAACTTCAGACTCATGCCTGGTGCCACGCAGCACCTGCATGGAGAAGGGTCTCCTGTGGGCAGAGGAAAGCCCCAGACAGGGCACAGGTGCTGGCCAGTGGCTCAAGAGGGTGCAGCTGCCTCGGCCTTTTCCAGACCAGCCTTGACCCCTGCCCGCCCAGAGAAACAACTGTTCCCATTTTGACCAACTTGCTTGGAGACACCTGACCAGCAGCCTACCACCAAAATCACAAAATAACCATGGCATCGTGTTTCTCGCGGACAGATGCTGAGACGCAGCCAGCCACCCTTTGGTTTTTAGTGCTCTTCCCTGATAGCATCTGTTGGCCTGCTGAGTCACACTGCAGGTGAAGTGCACTCATCCCTCTGTGTGAGCTCTGGCCATTTGCTGCCTGTGGTTCCCCCATGAGTCAGTGGCATTGGGCCTTACTCTGAGGAGATGTAATGGAGGGACATGGAGGTCACAGGGCATGCGCTGAGAGGAGAGTTTGCAATTCTTGAAGAGTTTATTTTGAATAAGCTGAGTCATGATTACTTCAAGGACTAGGCTCAGCTGTAGACACCAGCTGCAAAGCCAAAGCCTGGGGCATTTTGTCTGGTGAAACTCTGAAAGTTTCCATAAGATGTTATTTTGAGTAGAACTAGATAACTTTTTTCCTGATGAAACATGCAATTTTCTATAAAACCTTTAAAAATCAAAACGTAAAAGAATTAATGCCTTACTCATTCCAAAGTAACAAAGAGTGTCTCATATATTTAAACATTCAAATCAACTTCCAAATTCAGTCTGCTATAAATTCAGTACAGAAATGGGGAGGATGTAGAAGAATGAGGAAGACCCAGGGAGAGGGAATTCACAATTCACTCAAAATGCAATCAAGGTGGCTATTCTTTTAAACATTTACAACAGCTTTGACACTTCTTCTTTGGTTTTCGGATAGAGCGTCTTCTTGAAATCTCTGAGTCAAAGTTGATATCTTTTAAGACGTTCTTCTGTTCCCCAAAGTGTCTTTGCTTTTTCAGGGATAGGCTGGTGGTTCCTCTTGGGTGTCCTCAGCCATGCCAAGTCCTCCTGGGACCCGGGAGGCTGGGTTGTCCTGTCCTGGTGGGAGTGAAGGACCGTGGTTGGGTGAAGTCTTGGTGGAGGCAGCTGCCTAGCTCTCCTGTGCTCTCCTCTGGTGGAGTGGGGAGACTTGCTGCTCTGTAGATATGAGCTCGGGGAGGAATGAGGGCTGAGCTCCCTCCACAGCCACCCAGTGTCTCAGCAGGAGGGCCCCACTTGGAGATGCCAAGACCCTCCCAGTGGGTTCTCTCCTAGCACAGCAAGGGAGAGCTGCACCAGCAGGTGGAGAAGTTGGGGAACAGATAAGCAGCAGCCTCTCAGCCAGGTGGACACCTCAGCGTGGGAGCCTCAAGCAGCCTTGAGGGCAGTGGCGGAGAGGAAGGACCTCCTCCCCTCACTGTCCACAGCATGGCCCTCCACCCTCTGTCTCCCTTGGTCTGTTGATATCTCTCTTTTCTCCTCCCTGCAAGCTCTTATGACTATGTTACATGTGTGGTTGGTTTGTTGGAAGGACAAGAGAAGGAGCAGGAGTTAGAATCATCTGTGGCACCCACCAGTCTCACCTCCACCCAGGTCTATCTTCCCAGCAAAACACTACATGGTCCCCTGTATGGAAAACTTCCCCAATACTCTCTCACCTCCCTGCACTCTGCCAATCTGTCATCTTAACTTTGAACAGCCCTAGACGGCCATCGTCATGAAACTCAGCTCCCAAGGCTTGCCACTTGAACAGCTTTCCACATCTCCCCACAGAGTCCTCTAAGATAAAAACCAATAGCCCTGGGAGGTATCATTTTTTATTTTACAGGGCCCCATGCAATGGCATGAAGCCAGACAGCAGAATAAAAGCGGAATTCCTCCTCACAGCCTTGGCCTTGCCTCCTTTACCTTCTGCCTTGCCCTCTGTCCTCCCAGCTTTCCATGTCTTTCTTCCTCCGTTTCCCTTTCCTCCTTTCCTTCCTTCCTACCTGTCCATTCTCCCTTCCCATTTTTTTTCTTTCCTCCATGCACCAGTTTTCCAGCCTTGTTCCGCCCTAGGACCCTGGGCCTGAAGAGGCTGGAGCTGCAGTCCTGACGCTTCTTCCTCCCAGAGCCCCAGGGATGTGTTCCTACCTTTGGTGGACCCCTCACCACCTATGCCAAGCATTAAAATCTCCCTCCTTCAGCCAGTCTAGGCCGGAGAGCGCGCCTGAATCTTCCTGCCTCCCCTCTTCACGTGTGTCCCTAAGGATAGGCTTGTGCCCTGTCTATGAGGCGGACATAGTTGACAATGAACTGACAGTGGTAGTCCCCAGCCTCCACTTGTAATACCTGGGGACATCTCCCCAACTCCCCCCATCATTCTCCCGTCATATCCCCCCAGAGGATGCGCAACATCCTCTGGCCAAGGATACAGCTCATTCTACCTGGAGCCCCTTGGACCAGCACAGCTGCCTGGGCCCCTCCCCTGCATCACTGGAATGCCCGAGGCCGCCAGACGAGGTGGCCTCCTTCCCAACGCAAGGATGTTCCCCTGGGGTGTTCTGTCACATAAATTCTTCCAAGAATTTATTTCCAGAAAAAATTAAATTCCCCAAAGAATTGGTATATTTTCTTTTATTAGACAATAAGAGCTGCACACCACAGCGCTTGCCTTTTCTTTTTGCTTTTCTTTCCAGGGCTGTGTTAGTGCTGATTATGGATGTATTCATCAGCTCTCTTTTCTGTTCTTTCTCTTTCTGCTGCCATTTGTCCAGTTTATTCTTGGGTGTGTGCGCATGTGTACTTATGGAGAGCTCAGTTCAAGTAACTTTGTGGGAAGGCTGGCCGGGCCGGCTTCTGTGGTCTTGATGCACCACCCTTGTCCTTCCTCCCACCTCTCCTGGCATTCACACCTGCTTCAGAGTCCCCTCCACACATTCAATTTGGGGTCCTCTACCCCTACTTCGGCCCATGTGATCACCAAGTGGTCCAGAGCAGTCCTTGGACCTGTCCACCCCATGAAATGGGAGCTTTCCAAAAAGAAAGAAATCACCTTACATGGTAGATCAGGCCTGAATGCCTGCAGAGCCTCCTGGCTAAAGGACCAAGTTTCTACCTCCTTCCCATCAGCTCCCATCTCTCAAGGGACTGAGTTTCTACTCTCCTTTCCCTCAGTCCCCATCTTTCCCCACTCTGTCACAAAGGAGGGAAGAGAAGAAGATGGAATTTTGGTTTCACAGGTGAAGGAAGGGGATCTTGGTAATGAGGGAGGTTGGAAATTGTCAAATCAGCATCCATGAGCACAGCCACCCCAGAGGAAGTTCTTGGTCTATCCTTGCACAGGTCTTCAGCCCAGTGGGTGGAGGTGTAGTTTGCAATGAATGATGACAGATTCCCCTTGCCAGACCCTGGAACCAAAGGTTTGGAGGGCCTTCTCAACAGGCCCTCCATAAACAAGACAGAAACTTGCAGTTAGCGGGGAATTATTTCTTTGAGTGGCAGCTCAGCTTTTTGCAAAGTCCCACCACAGATCGAAGGGCTCTTTTTGCCTGGGGGAGAAAAGCTGCTTTCTATAAGCTTTTAATATTCAGCAGGGCTTCATAGAGTTACAATCGAAGCTTCATCTTAAATGACAACTTGTGTCTGGACATCAAAATTACCCCATCTTGGCCGGGCGCCGTGGCTCACGCCTGTAATCCCAGCACTTTGGGAGGCTGAGGCAGGTGGATCACCTGAGGTCAGGAGTTCAGGACCAGCCTGGCCAACACAGTGAAACCCCATCTCTACTAAAAATGCAAAAAATAGCCAGGTGTGGTGGCACGCCCCTGTAATCCTGGCTACTTCGGAGGCTGAGGTGGGAGAATTGCTTGAACCCGGGAGGCGGAAGTTGCAGTGAACTGAGATCGCACCACTGCACTCTAGCCTGGGTGACAGAGCAAGACCCCTTCTCAAAAAAAAAAAAAATTCACCCCATCTTTTCTTATCTGTGCGCATACTTTAAGGAAAATAGAGATGTATAAGTCATTTTGAAGTAAGCTTAAGTATGGTGTTGGAGCCACTAACAGAGCCAGAAAAGTGTTTCAAATAAAGTACAAAGTTTATGATGTGAGCCTGTGACCTCCACTACCTTACTCAAATACAAGAGTGGACAGATATCAAGCACGGGTCCTCCAGACCTCAAGCTGTTCTCATTGGTTTGTTGGGTAAGAGGGTCAGTTGGGTGAAGAGTCATCCTTGAATTCTAGACTTGGCACCGACTCCACTCATGGGATTAAAGCCTGCATTGTCTATAGCCCTGAGCGCCTGCCATGCACCTGCCAACTAGCCCACTGTTGGCTACGTGGAAGGACAAGGATTGGTGTCTGGTCACCAACTGGGCCAGCATTTGTAATGGCCTTATAAACATGGGTGTGAGGTTTGTGCACACCCCCTGAGTACTGGCTACCTTTGCCAGGCTCCAGTGGTGTACCCCCTCAGTGACAGGAGAGGTTTAAAAGGTGGGGAGGGCAGTCCAATCAAGTGTGGGTCCCTGTATGACATCACCCAACCCAAGAGAGGACTTGAAGCACAAGAGGTGTGGTGAGAATTGGCTCATGCTCCTTCCTTTGTTGATCTGCCTTTCCAGGGACACTTCCACCCCAAATCAAGAACAGAGTTTAGGATGAGGCTCACCTCTTTTGGCACAGCCTCTGCCCTGACACCCTTACCCTTTGGCCCCTGCTCTGAGGTTCTTTCAGATCTTTGCAGAGACCAGGCTCTCTCTTGCTCCAGCCCTTCGCTCAAACTGGGACTCAATGCCCTCTACCCTGGCCTGTCTGCTCCTTTCATCCTTCCAATCCCAGCCTGGGAGGCTTCTGTCATCCCTTCAAGAGTGGGTTAGGGCCTCCAAGCCTCCCCTACCATCCATGCCATCCCTGCATTGGGTACTGGTCTTGTGGGTCTTCCCCTAGGCAGGAACCAAGTCAGCCTGAACCACTGATACATCCTGAGTGCCCCTCACTGAACTGGGCAAATAGCAGACTCTTAAAAATGCTCAAAGCATGAAAAACCCCCTGGACTCGCTGAATGTGAGCGTCCAACTGAATAGAATCAGTAGGAGCTCACTTCGGAGCAGCTAGCAGGAAGAGAGCCACACCCGATGCATTGTGGTTCCTTCAAACCCAGCAAGCTGGTCAGTGCTAACCCTTGGGACACTTTTGGGAGCTGCGGAGAGATCTGATTCTGTGGAGCAGTTGAGGTTTCAGGTAAACTATAACCACATGAATAGAATGTGATGGGCTTGTTCATTTTTCAGGGTTAGAGTTGCCTAGGCCAGAATATCCGGGAGCCTCCTGTCTCTGCACTGTGCACAATGCAAGAACATCCGGGCAGCCCTACTCTGGAATCTCCACAAGGGCAGAGACCCATAGGATTTATTCCCACTGGTTCCCAGCCCCCAGCACAGTGCCTGACCTACAGGAGTTGCTCAGCAATTGTTGGTTGAATGATTGAAGGGAGAAAAAAATGAGTGATAGGGTTTGGATTTGCGTCCCCACCAAATCTCTTGTCAAACCGTAGTCCCTAGTGTTGGAGGTGGGGCCTGGTGGGAGGTGGTTGGATCATGGGGGTGGATTTCTCATGAATAGTTTAGCACTACCCTCTTGGTGTTGTTATCGTGGTACTGAGTTCTCTCAAGATCTGGTCTTTAAAAGTGTGAAGCATCTCCCCTCTCACTCTCTCTTGCTCCTGCTCCTGCTATGTAAGACACCTGTTCCCCCTTGCTTTCTGCCATGATTGGAAGCTTTCTGAGGCCTCCCCAGAAGCAGAATCCACTACGCTCGCTGTACAGCCTGCAGAACCGTGAGCCAAGTAAACCTCTTTTCTTTGTAAATGACCCAGTCTCAGGTATTTCTTTATAGCGGTGCAAGAATGGACTAATACAATGAGTTTATGGACAGAAAAGTTCTTTCTTAGAGAAACAGATAATGTAGCTCCAGCTGAGTCTGGAGACTTTCCCAGTTAAATTGGAAAACCCTGTCTTTAATATATTTACAGGTGATGTTCCACTTTCAGGACTTACTCTCCCACATGAGCACATGGAAATCCTGAAGACGATCTTCACTTAAATGCTCATGATGATGAGAAAGGGACCATAAGATAGATACCACCCAGCAATGAGAACGAGTTACGTCCACAGGTAGCAACAGGATAGAGCTCAATAACATGGAGAGAAGAAAGCAAATTGCAGAACAACTCCTTTTACATCAGCATATAAAACCCAACACACGATACCCTATATTGCTTTTAGATAAATGTATAGAATTCTAAACACCTGGACAGGAAATTCTATACCCAACTCAGGGTGGTGAGATGAGGCTGAGGACCCACGATGGGTGGGGATGAGAGAGGACTGTGGGAATCAAGCTGCAGTCAAAACAAGATCTGAAGCCAATAGAGTAAAATGTTCTCTGCTGAATGTTAAAGGTTGTCCCTATTAAGTGCATTTGTTATATTACTCTCTAGAGTTTTTTGCATATTTGAAAGTTCTATAATTTTTTCAAAGAAATAATTTTCTCAGATTATCGTAATAATTTAGAAACCAGCGGTTACTTTACTTAGCATTTGCTATAGAACCTACCAGAGTTATTTTACTTAAATAGTATAAAAATTGACCTTGCGAACAAGAATTCTTCTTTGAATTGAATTCTCCCAGTTTCCTAATTATTCAATTCAGCCTCTTTTGCACCAGTCTGCCCATTAACCAATGCAAATCCTTAAGGGACCATCTCAGGCTCCCCTGCCGTGAATACCCCATTGCTCCCTCCCTTTTCCTCAGCTCACCTTATCCTCCTGCTCAGCCTTCCTCAGATATCTGGGGGCCGCCATGCCCCTCTCCAAAGAGGTCAAGCGAGTTTTCAATGATAGCAAGCAAAACGTCTACGCACTAGAAGCAGTGGTGCTCAAACTTCCACATGCATCAGAGTCTTCTGGGGCTTGTGAAAACAGATTTCTGGACCCCACCCCCAGTGTTTCTGATTCAGTTGGTCTGGGATGGAGCCTGAGAATTTGTGTTTCTAATAAGTCTCAGGTGATGCTGATACTACCAGTCCAGGGGACACACTGATAAACGGTGGGTTGGAGAAGGTTGGAATGTCATGCCTCTGCATATTGTGTGCTGCATGTGCTGTGAAAGAATGGCACGCTTCTGTGAGCCTGGTCTGTCCTTCCTGGTGCCCTCTGCCCTGACATTTCATCATCACGACAATATCTGGCATTGATCTTTGTTTTAGTCCCTCTCCGCAGAGAACAGATTTAATCACATATATTTCCATTTGGTCTGGACCAAGTCAACTTTTGGCCAGAAGAGAACATCCAAAATTAAATAAACATTATTGTGTGAAGAATGAAGAGGGAGATGAAGAGAAAGTCAAAGGGCCCAAGAAATTAGAAATGAAAGCAGGAAGAAAGATGCAAGGCAAGAGGGAACATGGAGAAATAAGAAAGTTGATACTTTCCATTCCCACTGACGCAAGAGGCCCCCAGGACCAGCAGACAAAGAACAGAGGGACTGTCTGTCATTCCTGTGTGGAATAATCGTCTCTAGCCAGAAAACAAACAAACAAAATCAGTGTCTGAGAAGGATAATTGACAGGCAGGAGTTCTCCATCTTGGAAACTCTTTAACACAGAGTTTTGTTGTCATCATCTCTTGTGGGGGCTTTGGATGTCTTCAAGTCCTGTCCACACAACTCTGGAGGCACACGGTCCCTATGGGAGGGGACTTCCCTGGCAGAGTCTGTGTCCAGACACATGTGGGAGCTGGTACAGAAGGGAAATAGACAGCTTCCCATTTTTAGGGGCTTGGGGCTTAAACACATTTGTTCTTGAGTCAGGCGAGAAATCAGCAGCAAACAAGACAAGGGTGGGAAGGAGAGGTGGTGGTGGTAAAGAGAGCGCTTCGGCTTTCATAGATGGAATTTAAGGCAGAAACCATATGCCTGAATTTCCAACCCTTCCAGTGCTTGGGAATCGCCTGGGCCTCACTCCCACAGATCGTGATGTATTGGTCTGGACTGGAGCCTACTCGGCAAAACTGTTCCTGACTGATGCCACAGGGCAGGTTTGAGTCTCACTGATCTAGAATAGAGCCCAGCCATCATCCTGCAGCTACAAGAGAGGAAACTGAGTCTCAGAGGGATTAAGCAACTTGCCTAAGGTCACATACAAGGGAAGAGCAGAAGGAAGGTGAGAACTCAGATCTCCTGACAACTATCTCAAGTGGAGAGAAAATAAGTTTTGGATGAGTTTAAGGTTAAAACTAGTTGGCCATTTTCCCCACATCAGCATCCAGAGGGAGGATTTCCCCTGATGAGCATCCAGTGGAAGGAACCCCAGGACAAGACAGGAATAGACTCCAGGTCTCATGCTTGCATTTCTCAGTGGGGTTCTGTCCACACACTGCTGAAATGAGTCTGAAATGGTCCTGTCCTGCCTGCTATCTCCTGGGAGGCCTGATGCCTGCAGGCTGTCCCTGCAGGCAGTGACACCTGTGTTTGGCCTGTGTGGTTGTCCCCATGACATGGGCTTCCTCTCTCTTGGTATCTACTCCTAGGAAAGAACTTGCCCCTTCAGAGGGTGGCACAGCAAGTTTGGAATATGGTATCCACAGATGAGGAAATGAATCAGCAACAGGAAAATATTTCAGGGCAACTGCAGCTTACTAAGTGTTCACTCTGCCAGGCATTGAGCCTCTGGCGTAGTAGGATCCCAGGACATGTCATGAAACTCCCAGGTAGGTGGCAGCCCATCTGACAGTTTTGAGAACGAGTCAGTACCTGCACCGCGTGGGGAGGGAATGCAGCAGAGCAGGGAGACAGGAGCTAGCAGGCCAGGCCTCTCTTGCATCTGATATGTTGAGAAAATGAAGCCAGAACTGGACCAGAGCAGCCTGGGATAACATCCAAGATGTCAGGGATGAGGCAGAAATTCCAGGGCAGGAGGCCCCATGACCTCCATTTTGCAGGATAACCTCACCCTCCAGAAAAAAGAAAAATGAGATGACCTGCTACCTTGCCAGGCTGATGCCCAGTGGCATCCTACAGCCCACTGTGAGCTGTCCCCAACACTGGAAAGGAAAGGAGGCTGTGACGGATGAGTGGCCAGCTGGCTCAGGCCTTAGTTTTCTCATCTATACAAGGGGCTGTGTGTTGCAAGGATTCAACGAGATAGCCCAGGTCAAGCTCTTGGCAGGGGGCACAGTCTTTTCTAAGTGCTGCAGAGACATTAGCTATTGCCATTGTTGCTAGTATTCTTATGAGAGTCTAAAAATTGCTTTTTCTTCTTAGTCTCTTAAAATAGAATCACACTAAATTCTAGAAGCAAAAGCAGAAATAGAGCTGATGTCATCCAATTATAAGCCTGAAAAGTCACTTTCATTAAAATGCAGCATTAACATCAACCCTAGAAGGGCTTCTCCTCCACAACCAGAAGGAATTGATTTGCCCAATCCTTGCCTTTCAGGTACTTCACTGGTTCCACAAGAGGCTTCACAGAAGAGCCCTCAAGATCTCCTACTAAGAAAACCATCTACTCTGTTTTATCAGGACTAAGTGACCGACATCCACTAACGTGTGTCCCTCCAACACTTCCTACATGTTAGTGTAGAGAGTGACAGGAGGAGCTTTCCTGCCCATTCATTTATCTGCTCATTTATTCATTGATTCATTCATCAGTTGGCTACTGAATACCCACCCCATGGCAGGCACAGTTTCAGGTGCAACGTTGAGACAGAGCACGGAGTTGGCAGGGCAGAGACAGAGGCAGGCTATGGACCAGAAGCCATCAGAAGCACTCCTAACAAAAATTAAGCAGGGTGAAGAACAAAGAGCACCTGAGTGGTCTAGGATGATCATGACCTTTGGGAATGTGGCAGCTGAGACCTGAGCGTCGGAGGGTCCAGGCTCTCAGGACCTCTAGTCAAACACTCCAGGCAGAGACAAATGCTCTGAGGCAGGTACCTGTGCCCCTTGCTAGTTAACTCTGGGTCTAAGTGGTTAACCAGGCTTAACCTTGGCAGCCTGAATAAGACTCCTCCCCTCCCACCTCTCCTGGTGGGCAGACCCTTCCTATAGCCACAAGGAGCCTTTGTCTTCAGTGACCCCTCCCCACCTGCGACACAAAGCAGAGGTGAGACTGGAGGTACTCGGACCAGACACCCCCATCTCCCAAGGATGACTGTTCTGCATTCTGGAACCATGGGCAGGGCATGGGCACTCTGTTTCCTCATCTGGAAAATGGGCATGATCCCTGCTTTACAGGATTGCTCAGAGGTTCACAGGAGATGGCAGAAAAGTCATTGTGCAAAATGTAAGCAAATATCCAAGCATGGCACATTTGAAATTGGAGTCCTCCAGGTGACTAAGTGATTTCTGTAAATTGTGTTGTCATTGTAACTTCCTTTTACATCCACATCCTTAAGTTTTCTGCCTTCTTTAAAACCTGCTTGCATGCAGCTCCCAGAATTAGCAATCACTAAGCCTAATTAGTCTTCTCCTCCCAGAGGGCTCTGCCTTTTATTTTTCCTTTTATTTTTAGTTGACACAAAATAATTGCGCATATTTATGGTGCACAGAGTGATATTTCAGTACATGCATATAATGATCAAATCAGGATAATTAGGAAATACATCACCTAAAGATATATCATTTTTTCATGCTGAGAATATTCAAAATCTTCTCTTCCAGCTTTGTGAACATATGCAATATATTCTTGTTAACTATAGGCATACCTCTGAGATATTGCCAGTTTGGTTCCACACCACTGCAATAAAGTGAATATTGCAATAAAGTGAGTCACATAAATTTTTTGGTTTCCTAGTGACTATAAAAGTTATGCTTATACCATACTGTAGCCCATAAGCATGTAATAGCATTATGTCTAAAAAATATACACACCTGATTTAAAAATAGATTATTGCTAAAAAAAAAATGCTGGTGGTTTTGGTATGTTGCAGCTCTATTTTCACTTGTTTTGAGAACTTTTTTGACCTCCTTCTTAATTTCTTCATTCACCCATTGACCATTCAGGAGCACGTTGTTTAATTTCCATGGATTTGTACAGTTTTCAAAGTTCCTTTTGTCATCGATTTCTGGTTTTATTCGATTGTGGTCTGAGAACATATTTGATATGATTTCAATTATTAAAAATTTGTTGAGGCTTGTTTTGTGGCCTAACATATGGTCTATCTTAGAGAATGTTTCATGTACTGAAGAGGGAAGCATGTGATTCTGCAGCTACTGGATGAAATGTTCTGTAAATGTCTATTAGCTTCATTTAGTCTCTAGTGCAGTATAAGTCTAATGTTTCCTTGTTGATTTTCTGTCTAGATGATCTCTCCAAAGCTGAAAATTGAGTTTTAAAGTCCCAAACTATGATTGTATAAGCATCTATCTCTCTTTAGCTCTAATTATATTTTCTTTTTATATCTGGGTGCTCCAGTGTTGAGTATATGTATATTTATAATTGTTTTATCCTCTTACTCAAATGATCCCTTTATCATTATATAATTACCTCTTTTTCTCTATGTTTTATGACTTAAAATCTATTTTGTCTGCTGTAAGTATTGCTACTCCTGCACACTTTTGGTTTTTTTTTTTTTTTTGCATGCAATATCTTTTTTCATCCCTTCAGTTTCTGTCTATGTGTGTCTCCACAGGTGAAATTAGTTTCTTGTAGGTAGCATAGAGTTAGGTCACTTTTAAAATCCATTCAGCCAGTCTATATCTTTTAACTGGGAAATTTAAGCCATTTAAAAAAGTTGTTATTGATAGGTGAGGTCTTATTCCTGTCATTTCAATTGTTTTCTGATAATTTTAAATAATCCTTTTTCTTCCTTCCTTTCTTCCTTCCTTTCTTTCTTTCTTTCTTTCCTTTGTTTATCTTTGCAGTTTGGTGGTTTTCTGTAATGATAACATGTGGTTCCATTCTCTTTCTTATTTGTGTGTCTGCTTTACCAATGAGTTTTATACTTTAGGGTTTTCATGATGGTGAATATAGCCCTTTTGCTTCCAGATGTAGGACTCTCTTAAGCATTTATTGTAGGGTCAGTCTAGTGATGATAAATTCCATCAGTTTTTGCTTATCTAGGAAAGACTTTATTTCTCCTTCATTTCTCAAGGATATCTGTGCTGGGTACAGTATTGTTGACTGGCTAACAGAGGACCAATTAATAAGCCAAAGAAACGGCTCTTTAACAATGAACATTTCTGCCATCAACTGACAGATCCCAGGAATAAATGTTTTCCAGTGAGGAGACTTCTCTGGTTTTCAGAACACCTCTGGCTGCCCCTGCCCACCCCATAGAAGGGCTATCCCTCCAGGTCAGGTTAGCATCATCACCTAGAGCCAACAAGTCAAGGAGGTGATGGTTTGCCTTTGACATCTCTACCCAGACCAGACTCCACTGAGAAGACTCTCCCTTTTTCATCACTGCCCTACCTAGTTAGTTGGTCCTGCCCTGGGGCCAGAGTTTCACTAGGGGCTGAATAGTATACTGTTAGCTCAGGCAACAGATGAACTCTGCCTCCATGCGCAAATACAAAAAGCTATCTCTGCTTCTTTTTCACTCACTTAAGATTTTGGAAGAATGGCTCCTAAAGCGGGTGATCATCTGCCCTCACGACTTACAGTGCCTCAGCATCACATGCTATTCATTTTGCACAGCAAAACCAGGAAGTGAATATGACTGTTATCCCTACTTCACAAGTAGAGGACACTGAGGCCCTGAGAGGTTAAGAGGTGCAGGTAAGATTTGAACCTACGGGCTGTGTGCGGTGGCTTATGCCTGTAATCCCTGCACTCTGGGAGGCCGAGGCGGGCAGATCACGAGGTCAGGAGATTGAGACCATCCTGGCTAACACAGTGAAATCCCGTCTCTACTAAAAAATACAAAAAATTAGCCGGGCGTAGTGGCGCTGTAGTCCCAGCTACTTGGGAGGTTGAGGCAGGAGAATGGCATGAACCTGGGAGGCGGAGCTTGTAGTGAGCCAAGGTCGTGCCACTGCACTCCAGCCTGGGCGACAAAGCCAGACTCCATTTAAAAAAAAAAAAGAAAAAAAAAAGATTCGAACCTATGAGTTGTGCCTCCAGAACTCAAGATCTTTACTCTTTGCCACATCCTTCTGCAAGCCCAATCAAGGACTTGGGTGTTTTCAAGGTTTGCCCTTTCCACACAGCTGCCTCTCTCCTCCAGTCCATCCCAAATGAGGACTTCCTGTGGCCAATTTGCTACTGGGAGGAGGCAGAGACTGCCTCTTGCCGCCTCCTAGGGAAGTTTCTAGAACCTGACTTTGATAGTAGGAAGTAAAGAAGAGGAACCAAGGGTACAACAAGACCTTACTTTGTTTTCAAATCCCTGTTGTGGGGTCACTGCCAGCTGTCCTGTGGGATCTGTGTTATTACTGCTCAACTTGCAAGTTCTTTTCCCCTCCCTGGCCTCAATGTCATCCAAACAAGAGGGTTACAGTGGGTTTTCTAGAAGTCCCCACCTGACTTTAACATAATTTCAGCAACCTACTACTGGGACTACGCAGAGAGGTTTTGTAAAAAATGTACAGCTCATTGTTACCTCTCACTCGGTTCATTGATAGAATTAAGGGACTGGAAAGCCCTGGACATCTCATAATGAAATAAACTAGCCCTTTGTCTTTAAGGGCTCTTTCCTTCAGTATATCTACCTTCCATGTTAGAGCCCCTTTGCTCATTTAAAAAAATGTCAGGGTTATTTTAACAAAGTAACTCAGCAAAGGCTATTTATACGTTTTCAGAATGAGAGAGAGGAAATCCCTAAATAATTCTGTCTTTAGTTCTCCATGTCAGGGTACATCGGCATGGAATTAAAAAAAAAAAAAAAAAAAAACCAAGTCACCAGGTGAGTTGTACAGTGACAAGGAAGAGCTGAATGTGGCCTAGCCTCTCTAGTCTCCAGACAGGGTCATGGCATCAGAATAGAGCAGCTGGGAGGATCAGTACAAGAGCTGAGAGGCCTAGAGTCAGGGTAACCAAGCTCTGTAAGGTCCATGAGGTAGGTGGGCAGGCAGGTGAACAGAATGCTCTGCTGAAAGGAAGACTGACCTCTCTTTCAAAAGAAGATATCAGGGTACTTAACATAGACCATCTTTAAACAAGTAGCCCACTTACTTTCTTACTAATCTGTAATCTGTAATCAGCTCAGAATGAAAGAACAGCATTTTAGCTTCTAAAGTTTTTAAACATCATGTAAAATAGTCTTTGTGAGGCAATGAAGATGTTGCGGGTGTTTTCAACTCTGCAAACCCAAGTATGTTCTTTTCAGTAAACTCTTTACTGAAGTAGAAGATACATAGAGAAAAGCACACAAATAATAACCAGAACACACTGATGAATTTTCACAAAGGAGGCAAACCAGAGAAATCACTGACTAGGTCAAGAAGTAGGACATTGCCAACACCACAGAAGTCTCACTTGTACCCCTACCAGTCACATACCCAAAATAACTATCACCTTTGACTCCTGACCCCATTGATTAGCTTTGTCTGTTCTTGAACTTCATGTAAATGGAGTCATCAGGGTACCCTCTTGGTTTTCTGGCTTCTTTCACTGAACATGATGTTTATTACATTCATCCATGTTACTGTCTGTTGCATTAGGTCCTTTAATTTCATTGCTCAGTACATCTTATCCATTCCACTGTTGATGGAAATTTGGATTGTTTCCAGTCTTTGGTTACTATAACTAGAGAGTCATGAACATTTTTGTAGAATTTCTGGGTCATAAGATACACAAATGCTCAGCTGTAGTAGATCCTGCCAGTTTTCCAATGTGGTTATACTAATTTACACTCACACCAGCCAGAGGATGGCAGCTGTAGTTGCTGTATATTCTCTCTGGCACTTAGTATTATTAGTCTGTCATTTTGGACAACCCTGGTGGCTCTGTAGAGGTTATCTCCTTATGACTTGAATTTGCACTTCCTTGCTAGCATTTATTAGAAAATTACAAAGCCTCTTTTGTGAAGTGCTTGTTCAAATCTTTTGCCCATGTTTTCTATTGGGTTATTAATGACTCATGGAAATTCTTTAAATATTCTAGATACAAACCCTGTATTGGGTTTATGATTTGCAAATATCTTCTCTTACTCAAGGGCTTGCTTCTTCACTCTCTTAATGGTGTCTTTTGATAAACAGAAGTTCTTAGGTTTTAAAATTTTATGTATTTTATTTTTATTATTTTTGGAGTGCAGTTGTGCAAACAGGGCTCATTGCAGCCTCAAACTCCTGGACTCAAGCAATTCTTGCACCTCAGCCTCTTGAGTAGCTGGGACCACAAGGGTATGCCACCACACCTGGCTAATTTTTTAAATATTTTGTAGGGATCTTCCCTTCCTGGCCTCCCCAAGCGCTTGGAATACAGGTGTGAGCCATCGCACCCGGGCAGAAGTTCTTAGTTTTAATGAAGTCCAATTCATCAATCAGTCTTTTCCTTTGTGCTTAGTATATTTTGTATTACATTTGAAAAGATTTTACTCCAAGGTCATAAATTATTCTCTTATGTTATCTTTTAGAAGTTTTATTATTTTGCCTTTCACTTTTAGATCTACATTCTATCTGATTGATTTGTGTGTGTGGTGTGAGGTAGAGTCAAGATTCATTTTTTTTAAGTATGAAGATCCAACTGACCCTGCAACATTTATGCAAACATTATCTGTCCTATTCCAATTGCATGGCAGTATTGCTTTTGTCATAAATCAACTGACTGAATATGCGTGGTCTGTTTTCTAGTACTCTCTTTTCTGTTCCATTGGTCTATTTGTCTATGCTTGTGTGTATCTCACACTGTCTTATTTGCTAAAGCTTCAGAATAAGTCTTAACAAATGTTCTTGCTCAAGATTGTTTCAGTCCTTTAAATTTCCAAATAAAATATAAACTTTATTCCTCAAATAAAATAAACAAAATTCCACTAAAATTTGTTGTAAAATTGTACTGACTCTATAGGTCAATTTGGACAGAACTGACTATAAAAATATTGTCTTTTATTCCATGAATATATATTTTGGATTCTTTTAATGCCTCTTCACAATGATTTTATAGTTTTTAATTACATTTTATTAGATTTATTTCTCTGTATGTTGATGTTATTATACATGACATCATTTAACTTTTTAATTTTCCAATTATTTGTCACTCACCTAAAACTATTTGTTCTCTTAAGTTGATTTAGCAACTCCTCTTCCACGTGGTTAATACTACTAGTTTGTGATCAAAGTTATCATTCAAGGTAGAGCTTTTCAGTCTATTTTCTCTCTGTTATTCAGACTGGGGGATTTATATTGTTCTTTCCTCAATTTCACTGATTCTATCCTCTGTCATATCAATTCTACTATTGAGTAGAATCCAGTGATTTTTTTAAAATTTCTATTGTTATATTTTTTAATTCTATAATTTCCACTTGGTTCTTCTTTCACAATTTCTATTTCCTCACTGAGATTTTTCTATTCCTTCATTTGTTTCAAGAGAATTTGTAATTGCTTTCTGAAACATTTTTATAATGGCTGTTTTAAAGTCTGTCAGACAGTTCCACTATCTGATTCATCTCAGTGTTGGTGTCACTTGTCTTTTCTCATTTAGGTAGTTTTCCTAGTCCTTGGTATAATGTGTGTTTTTTCATTGTATTTGCACATCCTGTTTTTTATGTTAAAAGACTCTGGGTCTTTTTTTTTTTTTTTTTTTCAGGCTATCACCTAAGGTCCTAGCCTAGTTTAGTGGGCTGTAGGTCCAGTGGCAACTTCATTTCAGAGCCTTCATACTATTATAGCCTACTGGAGCTCCCACTGGTCCTTTCTGGTGCCCCTTTCTGGGGCTGAGGGAATTTCCATGGGCTGGGCCACCTGGTGCCTCTAGATGGGCAAAAGGAGTCTCAGGCCTACGGAGACCAAGAGTGCTTCCCAAACTAGGCTGCCTGTTATGATGTGGTTCCTATTGTTGATACCACCCAGTCACCCTACATGTCTGTCAGTGGAAGTGGAGGAGAATACCAGGCTCACCAGGAAGCAGGAGGAATGAGTCTATGTTGGCTGTCTTTTGGTGCCAAGTTGGGATCAGGTAATACCAGGCCTAGGTCACCTTCTCTTGTTGGATGCGGTGATGGTAAGACATCCTACCTCTATTGTTCCTCCAGTCTTAGGGTCCCTAACTAATTCCTCTTTCTGTTTCCATCTTTCAGAGTTCTCCTTTGGTTACCTCTTGCATTATTTCTAGACTTTATAATTGCATTTAACTGAGAGGAGAGAAGACAGAAATGGATCTATGCTATTTTGTCTGGACCAGAAGTCCTTTCAAAATTATTTTGAATGAAATAATTCATGGAATACATCACTACAAAGTCAGCCTTGAATACAATTTATTGACTTAAATATAGCTAAATTATTTTAAAAATTGGTAGACTCTTAGGATCCCGTCCACCCTTGGTCTCAAAAGAGATACCTTTTCATAGACATAGAATACCCTGACATATGGAGAGCCCACCACTTCCACAGTACCATGGAATCAGGGGAATTATCCAAATAGTGGTTTCCTTGTTGTACCCTAGGCAGGGACAGTCAAGAAAACTTCATGGATCTGTAGTGTAAAGCTAGGGAGAAAGAGGAAGAGTTGCCTGTTTGAATTTCTGTAACTAGCGTATCTCCAGATAATGCATGAACAGCCAGTAAAGATGAACGCAGATTATTGATGGAAAGAACACACATGGAGAAGAGAAAAAGCAAGTCCACAGAGCTTTTTAACATACACTCCCTCACCCCTACCCCCAGCTTAGAAGGGCAGGAACCTGCTGTCCAAAACAGGAAATATAGGAAATACCAGCTGAGAAACTGTCCACTTGACGTCCATGAGCCCAGCTGCCCCTCTCACCTCACTCCTATTTTAAGTCAGTGACACACAGTCATGCTTTCCTTTTCTGCACCTGAAGGAGTGATGTCACTCCAGACTGAGTCCTTATTAGAGGTGATGATGGAGTTATTTTTAGACCTGGGAATGGTCTAAAACATTTTGCCTCAGCCTAATCATTGGATCCTTCAAGGAAATGGATATTCTGATGCACATCCCACCCGGTGTCCTATCAAATGGAACCTTAGCTCTCAGGCAACTTGTTAGTTTGAAGGCAGTGACAATGAGGCCAAGAATGACTCCTGGCTCCTCCACTCTGCCATCACAGGCTGCACCCAGAGCCTCCCACATCAGATTGTACCCACCGTGCCAGTGGAAGTGATCTCTAAGTCAAGCTATTCCTGCCCTCTCTAGCCTACTTTCTCTGGGAGGCATTAGAACACAGTCAGATCCCGAGAGTCCAGACCTGGATTCTATTGCTTTGTAAGCTAGGTCTTTGGGCAAATTACTTCTCTAGGCTTTTGTTTCCCGGTCTACATAAATGAGACGAATTCATGGTTATGTGGACTAAGTAAAAAGTTGTAGGTACAAAGTTCCCCTGGTGCTGGCAGTGGGGAGTGCTCCATAATCTCTAGCCATTGCTATTGTTATTCTCAGCGTGCTGAAAGCACTTTCATGTATGCTGTTTCACTTGATCTTTTTTAAAAGGACTGTACATGTTTTAATTAATTTAATCTTCTGTATAGTTTTATGAAGAACACACTCTTTTGACCTCATTTAACAGCTAGCCATATAACTAATAAGTGATAGAGGTAAGATTTAAAGAGAGTCTGGTTTCAGAGAACATTCTCTTGATCACTGTATACAAATATTATTCCAACCATAGTGTAGGCTCTTCTGGTCTTACCCTTCCTATGAGAGAGGGGTTATTGTCTCCATTTCATAAATGAAAGCAGTAAGAGTCAGAGCAATTGACTGAGCTGACAAGTCATAGGATCACTGAACAAGGGCTCCAGTGGCAGTGCCTGGGAGTGGCAGAACAAATAGCACAGTATCACATACAACTGCAGCAACAGCAGCAGTACCCGCAGCAAGTACAATGACACATTTACTACACACTTGCTCTCATTTAATACTCACAAGAATTATGGCCTCTGGGTTCTATCATCAACACCATTGCAGATGAGGGGACCAAAGTTCAGCTGGATCAAGGAAGGTGTTCAGGGGCATAGAGCTAGGGAGTAATGGAGTTGGGTGTCCCCCTGGTCTACCATGCCCAAGCTGTGCCTCAGCTTCTGTGCTGCCATCTCCTGCAGCACTTAAGCAGAACCCCTAAGAACAACTAGCAGCACTTGCCTGATCAATGTAGCCAACAGAAGGAGGACAACCTATTTTTCATAGATTTTTTGGGGGATTTTCTATTTAAATAATCATGCTGCCTAAAAAAGGAGACAGTTTCATTTCTTATTTTCCAATGAGCATGACCTTTATTCCCTTTTCCTGCCTTATTGCAGTGGCTAGAACTTCTAGTACTGTGTTTAATAAGACTGATGAAAGTAGAAATCTTCGCCTTGTTTTGGATTGTATAAGGCAATGTATTCTGTCTTTATCATGAAATACAATGTCTGATGTAGTTTTTTAATAGATGTTCTTTATGAGGTTGAGGAAGTCTCCCTCTATTCCTAGTGTATTTGAGAGGATTTTCTATTTTCATCATTAATGGGTGTTGAATTTTGTTAAATAATTTTTTGTTGCCAACTGCTATGATTATATGGTTTCTCTTCTTTAGCCTGTTGCTATGATAAATTTTATTAATTTCTTTTCAAATATTGAATCAGCTTTGTCTACCTGGCATAAATTTCACTTGGTCATGGTGCTTTAGTCTTTTTATACATTGTTGGATTTTGATTAATTACATTTGATTGGTGATTTTTACATCCAAAGTTCATGAGAGATATTGATCTGTAGCTTTCTTTTTGCATACTTTCTTTAGATGGTTTGGGTATCAGAGTAATGACGGCTTCATAAAGAGAATTGGGAACTTCCTAATTTTCTCTTCTCTCCTATTTTCTGGAAGATACACATAGAATTGGCATTAATTTTTATTTGAATGTTTGGTAAAATTCTTGGATGAAACCCTCTGGACCTGGAGATTTCTTTTTGGGGAGTATTTTTATTATAAATCCAATTCTTAGAAATATCTACACAGCTATTCAGATTATCTGTTTCACCTTGGCTAAGTTTTAGTACTTTGTGGTTTTTGAGGAATTAGCCCATTTCTTCAAACTTGTTGAATATATGAGCATAAAGTTGATTACAGTTTTTAAATTATCTTTTTATAGCTAAAGACATCTATTGTGGTGTCCCCTATTTCATTTCTGATGTTGGTGATTCATGTCTTCTCTCTTTTTATATTTGCCATTCTTGCTAAAAGTTATTAATCTTATTAATTCTTTTAAAGAGACAACTTTCTGTTTCATTTTTTCTTTTTCCAGTTTTCAAGTTCATTAGTTTCTGCTCTTTTTTATTTCCTCCTTTCTGCTTCCTTTGAGTTTATTTTGCTCAACTTTTCTAATTTCTTGAAGTAGAAACTTAGATTAGTAATTTGAGATCATTCCTCTTTTCTAATGTAAGCATTTACTCCTATCAATTTTATTCTCAGCACTGCTTTAGCTAATCTTACAAATTTTAACATGTCATATTTTCATGTTCATTCTTTTCTTGTCTTTTTAAAATTTCCTTTGAGATTACCACTTTGATGCATGGATTATTTAAATGTTTTTTGTTTAGTTTCCAAGGGTTTGGAGATTTGCCTATTGACTTTCTGCCTTGATTTCTACTTTGATTTTATTATGGCCAGGTAACATAGTCTGTATAATTTCAATTCTCTTGAACTTTTTAATGTTTGTTTTATGATCTAGGATATTCTCTATCTTGGTAAATGTCTCATGGGACCTTTAAAAAAATGTGTATTCTGCTGTTGTTGGACAGATTGTGCTATGAATGCCAATTAGATCCTGTCAGTTGATGGTGTGGTTGAGTTTTTCTATATTCTTGCTGATTTTCTTGCTAGTAGTCCTAGAAGTCCTGAGTGCAGGGAGACAGCAGGGATTGATGCCTCAACCACAATTGTGGATTTCTTCTTTCAGCTGTCTTAGTTTTTGCTTCAGACATGTGAAAGTCTGTTGTTTGGTTCATAGGTATGTAGAGAAAATGCTCACTAACTGTGTTTTTCTTTTACTGTCACACCACAATCATCAACACAGAAGAAAGGCCCAGTGACTCATGGGAAACTACTGTATTAAAAACTTGCAGCTAATGTTTTAAATTAACCAGAAAAAACACAAAAGTCAGAACACTGCACCAACAGATAGAGCCCTGTGCCTTTATAAAAGAAAAAAAATATTGCCTTCTATACACTCTCCCTCACCATAAAGATAATCCTCTGGTTTTCTCCTAAGTAACCAGAGAGTGGATACCCCACACCGCAAAAAAATAAAATTCTATTTGTTGAATATCTTTTGTCTTAAAGATAACAGCTCAGGAAAAATAGACTGCACTTAACATGATTTATGTCATTCCTTTTTTGTGCCCTTATACGATATGAAGAAAGGCTTCTGTGTTGATGTTGTCATGGTGTGACAGCAGAAGAAAAACACAGCTAGGGAGAGTTTTCTCTATATACCTATGAACCAAACAACAGACTTTCACATATCTGAAGCAAAAACTAAGACAGCTGAAAGAAGAAATCCACAATTGTGGTTGGGGCATCAATCCCCCACTGTCTCCCCACACTCAAGACTACTAGGACTACTAGGGAGAAAATCAGCTAGAATATAGCAGCGGACACCAGCTGGGTGTCCTCCAATGCAGTTCTGACACTATCTACCCAGAGATAGAGTCAGATCCCACAGGTTGAAGGTTCAGCCCCCAAGACTGCCCCCATACACACACCAGTTGTAAGTCTGGGCCTCCACAACTTCTGACTAGCCAGCTTCAAGGTGGGGTTCCCATGACCCCCTCTTTGGGTTTGATTAATTTGCTGGAGCAGCTCTCAGAACTCAGAGAAATGTTTACCTATGTTTACGGGTTTATAATTAAAAAATATTGCAAAGGAGACAGATGAAGAGATGCCTAGGGTGAGGTATGGAGAAAGGGTCACGGAGCTTCCATGCCCTCCCTGGGTGCACCACTCTCCAGGAACCTCCACATGTTCAGCTATCTGGAAGCTTAACAACCTTGTCCTCTTGGCTTTTTATGGAAGCTTCATGATGTCAGCATTCCTTCCCCCAGGATATAGGGTGGGACTGTCTCATGGGAGGGTCTTAAGATCCACAATGAGAAAGGCAGAAAGGTGGGAGAACATTAGAGTGAAAGGAAGGCAGGAGAAGGTCAGAGGCCTGTCCCTGAGGCCTAACACCCCCAACAATATAACAAAAGACTCTAACACGGGATGTGGGAGTTATGAGCCAGGACCCACGGATGAAAACCGACATATATCATAACATCACAACAGGAGAGCTACATCTTCTTGGTGAATTAATTCTTTTTGTTATTATGTAATTTCCCTCTTTGCCTATAGTAACTTTCTTTGCTCTGAAGTCTGCTTTTTCTGATGTTAACATAGCCACTTGTGCTTCCTTCTGACTAATGTTTACACGTTATAACTTTTTCCATCAATTTGCTGTCAGTCTACCTATATCATTGAATTTGAAGTGAGTTTCTTGTAAACAACACATAGCTGGGTCATGTTTTGTAATACACTCTGCCAATCTCTGCATTTTAATGGATGCATTTAGAACATTTACATTTAAGATAATTATTGATATATTAGGACTAAGTCTGATATTTTATTATTATTTGTTCTCTGATTGATCCTTTTGTTTATTACACTTTTGTTTCTTTTTTCTTGCCTTCCTGTGGTTTACTTGGACATTTTTTGATGTTTCATTTTGATTTAATTGTGATTTTTTTTT
Organism: Homo sapiens; assembly: GCF_000001405.40. Taxonomy (NCBI): domain Eukaryota; kingdom Metazoa; phylum Chordata; class Mammalia; order Primates; family Hominidae; genus Homo; species Homo sapiens. The sequence continues at coordinate 87,607,250 of NC_000002.12, read as the reverse complement.
TCGGCATATCATGTTATGTTGTTTCCTTAGTGCTTATTATGTTTGGAAACTCTGTAGATGGACAGCCTTCCATGATGGGGAGGAAGCTGCAGGGCCTGGGTCTCCTTATGCCACTGGATGGAGTCTGGGGAGACACAGGGCTTCACAGTGGCTGCTTCTGTGGGTGAATTAGGCCATGTGCTGTGTCTAAGTTGTGGACTGGGGGCCAGGACTGTCCAGGGCTTTGCTGCTGCTACTATTGCTGCTGATGCCACTGCTGGCAGATCAATCTCTCTGCAAGGACCCTGGGTTGTACAAAACAGGGGCTAGAGCTTCCTACTGGGTCTCTGTTGGGGCTCCCCTTTCCTGAACTTTGGCCAAAGACAACAGGATATTCTTGGGGGTTTTGTTGTTGTTTTGTTGTCATTTTTTCTGTGCCTGTTGGTGATTCCAGCACAGCCCAGCGTATATGGGAGACGAAAAGAAAACTTAGAAAACTTACCATGTTGCTGTTACTCAAGTCCTGAGGTTTCTTGCAAGTACACCTTTTCTTCTAGCTTTCAGAGCCCTTTATCATTGTCTGCTGAATAGTTTCCAAGGTACTTAGTTGTATTTAGAGGAGCAGAGCAGGGAAAAATGAGTTTAACCATCTTGTTCCAGAACTGGAAGTCGGCAGAGCCTGTTTTAAAAATAATGTTTAAAACAAATTTTATTTCCTGGGTGATTTTCCAGAAAGCAGAAAAAGTACTATCGATGGCACTTCCTATAATAAAAACTACACCCTATGCTTTCTTGGAAGGAATCAATTGCATTATTCAACAGTCGTCTTCCTCTGAACCTGCTCTGCATTTAGTCAACAGGATATTGAATTCCTTTTAAAAATCTAAACAGATTATCACTTCTTTCCTGAACCAAAAGTTGATTAGTAATGTAAATACTTGTCTGTAACACAGAAAACTGTGTTTTCTTTGAGCTCTTCCTATTCCGTATCCCTTGTCTTGAATGAGGAGTTTTTCCTTTGGCACCAAAAGGTTACAACTACATTTATCTACAAATAAACTACCATAGAAGAACTGGAACTTTCCTAATTATCAATGTTTAGCTGCACTAATAAAGCTTTCTTATATCTGTGTTCTCCTTGTTTCTTGTCTTGGACCCTTGCCTGACACAGATAGGATGGGCTTTCAGCCCAGTGACTCACGGGAAACTACTACATTAAAAACTTGGAGCTAATGTTTTAAATTAACCAGAAAAAAACACAAAAGGCAGAACACTGCACCAACGGATAGAGCCCTGGCCCTTTATAACAGAAAAAAAAAATACTGCCTTCTATACACTTTCCTTCACCACGAAGATAATCCTCTGGTTTTCTCTTAAGTAACCAGAGAGTGGACCCTCCCACAAAAAACAAGTTCAATTTGTTAAATATCTTTTGTCTTAAAGATATAGCTCAGGAAAAAGTAGACTGCACTTAACATGATTTATGTCATTCTTTTTTTGTGTGCCTTATATGATATCTCATGACTTGGAAAACTCCTATAAATATGTAAAATATTAGAATGTATAGCAAACAATTGTCAGTTTACGTTATTTTTGGCTTATCTCAGTACAAAGATTAATGTGGTAAAATTGAATATTTATATCCTTAAGATAAAATTGAATGTTCCAATGTGAAGTAACATATTTTCAAGTACATTTTTTTTTCTGAAATCCCTTTATCACCACAAACTCTATCTTTAAAAAAAAAAAAAAGTTCACAACATATACCATTTTCTGGCTCTACATGAAAAGTTTATTGTTTGTGTGCAGGGTTAAAGAGAAGCCAATAAGTTAACATGTTATATTTGACATGGGAGCTGTTCACTCCAAATTTTAAGAAAAGCCAGAAAAATCACGTACAGGCAACCAACCAGAGCGTTAAAATGGCCTTTTGTTAATTGTTAAAAATCTGTATAGAAGTACATTTTTTTTTAATTTGTAAAAGTGGAAGCAATTTGAGTCACTTTAATTTACAGCATGAATGGAAGATTCTTGGAGTCATCTATAACCTCAGCAGAAAATGTGATTATAAAAGTTTATAAAAACCCCAATTCCCCAGAGAGCTATGAAATGAGCAGAGTGCAGAACATATTCTATCAGTCTCTTGAAATATTATTTGCCCTCTTAACTGATAAGGCAATGGAGGAAGAAAGTAAGAATGTAATACAAATATGAAAAAGTGACTACCTTTGCCTGCCTTCAACAAACCTAACTTTAAATAAAATAAGAATAATGAACAAATCAGCTAAAAAAGAAAACAGCTTTTCCCCTAGTTTCTTTTGAAGTGAATCTCCCTTTACTTTTTTTAAATTTCTTGGAATCCTACAAATTAAGGCTTCCTTGGAAATGAATGAATTTTTTAGAATTTCAAGACTCAAAAGATAAACAAAGAAGTCTGTTTTTCTTCTCTCACCCACCCCAACCCTGTGAATAACCCCAGGTTACAGCCTGGGTTTCCCTCTGTTCTTTATGTCTATCAGGGGTTTTAGAGCTGGGGAGGTCAGTGGGGGAAGGATGGGGAAGAGGGGGAGGTGGGGAAAGGAGGGAGAAGGGGAGAATAAGTGGGGTGGGCTCATCTCAGAGTGAACCTCGGCTGTAGCTGGGTACAGGATGTCACACGCATGCCTGCACACACAAAATGTACACAGTGAAACCGGGCAATAGAACTATTAAAAAAAAAAAAAAGAAAGAAGGAAAGAAAGAAAATGTACTGCTACATCAGCTAAAAACAGTCGTGTTCTTTCCTGGTTTGATGTCAGCTCCCAGTACTGGCTTGGAATTGCCCACAGCGATCTTGGGCCCCTGCCCACTCAGCAGGCAGATGGCTTTCCCTGCCAGCAACAGGCTTTTAATAAAACAGGATGCTGTCCCACTACTAAGGCCCAGCCTGAGAATGGATCCCAGTCCGTGTGAACTCCCTCTCCAAGAAACAGCAGTTCTGTGTTCCTTATCAGGAAACCCCACTTTGGCGTTCCTGGCCTGGGAGAAAGGCCCCTCTCCCAGGGACTTGCTCAGCAAGTGTTTGCAGGCAGCCGCTGGCCCCTGGAGCTGTCTGCTCTGCAAGGTTCTCACCACAGTGAACTTGCTCCCGCAGGGACTTCTCATTCTGTGCGTGTGTTTCAGCTTTTAGGAAGGCTCTGTCTGACTTTGATAGTCAAGCAGGATGGGATTTAAAATAAGGAGCTGGCTTCTATAGGCAGGATGAGGACATTTCGCCCCTATCTTCCTGCAGCAAACCCCAGTGAGTCACGCCAGGACTGCACTTGAACTGACTTCTCATCTTAAGTGTGAAGAGTTTTATCATTTTGGGGAGGCTCACCCGTCTATTTGTTTACTTCTCATTTGGAATGAAATGGAGTATGTTCCATTTGGAGCAGCAATTTCTAATTTTTTTCCAGCTGCAGTTTGACAAAAGTCCAAACTAAGGAGTAAGATTCCACGGCACCTTCCAAACCCTGGAGCTCCATGGCTGCAGAGCCCAGGACCACCTTTCCTTGGCTGTATACCACCCTCTTGTCCTAGGGTAGAAGAACTGTGATTCTGAAAGTTGTCCCAGAGTATTAGCCCCAGCCCCACAGGCACCAGCAGGATCCCTTTCGTGCCACACTGTCCTGTACAGAGGTGGCCGAGTATAGCATGACATCACAGACTGGGAGACACACATGCTGTCAGGAAGTGGACTTAGATGACATCCTATGACAGTGAATTCCAATGGGAAAGAGAAGTCATTGTTGTTGATAGAGAAGGCTGGACAACCTGGATTCTACCCCCAAATCTGCCCTGACTTCCTGTGTGGCCTTAGACAGCTTGATAGATGTGTGACTCAGTTTCCCCATTTTGTAAAGTACAGAGCAGATTGTTAAAGGACGGGCAAATAACTAGCTCATATGCTGTCACTCCCCCTTCCCTCATCCACTCAGACATTGGGAATCACTCCCAGCACTTTTCTTCCTGTGTCCAGATGTGACAACCCAGTCAGCCACAACCAAACGATCAGAGACAGCCCTGGGAGCAAAGGCTTGTGATGGTTTCTAAGGCTTCTTCCAACTCTGACCATCCATAAGTCCCAGTCTAAGCCCAATACATTTCTGTTTACTTTGAAGTTCTGGGGAGGAAATTGGAGGAATTGGTGTTACAGGTGGTGTTTTCATTCCTTCTCTCACTGGAAGGTTGTGAGTTTGGAAAAGAAAAGGAGAAAGAGGAAGTACATGGAGGGAACATCTGGGCATGTAGATGGTGTCACAGTGGAGAATTTTGTCTCCTGGACTGCAGCCCAGATCCACCTCAGAACAGCGGGGGCCTGGCAGGAAGCAGGAAGTGCTGGCCCAAAGCTGGGAAGAGCAGAGCATGCTGCAGGAGGCCAGCCCATGAGACCAGAAAAAGTGCAATTGGTAACTTCAGAGGGAGGAGTGAAAAGAGCCCAAGTAAATCTATAAAGCCAGGGAAGATAGAGCACAGCACAGGAATATGAGCTAGGACTCTTGAAAGCAGAAGGAACGACCCTTGCTGACTCAAGCAGGGAGGGGAATGAATTGGAAGCTATGAAGGAGCTTGTGAGGTCAACAGGGGTGCTGGATTCTGAGCTGGAGAACCAGGTTCAACTGGGACAAGAGCGCTCCACCATCAAGCGCCTCTACAGGGAACAAACAGCCTGCTGTCCCTCCCCCTGAGACCACTCAGCTCAGCTCAGCTCAGGACCACCCTGGGGCAAGGGAGGAGACACTGTGGACAACTTTCCACTTCCACGCAGGGGGAAAAGCACCTGGATTTACCATGAAGACGGCGCCCAGTGAGAGAGTAGTGCCACAAAAGGACATCGAATTGGGGAAAGAAGAGGCAGTGGATTCCAGGCTGCTGAAAAAGCAATGCCCGGCACTGTGTATAACACAGAGGTGTCACACACAACCACAGCAAGTGACCAGACCAGGTCAAGAGTCAGAGAAGTTAGCAAGCAAACATTAAATCCAATCCAGCAGGCCTGTGGGACAAAGTTAGGAGTAACTCCAAGGTCATTTGCCAGGTGTGGAAACCCATCTGGGAGGCTCAGTGGGGTCAGAGGGTAAAGACAAGGCCGATTAATTACCAGCTCTCAGGAGCGAGCTGAGTGGAGCATGTGGAGGAGTGCAGAGGATGTCGCAGGCAAGAGTCAAGGTCAGGAATGTTCAGACCGAGATGAATGAGGGAATAAAAGCAGGCACCTGTGCACAGGGCTCGGGGTTACCCATCTCAATTCTGGTGGGGTCTCCCTTGCTAGAAAAGAGCTGCATTGAAAGGCCCAGCTGCCCCTTAGCTACAGAGTGGAGGAAGTGTCCAGTTTGTGTCAGCAATATCACTCGCAGTCAGGAAGGCTCATGTGCTCTCTTCTCTGGGAAAGCAAGTCTTCCAAATTCAGTTTGGCAGAGCACCAGTTTGCTGAGATAGGAGCCAAACCTAAGCGCTGGGGTCCTGCTCCCCACCATGGCTATGCCAAGCTGGAGGCTGCTGCTGCGCCACCTCCTCCTTCCACACAGAGCGTCAGAGGAACCAGATGGACACAACTGAGTCCTGAGGACATTACCAGGGCTGTGAACCCAGCTGTGCCGAAAGCCAGGTCTACCTTTGGATGTTGCTTGATGGTAATTCCTAGGGGAAACTTCTCTGAGCAACAGATTCTCTTTTCGTGTTTAAGCCAGTTTGAGGTAGTTTTCTGTCACTTATAACCACAAAGTGTGTCAGTAATAGGTAGATAATAATATTAATACTAACCACAACTAAGCACTATTTCCTTCAATCCTCATAACAACTCCAGGAGGTAAATTCTGTTATCATACACAATTATATCAAATTGAAGAAACTGAGGCTAATGTCCTAGTGCCACACAATATTAACCTGGAGGGCTGGGGCTAGGGAGTCTGAACACACACAGATCCCAAGTGAGAAAAGAGATTAGGAGAAAACCCCAAATTCTGCATATGTATCGTCAATAATCCTGAATAAGCCCAGTGAGGACCAAAAAGAGGAAATAGTTAGAAAAATCCAGTGTGGGCCACACAGGGTACCACTGGTGATCTCAGACTTTCAGAAAGGCATACCCAGAAGATGAGAAGTTGACATGGAGTCAATACCGGGGTTGGGGGGGCCTGAACCTGTGAGAACCACACTGGGAAACCAAAAGCCCACACCAAGCAGAGGCTGAAAATAGGCCCGTGATCTCAGAAGGGTTTTCAAAGCTATTTGAAGAGTGGGACAAGAAAGGGATTACACAGGAAAGATGCTAAAATGTAGAAACTTGAGAAAAAAAAAAAAAAGGAGGCAGAGCCAAGTAATTTCAACTTCACGTCTCTCTCTTCTAGTTAGAAAGATGCTCTTCCAAAAGGTGGACCCCTGGCCTGGTGAGAAGACAGCAAGGTGGTGCTTGGATGCCCTACACAAGTTTAACAATGAAAACTCTTCGATGACCTGGCAGCAACACAGAAACTCAACACAGGGAAGCCCTCTCCTGGGCAAACGGTCCATTTCTAACATTTATAAAAATGGTCAATTGTCGATGGCAATCCCTGAGGGAATATTCTAGAACTACTGACCATCTAGATTGAAAATATTTCAGAAAAAACATAGGGTACAACATGGGTTCAGTACCCCCCAAACAACCATAAATCTTTCATGATGGGGTGATTAATGCTGACCAGGTGACTCTGGTAAGTACTGTATACCAAAAATAACCTCAGCAAGCAGCTGACAGTTTTTCAGGATAGTCTTGTTTTTGAAACGGAGGAATATGGACCAGATGAAAATAAGATAAGAGGGATTCCTAGCAAATTGTAAAATGATGCCCAAATGAAATGATGAACTTTGAAGTCTTATGAAGGGGGACAGTGCCAGGGGTCATATTCCTTCTACTGGCCCAGCCTTAACAGTGTCCTTGAAGGTGAACTTGGAGATGTCCTTTCAGACGCTACTGATGGGGCAGGAATCAGAGCAGTGGGGGGTTGTGGTCAGGATTGAGTGAGCTGGGTGTGTGACATACATACCATTGTTAGGCTGTTGCTCTGGTACTGGCCACCTCTACGCTGCCTGGTGCCCTGTCTTTGGGGGCACAAGACTTGGATCCCCATCTCATCTCCCCATTATAGTTTTGCAATATTCGTCAAATCACTCCACCATTCTGGGATTCAGTTTCCTCATCTGTAGATTTGAAAAAAGATGCCAAAGGCACTTGTGTCTAATGTGTGGGTAACCAGAAGCTGAGAAGGACAATGAATGCAATAAATAACCAAATCATGAATGATTCAAATTCATTTCAATAGGACCGAATATGAGGTCAAACCAACAACACCCAGAAGAATTTAGTTGGAATATATGTCAAGAAAAACACAGTATTAAAAATGCAGCCTGGCACAGTGGCTTACATCTGTAATCCCAGCACTTTGGGAGGCCAAGCTGGGTGGATCCCCTGAGGTCAGCAGTTCAAGACCAGCCTGGCCAACATGGTGAAACCCCATCTCTACTAAAAATACAAAAATTAGCCAGGCATAGTGGCTGGTGCCTGTAATCCCAGCTACTCAGGAGGCTGAGGCAGGAGAATCATTTGAACTTGGGACTCGGAGGTTACAGTAAGTCAAGATCTGTTGCAGTAAGCCAAGATCATGCCACTGTACTCCAGCCTGGGCAACAGAGTGAAACTCTTGTCTCCAAGAAAAATAAAATAAAATAATAAAAATAAAATGCAATCTTAAAGAACATGTCAGGCAGGGCCATGGCTATCTTGACTTGACAGCTGCCTACGTGAAAACAAGATTTGGGAATAACCCAGATGTCCAACAACAGCATGTGAAAGCGCTTAAAAACCAAAGTGACCTGGGAAGTAGCAGATAGCTCTGAAAGCTGAGAATTAGGGGTCAGTTTGAATATTTTCACACCTGGAAATATAAAAGAAAATTATGCTACAAGATGAAACAGCAGACGGTAAATACTGCCTACTCGGTAGATAAAGTTATGTAGAAGTGTTAGATGCAAATTTAGAGTGATTGGCAGTCTTAGGGAGAGATACTTTCTCTAAAAGTTGTACCCTCACCCCCAGAATAAAAAAAAAACAACAACGAGATTTTAGTTGCCATGGGTTTAATGTCAGTCAATAATATGAGTACTAAAAGTCAATGTGGCTTTATTTTGTCTCGGTGGAAGTATAATGTCTCTGCTGGTATGTTCCCCACAGGGCTCATGCCGGTACCAGGTGTGGCAGATCTGGTACCTGGATAAGGATATAGGAGCTCATCCAGGTAACAGGTGTGTTGGAACAGGAAAGGAGTGTAGCCATCCCACACAAGCTTGTTCCAGTACATCTGGACTGCATTTTTTTTTTTTTTTGAGACAGGGTCTTGCTCTGTCACCGAGGCTGGAGTGCAGGGGTGCAATCATGGCTCACTGCAGCCTCAACTTCCTAGGCCCCAGCAATCCTCCCACTTTATCCTCCTGAGTAGCTAAGAACACAGGCATGTGCCACCACTCCCAGCTAATTTTTGTATTTTTGATAGAGACACAGTTTTGCCATGTTGCTCAGGCTGGTTCTTGAACTCCTGGACTCAGGCCTTCCAAAGTGCTGGGATTACAGGTGTGAGTCACCACACCCAGCCTGGACTGACTTTTTCAGAAGGAAACTAATGATAACATCCAGATAGATTAATTAATTCAATGCCAAAAATGAACCCACTGCACAGTTAAAATAAAATAGTAGAACTGAACATTTATCTATACTTGATAGGAATGAAAACTTTCTAAGCATAAAAATAATGGGAATAGTCACACAGTAAAATACTGATAGGCATACAAGATTTAAAACTTTCTAGTCCTAAATGACCATAACAACATTAAAAGGCAAGAAGAAAACTGGGGAATTTACCTGACAGATAGTGAACTAATAATATACATGTGTGTATACATAGGACAAGGCTAACAGAAAAATGGGCAAAAGCCATGAACAGGCATTTTGTAGGAAAACAAATGCAAATGGTCTATAAGAAATGGAAAGATGCTCAAACTCAAAAGCAACGAAATAAATGCAAATAAAAACAGTAAGCTAACATTTCTCTTTCAAGATGAATAAGAAAATCATGTATGCAAGGGTCCAAGTATATGAGCAACAGTGCAGGGGAGCACAGATTACATGCACTGGGCTTGACTGTCCATGCTGGTCTCACTAGCTAGTTGTCTTTGGGTAGTTTATTTATCCTTCCACACCATCATGTCCCTTGTCCATTAACTGAAGATTATCATAACTCTGGTCTCACAGTGCTATTAGGAGGATTGGCTGAGATTACTCTAACCCAGTGGTGACACTTAGAAAAATTGTTTTTTCTAGTTAGAAGCAAGCAATCAGGGAATACTTAAATAAATCATGATATATTTGTTAGATGAAATATTACACAGACATCAAGCATATTGTTAAATGCATATTGTTGAAGGCCATTTCCTAATAAAAAATGTGATAGATGTCATGGTCCCAATATTGTTATGAAAAATTCCACACACACTTTTTTTATATACAGAAAAACATGGCTAAAATGTTGGTTTCTTTCTAGTGGTTTTGTCTGGTGATGGGATTATAGGTGATTTTTTTTTTTTTAAGAAAAACAAAATATGTAAGGACAAAAGAATTTGGAAAATGGTATGGATACCGTACAAAGCCAAAACAAAGCAAAAAATCCTCCAACGGGTCCTGAGAATGGCATTTGACTTGTTTTGATTGCTAGAAACTTTGTAATGTCTGACACAGTTGGAGGAAATAGCTATGTGTGGCCTAGAAGAGATAAGCTTTTTCGGGGGCTGTGACACCTATCTGTATATATTTGATGGATGTCATATCAGGACATGTCCCAATTTTGTTTTCTGAAACAGCACATCACCTGCCTCTCAATGGCAAGACCCTCTAGGGAAAAAAAGACTAGTGAGTCCTACGGAACTTGGAGCCACAATCAGGCCTTCGGGGAGACTCTCACAGCTACTGGTGGGCATCTCCATCCACCAGGAGAGCAGCAAGAACCTATCTATTCTAGGGGTCCCATGGAAACGTCTCCTGCTCTGCACAGAGCTTGGGTTTGATAACTTCCTTCCCTCTCTTCTTCCCTCCCTCTCTCCCTTTCCTTCCTTCCTTCCTTCCATCCTTCCTTCCTTCCTTCCTTCCTTCCTTCCTTCCTCCCTCCCTCCCTCCCTCCCTTCCTTCGTTCCCTCCTTCCTTTCTCTTCCTCTTTAAGATGGGAACCTGTGAAATGATGGGGCAAAGAGGAGAAGCCAGTGTAATCATCAGCAGACTCAACAGTATGGAAGGGAGTTTGACACCATCCCCAGGAATGTTCTGCTTTAACTAAAAAAAAACCATTGGATCCACTTCTGAGATCTGCCACCTTGCCATTCCATGACAACTTGTAGCAGGACAAAATTCACCCAGAAGTTGCTTTATCACAGTTCAGTAGATTTAACACATTGCTCGAGGGACTAGCTCTGTGAACGGTCATCCCCATGGCCTCAGGCATCTTATGGAGGTGCCTCCCACCTTCTTAGTTGCTCTTCCTGCCTGTCTTTCACCTGCCATTTTTTCTGTGCTGGGTCACATCTGCAGCTACAGAGGGGGAGGTCTTTCTGTCCTGCAACACTGGGATCAGAACCTTTTTACCTGGTTGAACAAGTAAGCGGTGAGTTGCTGAATGCAAGTGCCAGATATTCTTGTATTATTACGGTTAATCCTCACAACAGCCCTGTGCAGAAGGTTCTTTCAATATCCTCGTATGAGACTCAGAGAAGTTGTCACTTGAACAGGGTTGTAGGTTCAGCAAGGGTAGCACTGCAACTTGTACCTCTGAAGGCGTAGAAGGTCCAGAGCAGAGCAGTCTTGGACCCAGGCACGTGGAGGGGGACACCTGCGGTTCCCACCATCCAGGATCCAATCCCCTTTCTCCTGGCCCAGAATGCTCCCATGCCTAGCCCGACACTGTGTAGATGGAGCTGCCAGATCCAGAGATGGACAAGTGGCCCAGAACCACTAACCAGCCCACTCCACATCTGAGTCACAATGACCAGCCCAGGATGAGCAGCTGGTCTCATCATTGCCACTCCCAAGACACCTGCCACCTGGGCTGCTGAGAGGACAGGCTGTGCACCAAACTGCTGGCAGCCACTTCCCAGCCCCATGTCTAATGAGTTTAATGATGCCATTAAACTCAGCTGGTCTTGAGCTTTTCAGAAGTAAACCAATATCTTTCTTTCTTAAGCTACTCTGAGGTAGGCATTTCCCCTCACAGCCCAACTGTCTGGACTTTTATACAGATAGGGCCAGCAGTGTGACCAGTCGTCATCAAACCATGCAGGTCTGCCTGCGAGGGAATGGGCAGTGTGGTGTGGAGGAAGGTTTAAGAGGTTATTTGAATGGGAAGTTGCTGGCAACTCTTAGGTATTCTGGAGGTGTTAATTGATGGTGAGGCATTTATGACCAGGACACATTTCACAGCTCTGGGCCACCTAATGTTACTTCTCCTCAAAGCAGGTTTGAAATAAAACCCAACCATTGGCCTTTCTCACCCCACTGCAATTAAATACAAACACCCACAGACACTGGGCCCTCTCAGGCCCGGATTGCGGCTGCCAGGGACACAAGTGCACGGTGGCTGTGTGCTGTGTCACAGCACCACCACACTTGAATTTCCAGCCTCAGAGCCTGTCTTTTGGATCAGCGAGAAGTTGTGGGTGACAGCCTCGTGCCAAGCTCTTGGTGGGCTCAGCTTGGCTCTCTGCTTCTTGGCTTTTACAGCAGGACCCCAGAGTGGAGAACAGGCTCATTCTGGTTTCATGGAGCATGCTCCCTGCTGTCACCATGAAGAAGGTGGCATCTTGGCTCTCAGGGGCCTGGCCAATTGCCCGCAGACATTACCAGTGAGTTGCCTTGTCCCTGGGCACAGGCACTGGAGGCTGCCCTGGCCACTCAGGAGGGGTTTTCATCTCCCCTCTTGGCCCTCCCTCTGGATTCTAACATGAGGCAGGCAGTCAGGCAGTCCTAGCAGAGGGCCGGCCCTGTCCTCCCTGCGGGGGCCTGGGCTGTCACACAGGCAGTGGTGGTTATTCTTACAAACGGCTAAGCAGACTTTTTTAGAAAAGTGAGCTATTAATAGCAAAGTGCTGAGTGAGAGGCTTGGAGCTACTCCCGTGCATGAACTTGTGTGAGCATGTGTTCACGAGTGTGTAAGTCTGGGGGAGCGCGTGCACAGGTGTGCACATGAACACACGGACACCAGGCAGACAGACGCATCCCCTTGCAGTTGTTCACATGCACTCCTAGTCTCCTGGTCTGCCTGGAATCCCATTCTGGAACTGGCCTGCCCCTCTGACTTTTGGGACAAGAAAAGGCCAGGAGAAAGTGGCTGCCTGCCACGCAAGACCAGACATCTGGGTGCCCAGTGTAGTAAGCGCGCTGCTTCCTGGGGCAGAGATGCTGCCCAGCGAGATGTGTGTGGATCCGTTGGTAGGCATGGAGACAGTTACTTCCTTTGCCTGTGATGCTGTGGACCCTGAGAGGCCCAGCCTGGACATTGGTTTTTGTGCTTTCTTCCCTGGCTTGGGAGGAAAGGACCCTGTTGGCTAATGCATGGCAGAAAGCACAGCTTACAGATTTTCTAGTTATGCCCAAGATGAAAGAGGACTTTCTGAAAAGAAGGAAAAAGATGGAGAGAGAGAGAGAATGAAAGCGAGAGAGAGAGAGAAAGAGAGAGATTAAGGGTTGGGGGAACTGGAAGGAGCCCTGAGTAATGTATGGAAAGTAAAAGCACAGAACACTCAGCTCAAGCAATTGTTTTTCTCCTGGAGGCTAAAATTCATGGGCAGGTAGCCAACAGCCACATTAGGATAAGAAATATAATCTGTTTATAATAAGTTTGCAAAATACCGCTCGTTGGCACAGTGAATGTGCAGGACCCCCTAAACTGCCGTGACACTAGCCTTGGCCTGCTGTCTGAGGCAGACACACCGGAGCTAGTAGGTCACTGCTGGTAAAGCCTAAGTCCCCTGGTTGCCTCCTTTCTCAATCATCTATTTCCCTCTGGGGCAGATAAGCACATTCCCAAAAATGACAGCTGGAGTGTCCAAGAGCCAGTGGAAGCCCCTTCTCCCTCCCTTGCTGGAGCTACCATCGCTACCGTTGCAGAGACTTGAAATGACCTCTCCAGGTCGGAAGGCACTCCAGAGATCACTCGACCCCACTGATGCAGGAAGTTGGGTGTCTGCAAAAATCCTCCTGCAAGGCCCTGGCCTCTGCTAGATCACTCCCACTTCTGGGCAGGGTGCCAGCCTGGGCAGCTCTGGGCTGCCTGGCCCTAAAACACATTGTTGTCTTTCCACTCTCTGCACTTTGTATGTCTGTAGTGCCTGCCATTTTTCAAAACAATAGCGAATAAAAACAACAGCCAGCATTTATTAGGCATTTACTGTGAGCCTGGTATTGTCTAAGTACTTTATTTGCATCATCTCATTGTACCTACCCAGCAACCCTCTAGGGAGATACCATTATTATCCCGTTTTACAGACATGAAAATGGAAGCTTAGAGGGCTTCAACAATTTGTCCAAATGTCCTCCATTCGTGGGATTTGTGGTAGAGTGTGGATTTGAACACAGGATTTTTCAATTCCAGAACCCATGCTCCTCCCATCATACCCTGCTATGCTCTCCCTCCTACATGGTGGTCCACAGAAGGCTTCCCTCCCAGCTGCACATCCCAGAACTGGCACAGGCATATCACTACCACCATTTCTGTCCTGTAAACTAGAGAACAGCTTTATTCTAGAACCTCCCTCTGACCTCTGCAAATTCTGTCCGTCTGTTCAGAATTGAACAGATGCTAAAACATTGTGGCTAAAAGCAAGAGCATCAGAATCAAACAGATCTGGTTTAGAATTCTACTTTAGCCTCTTGCCAACCTCGGGCAAATTACTCAACCTCACTCAGTCTCCAGATTTCCATCTGTAAAAACAGAGAGAGCACTTTACTACCTAACAACTCCATGGGATTGTTATAAGAATTAAATTAGATAAAACATAAAGAGCTCCCAGGCTGTATTCGCAGATGAAAGGCAGCTGTGCTAAATACATGGTGACAAACGTGGTAAGTCTCAAAGGACATGTGAGCGGATGTCCTACCATCAAGATTTCACTCCTTCCCCAACTTCAGGGGTAAGAATCCTCCAACATCAGGGGAGGACTTGCTCAAAGTCACACAAACCAGAAATCCTCAAGAGGCCATACTATGGATGTGGCTTTCTAACACTATTCTACCAGTTCCCATGGGGAAGCACCTGAAGAAGTGGGGACGGAGTGGGCAGGGAATCGGGGAAGTGCAGGGCCATGACAGGACTGAAGCCGCACTTAGGAAGCAAAGGACGAGTTCTGTCCACCAATAGCTGAATGCTGAGTACAGACCTCTAATCTCGGCCTTGCCACTGAAGACTCATCATGCAACTCTAGGGCCAGTTGCTCCCTCTCTGGGCCTTGGGTCTTCACTACCATCAACAGCTGACTTGGAAGTTGCCTCTAAAGTGTGCTGAATTATCAGGAATGAAGATGATTTAAAGACATAAGCTTTTTTCTTTGTACCTTCTTCCAACCTTACCTTCTCCAAAAACTCTCCTATGACTTCCTCTTAAAAGGTCCCTGTATTAGTCCACTCTCACATTGCTGTAAAGAAATGCCTGAGACTGAGTAATTTGTAAAGAAAAGAGATTTAATTGGCTCACAGTTCTACAGGCTATACAAGAAGCATGGCTAGGGAGGCCTCAGGAAACTTACTCATGACAGAAGACAAAGCCAGAGCAGGTATCTTCACATAGCCAGAGCAGGAGGAAGAGAGAGAGGGGGAAGGTGCTACACACTTTTAAACAACCAGATCTTGTGATAACTTACTCTTACTATGGCAATACCAAGGGGGCTGGTGTTAAGCCATAAGAAACCACCCCCATGATCCAATCACCTCCCACCAGGTCCCACCTCCAACACTAGGGATTACAGTTCAACATAAGATTTGGGTGGGGACACATATCCAAACCATATCATTCTGACCCTGGCTCCTCCCCAAATCTCATGTCCTTCTCACATTGCAAAATACAATCATGCCTTCCCAACAGTCCCTCAAAGTCTTTTAACTCATTTCAGCATTAACTCAAAAGTTTAAAGTCCAAAGTCTCATCTGAGACAAAGCAAGTCCTTTCTACCTATGAGCCTGTAAAATAAAAAAGAAGTTAGTTACTTCCAAGATACAATGGCGGTATAAGCATTGGGTAAATATACCCTTTCCAAAAGGGAGAAATCAGCCAAAAGAAAGAGGCTACAGGCCCCATGCAAGTCCAAAACCCAGCAGGGTAGTCATTAAACCTTAAAGCTCCAAAATATTATCCTTTGGCTCCATGTCCCACATCCAGAATATGCTGGTGCAAGGGGTGGGCTCCCAAAGCCATGGGCAGCTTGGCCACTGTGACTTTGCAAGGTTCAACCCCCACAGCTGCTCTCATGGACTGGCATTGAGTGCCTATGGCTCTTCCAGGCACAGGGTGCAAGCTGCTTGTGGCTCTACCATTCTGGGGTCTGGAGAATGGTGGCCCTCTTCTCACAGCACTACTACGTAGTGCCCTAAAGAAGACTCTGTGTGGGGGGTCCAACCCTACATTTCCCCTCTGCACTGCTCTAGTAGAGGATCTCCATGAGGGCTCCAACCCTGTAGCATGCTTCTGCCTGGACATCCAGGTTTTTCCATACATTCTCTGAAATCTAGGTGGAGGCTTCTAAGCCTCAACTTTTAAACTATGTGCACCCACAGGCTTAACACCTCATGAAAGTCATCAAGGCTTATGGCTTGCACCCACTGGAACAGCATCCAGAGCTGTACCTTGGGCTCTCTTGGCCACAGCTGGAGCTGTAGCAGCTGGGATGCAGGAAACAGTGTCCCAAAGCTGTGCAGGGGAGTAGAGACCCTGGTTCTGGCCCCTGAAACTATTCTTCCCTCCTGGGCCTCTGGGCCTATGATGGGACGGGCTGCCATGAAGCTCTCTGAAATGACTTCAGGGCCTTTTTCCCATTGTCTTGGCTATTAGTACTTGCCTTCTTTTTAGTTATGTAAATTTCTGCAACCTGCATGAATTCCTCCCCCTGAAAATGGGTTTTTCTTTTCTACCACATGGCCAGGCTGCAAGTTTCCAAACTTCTATGCTCTGCTTCCCTTTTAAATGTAAGTTCCAATTTCAGATCATTTCTTTGTTCATGCAAATAAGCATAGGTTATTAGAAACAGCCAGGCTACATCTTGAATGCTTTGCTGCTTAGAAATTTCTTCTGCCAGATACCCTAAATCATGACTCTCAAGTTCAAAGTTCCACAGATCCCTAAAGCAGGGGCACAATGCAGCCAACCTCTTGCTAATGCATAACAAAAGTGACCTTGCTCCAGTTTCCAATAAGTCCCTCATTTCCATCTGAGACTTCATCAGCCTAGACTTTACTCTTCATATCACTACCAGCATTTTGGTCATAACAATTTAACAAGTCTCTAGAAAGTTCCAAATTTTCCTTCATCTTCCCTTCTTCTTCTGAGTCCTCCAAACTCCTCCAACCTCTGCCCATTACCCAGTTCTAAAGCTGCTTCCACATTTTCAGTATCATTATGGTAATACCCCACTCTTGGTACCAATTTTCTGTATTAGTTTATTCTCACATTGCTATAAGGAAATGCCTGAGACTGGGTAATTTATAAAGAAAATAGGTTTAATTGGCTCACAGTTTTACAGGCTGTACAGGAAGCATGGCTGGGGAGTCCTCAGGAAACTTTTTCTCATGGCAGAATGCAAAGCCAGAGCAGGCATCTTCACATGACCAGAGCAGGAGGAAGAGAGACAGAGGGACATGCTACACACTTTTAAACAACCAGATCTTGTGATAACTTACTGTCACTGTGACAACACCAAGGGGGATGTTGTTAAAGCATAAGAAACTGCCCCCATGATCCAATCACCTCCCACCAGGCCCCACCTCCAGCATTGGGGATTATAATTTGGTGTGAGATTTGAGTGGGGACACAGATCCAAATCATATAAGTCCCTCCCCTGACCATCTCCCTAAGTTCCTCTCCCTACTTCCAGAGCTAAAATGACACCCTGACTACCTCTGGACCAACTGTAATGCCCTACCCACTTACCTGGCTTCTTTTCCGTCATAACAGGTATTCACTAACTGATGTTTTTGTCTTTTCCCTCACTAGCATGTCAACTGCACCAGGCCGACTTACTTACATTTGTTCTCTTCCCCACTGAGCCTTGAATGATTCCTGGCACAGGGAATAGGCCCACTAAATAAGGGTTGAGTGAACAAATGAATGGATGAAGAAATGACTTTTTATATCATTTACGAAAATTACAAACTCGGCACGTCAGAGCTGGAGGTGATATTTTCAAACATTATTACCACGGAACCCTGTGTTCAGATGAAAGTTTATTCACACCATTTTTTAAATGCCCCAAATTAAAATGGCTCTCTTTGGCTTTATTCATACTAGCCAAAACCTGGAAACAGCTCAGATATCCATCAATAGAAGAATGGATCAACAAGCTGTGGTATATGCACACAACGGAATACTACTCAGCAACAGAAACAAATGACTTATAAAACTTGCTAAATATGAAAAACATTAGGCTGAAACAAAGAAGCCAGACAGAAAAGAGTGCATGATATCCCTTCTATTCATACTGCATTCTAGAAAAGATGAAACTAATCTAGGAGGTGTAAAAAAACAAAACAAAACAATGTTTGTCCCCGCGAGGTGGCTGGGGAAGGGATTAGACTGTGAAGGAGGAAGAAGGAACTTGTGGGGTGATGGATGAGTTCTGTATCTTGACAGAGGGGTGGGTGGTACTCATCAAATGGTGCACGTAAGAATTGCATATTTCAATGTACCTAGAATTTTCTTTTTATTTTTTGAAATTTGTTTTCTTTTATTTTACTTTTAGTTCTGGGGTACATGTGTAGTATTTGTAGGTTTGTTACATAGGTAAACGTGTGCCATGGCAGTTTGCTGCACCTATCAGCCAATCACCTACTTATTAAGCCTGACATGCATTAGCTATTTTCCTGATGCTCTCCCTCCCCTGAACCCCCACCTGCAGTGGCAGGCCTCAGTGTGTGTTGTTCCTCTCCCTGGTTCCATGTGTTCTCAGTGTTCAGCTCCCACTTATGAGTGAGAACATGTGGTGTTTGCTTTTCTGTTCCTGGGTTAGTTTTCTGAGGATAATGGCTTCCAGCTCCATCCATGTCCCTGCAACGGACATGATCTCGTTCCTTTCTACGGCTGCATAGTATCCCATGGTGTATATGTACCACGTTTTCTTTATCCAGTCTATCACTGATGGCCATTTTGGTTGATTCTATGTCTTTGAACATTGATTTTTTAAAAAGCCTTACCACATCCATTATAATTGTAAGGTTGCTCTCTAATATGAATACTCTGATGTTTCCATTTTGATGTTCAGGTAAAAGCCTTAGCATGCACATTACATTTCTGTGGTTCCTCTCAAAGATGTATATTCTGCTGTCTAGTGAGTTCTGATGCCTGGGCAAAGCCTGATGGCAATGTATGTATAGTTTTCATCTCACACAAGAAAAAGAAAAATATAAACTAATGTTGAGCTGTAGTTAATGATATGCATACTGAAATGTGTAGGGTCATATATTTGCAACTTCTTTTGAAATGTATCCAAAAAAAGAAATGAGGAGCTTCTCTTCCAGAAAGCTGCAGTAGACATACTTGTCCCATTGCTTCTGCTAAGCGCCACTAAAAAGTGTAGATGTTATATAAAAAACATGCACAAGAAGACTCTGAAAGATGGAGAGAAGACAGACTGTCTAGAGATCTTGAGACTGGAGGAACAACATGGTGGAGAGTGCCCTGGTTTCTTTCTGTCTTGTATATCCCAGATATATAGTTGAAGAAACTGAACTCAGAAATTCCAAATGAGACCAAGAAGGCCCCAACAAAAGCCTGCTCTCTCCAGCCTAAGGAGCTGGACAGTGGCAGCCCAGCAAGACAGAAAAGCTTTGGGCAATAACCGCTCCACTCTAGCCAAACACCACTTAAAATACCACAGCCCCACCCCAATCACAGGTCCTTCAGGAATAAAATGGAAATAAAGGCATTCTCAGGAGAGGGAAAACTAAAAGTATCTGTCACCAGCAGACATACTATAAATGAACAGCTAAAAAAAAGTTTTCTAAACAAAAAGCAAACAGTAAAGGAAGGAATATTGGAGCATCAGTAAGGAAGAAAGAACATATTAACATAATAGTAAGCAAAAATATTGGTATGTATAATAGACTTTCCTTCTTCACTGGACTTTTCTAAATTATGTTGACAGTTGAAGTAAAAATTATAACTATCTAATGTGATCCTAAATATATGCAGAGAAAATATTTAAGCAATTATATTATAAACAGAGAGGATAGTAGGACGTAAAGAAAGGTAAGTGCCCTACACTTCACTTGAGCTTGTAAAATGATGGCACTAGAAGATTGCATGTCTCAATAGATGCAGAAAAAAATTTGATAAAACTCAGCAAACGTTCCTGATAAAAAGTCTAGCAAACTAAGAATAGATGGAAACTTCTTCAACCTGCTAAGGGAACATCTATGAAAAGCCTATAGGTAACATCATTCTTAATGGTGAAAGACTGAGTGTTTTCCTCTTAAGATCAGAAACTCTCACAAATTCAACATTGTACTGAAGGTGCTATCCAGTGCAACAGCAAGAAATGGAAACAAAAGAGATTGAGATTGGAAATAAAGAAGAAAAGCCATCTTTATTTGTAGATGACATGAGTGTGTATGCAGAAAATCCTATGAAAAAAAGACTACTAGAACTAAAAATGTGACTTTAGCAAAAATATAGAATATAAGGCTAATGTACAGAAATCAATTATGTTTCTATATACTTGCAAAGAACAACCGGAAATTGAAATTTTAAAAATACCATTTATAATGGGTCAAAACGTATAAAATAGGGCAAATGTGATAAAAGATAGAAAGATCTATACATTGAGAATTATAATGTAATTGCTAAAATAAATTAAAGAAAACCTAAGTAGGTTCATAGGTCAAAAGACTCAATATTTTTAAGGTGTAAATTTTCACCAAATTGATCTTAAAATAATTTGAATTGTAAGTTCTCATTAAATTGATCCATAAATTCAATGCAATCTTGATCAAAATTTCATAAGGGCTTTCTTTTTGGTAGAAATTGACAAACTGATTCTAAAATTCGAATGTAAATGGAAGGGACCTAGCACAGTCAAAACAACTTTGTAAAGGAAGAACAAAGTTGAAGGACTAACATTGCTTGATTTTGAGACTTGTTATAAAGCTACATTAATCAGGACAGTGGAGCCTTCTATTATTGGCATTGCTTATACAGAAGCAACCAACAATCCTTCCCTCTCCGTAATAATGCTCCTGAAATCGAGAGGTAGAGTCTCATACCCTTCTCCTTCAACCTGGTCTGGCCATAGCAACTTGCTTTCCTTACAGAATATGGCAAAAGAAACTATAGGATGTGTAAGCTAGGTCACAGGAAACTTTGCAGCTTCTGCCTGGGTCTCTTGAAACATGTGCTTTTGGAAAAGTCATTCTAGGGTAAGCCACTACTAAGAAGTCTGACTTTCCTGAGAATGCCGTACTGTGAAGAAGTGAAAACTAGACACATAGATAGGAGGTAGGGAGAGAATTAGAAGCTCAATCATTCCCCAGCTGTTCCAGCCTACTCCACTGAGGTGCTAGATATGGAAATGAAGGAGTCATATGTGGCCTTCAGCCTCCTTGAGCCTCCAGATTGCTGCTCCAGCCATCATCCAACTGCAAATGCATGAGAGAACCCAAGTAAGAATTGCCCAGCTGAACCTGGCCAACCTCCAATATCATGAGAGATGAAAATAAATTGTTGTTTCAAGGCCAAAAAAATAAATCAAGACAAACATCAATGGAACGTTAGAATCAAGAGTCCAAAAATACACTGATTTTCGACAAAGACATAAAACAATGCAGTGGAGAAATGTCTTTTCAACAAATGTTGAGGGAACAATTGGGTAAACACATGTAAAAAAGTAAACTTTGCTCCATGCCTCACACCATATTTAAAAATAAGTTCTGGGTCGGGCATGGTGGCTCACGCCTGCAATCCTAGCACCTTGGGAGGCCGAGGCGGGTGGATGGCCTGAGCTCAGGAATTCGAAACCAGCCTGGGCAACATGGTGGAACTCTGTCTCTACTAAAATACAAAAAATTAGCCGGGCGTGATGGCACACACCTGTAATCCCAGCTACTCAGGAAGCTGAGACAGGAGAATCGCTTGAACCTGGGAAGTGGAAGTTGCAGTGAGCCAAGATAGTGCCATTGCACTCCAGCCTGGGCGACAGAGTGAGACTCCATCTCAAAGAATAAATAAATAAATAAATATAAAAACGAGTTCAAAATTGATCATTACAGATTGAAATTTCTACAGCTTCTAGGAGAATATTGTTGTGACTTAGGTTAGGCAAAGATTTCTTACATCAAAAGCATAATCTGTAAAAGAAAATATTGACAAATTGGATTTCTTTGAAATTAAAAACAAAAGACATTGTTAAGAAAATGAAAGAACAAGCTACAGGCTTGAAGAAAATATTTGCAAATCATACACCTAATAAGGAACTTGTATCCACAATACATAAAGAACTCCCAAAACTCAATAATAAGAAATCAAACAATCCAAATAAAAAAAATGGACAAAATATCTAAACAGACATTTCACCAAGGAAGAGTTATGAATGACAAACAAGTATATGAAAAGCGTCCCATCATTATTAGTCACTAGGGAGATGCACATTAAAATCACAACGAGATACGGCTATGCACCCATTAAAATGAATACAATAGAAAAGACGGACCTTAGGAAGCACTGTCGAGGATGCAGCGCAAAGGAATCTCTCATACAGTGATAATGGGTTTTAGAAATAACAGGGCTGTCATTAACCAAATCTTTTCCAATCCTAGTAAAGGTATTACTGTCTAAATTTCAGTCTTCCTCTTCATAGGGCCACGGTAAAACCAGCTTTCCAGTGTCTCACAAGGGTACCCCCAACAGCAGTGAGCTTTGCACTTTAAGCAATCTGGGGTGGCTCTAGCTTAGAAACAATCTTTCTGGTGTTTTCTTTGAGGCACCAGACAACGAAAGCCACGAGACACAGCCTACTGTGTGTTCAATGGTCTGTCCAGCTCTCTTGGATTTGGTTGTTGGTTCCTTTAAGGCGTCTTGAAAGGCAGCGTGGTGCCCAATTAAATGAAAACCAGGAAGGCATAATGCACCACGACTATCAGCAATCAACTCTAGACAGTTCGTTGAGGACAGAACAAAACTTTGTGTTTCAGCAAGTGCTTTTCTGTCTGCCTCTCTGCCTACAGTTAGAGGAAGGGGCCAGGTTAAGGCCAGAAAAGATTCTGCTTTAGCTGATAAAGGGAAAGCTCTGTGCCAGGAACCCTGTGGTTTTCTGTCTTTGGAAGTTCTCCCCTCCGGGGCTTAGGAGGGAGAGATACCTTCCTCCTAAAGCATCGTATCGCCTATTGCCCAGGGGAAGCAAGTCTCACACATCCGGGCCGGGAGACCCTGATCACCCCGGGCTGCGTACTCGATTTCAGGCCAGCAAGACACTAGGTTTTCTCTCTTAAATGTTTTAACTGTCGAGTTCCATGCTCCGCCTCCTCGGGCTTCTTATCCTGCAGGGATAGGCGGAGGGAGGCAGCTTCCAGGCTGGGGTGGGAGAAGCACCGGCGGCGCGCGCTGCGGTCGGTGCGGGTCCGGGAGCGCAGCGCAGGCAGCGCGTGGCCTCGCGGTGAACTTGGCCGCCGGCGAGGCTGGGCTTCTCGGGCGCTGGAGCCCCAGATCCTGACAGAGCCAGGCTGCCGGCTCAGCGTTGTGTTGTGACAGAAAAGGCTGCCTTTTACCTTTCCTGAAAACAATTCCCGGGATCTGTTAGAGGGGAGGTTCAGTCACTCTGAAATGACCAGCGACATCTCTTAGAGCCAAAATCAGTCAACGCGGAAAAGACACTCCAATTTTTAAAACCAATAGGTAGTTGATAAATGGAGCTGTCAGTCTAGAAGCCCCCTGGGCCCAGCGTGCTTCTGCAGAGCCGGGTATTTTCAGAGTCGGCGCTCTCTGAGATTCCAGCTGGTCCACCCGGCGGGGCTCCTGTTGGCCTCACAGAGCACGTGGCTTTGCGGGATGTGATGCGACCCCAGCGTGGGCTTAACTGATGCTAGGCACCAGGCTGTGGATCCAGAGACCCCGGGACACACAGAAGTCCAGCTCTCATCCCTCATCCAATTTCACTTTTTTTTTTTTTAACCCTCAAAAGATCCAGATGCCGTTTTAGGGGGACAGGATGTATTGAAGATTTATAAATGGAGCAATCTCCTAATCAAAATAAACATCATCCAATCATGCTCACAGGGTGGTGGCAAATTAGTGGCAGCATATTTTGTTTTCTTTAGCAGTGATCCATGATTGATTTATGGATTAAATTGTGCCCTGTGAAGTACATATATATCTGTGAACTGTCTCCCTAAGCATTTCCTGTTCACCTCTGTGCCACATGCCTGGCTGAAGGAGAGAATTGTTTCTCCTCTAGGCAGGAGCTGTCTGCATAGCTCCTTGGGCTGGGATAGTGTCTGCTTAGGGCTGCTTTCGGCTTTGTCTTCTGCTCTGTCCTCTGAGCTCAGCAAAAGGCCTATAAAAAGGAAGGCCGACTCTCCTACACATCCACAGGGCCCCCAAGCTCTTCATCTGTGAAGTGGGACAATAATGCTTGTCTTACCAGTCTGATAGTGTTCTTTTGAGGATACAGTTCATTAAGGTTGGAAAAGATGCTGGTGACTGCAGCCTTTGCTGATCCACTTTGCTTGTCTGTGAGATAAAGGAGATGATACATCTTTATCAGTAATGCTTCAGTTATTTTATTTTTAAAAAATAAATTGCAGTAAGCATTATAAAATATTACAGTTGTTACTCCTAGAATGTGGCTACACAGGTATTTATGTTATTCTCTGTGTTTTTCTGTGTCTTTCAAAGTCTTCTCATCCAATAAAAAGAAAATAAAAGGCAAGAAGAAAGAGGAGTTATGCAAAATCTGGTACCCTTAACTTAGACTTTCTCTGGTTCTATGGACAGGAAAATGCTCACAAAACCTGAGTCCTGTAGGAATGAGAGGTATGACAATTATTCATGATATTTCTGTTCCTTCCATTGCTCTGAGAATTTACTAAAATCCTGCAGCAGGTTTCACCCCTACACTCAACCCCATTTGTCTAAGGCAGCTGTTTGCTCACCAGGCTGATTTGCTGGTGGAATAGGAATTTTCTAGCTGAAGAAGGGTAAGCCCAGGATGATGTCATTTATAAGATTTTGCTTCCATCTCCTCCTCCCTCCCCAACAATCCCAACCTGTACCAAATAGGAACATACACCTGTAGGAAGAGAAACTATGATCTCTAGTCATTAAAAATGTGCTTTGTATGATGCAATCCCAAATGCTCTTGGGCTTAACAAAAACACATTGCAAGACTCACATTGACATTGACATTTCCACTCCTCTAACTTAAAAACAGCCAAACTAAATTAAGTAACAACAACAACAAAAGTTGTTTCCCACACAGTTTGACCAGATCTTACCACCAGTCTTCAGCCTTAAAACAATTTTCATGCTTGAGTTATTAACTTATGAAAATAGGCACAAAAGGGGGAAAATGTGCACAGATCCTCGCTACTTTATTAGTCATTGCTACAGCTGAATGCGTTCTGGTACAAAGGCATGTTATTCTGCCTGCCAGTATCTCGGTTTTGAACAAAATGCAGCTCACTAATGGGTTCTGCCTCATATACCTTTCTGTAATCATTACTTTGCCATTCTCTGTAATTTATCCTGTTTTTCATGAGGAGTGTGTCCATTAGTCAGGCGTGTGCACACACATGCACACACAGCTTTTAAGTCCCCTTTCATTTGTAGCTGAAAAGAAAGGTCAGAGAGCTGCCAGTCTTTCGGGGGGAAGCACTACTGCGCTGATTGTGATAATATTTGGAAAACAGAGTGGTGGATGTGGTGGATGGATATAAATAGATCCTGAAAATCTAGTGAATGGAGGGCAGCAACATGAGTACATGAAGGGGATCTAGAAGCAGACTGGCAAAGGTGGAGACAGAATGGGAGAGACTGACCTGTCCCGTGTTGATCTCTTTATCTGGGAGGGGCAGTGTGGGGCTGACATCTTCCTGGACCAGACAGAGACATCTTGCTCACTTGCTCAGTAATCTCAAGTTTGGGGGATGAGCTCCAAGATTCCGACAGGAACCCCCTTTTGGCAATTTCTGGCTTGGGCTCAGAGGTGCTGCCCCAAGCCAGTCTGAGCCAAGTGAATAAAGGAATGGAGTTTTGAGCCTATTGATTTTTGCTTCTGTAAACTCCAGAATTAGTTATAGAAATGAAGGCTTTTGAGTGTTTACTTTTGAAAAAAAAAAGAGCAGGCAGGAAAATAATTGGGAAAAAATACGGATGAGATTTTTTTAAAAGCTTGATGAAGATCAAGGTTTTCACAAGCAAGTGTGAATCACTAGAACCAGCTCCTCACAGATCAGAGGTCTGCAGGGGGCTGGGGATCTGGCAAACAGGCCCTCCGTGGGCAGGGAGCTCCCCAACAATTCTCAGCCAGCAAGAGAAGCCTTTGGCATTGTCCTCTTGAATTAGGATAACAGGATTCTCCATCATACACTTGCCTGGTTAGGGAGGCAGTAATTGTGAACTGAACATGTTCTTTTATCCTCTTTGAAGTGTTCTTTTATCCTCTTTGAATGCTTTGATTTTGCTCTTTTCTCCTCATTAAGACAAATATGGCTCCTTTTTGCCCCCAGGAAGCTAATCTCACCTCCCAAGCCAACCAGGCATCCTGCTGCTCAGCTGAGTCCAATCCCAAGGAGGTCCTCTCCTGTCCTTGCCAAAGACCCCTCTACCAGGATTCTGACCCAGGCCCAGGTGCAGGGCATCTCAGTGCTTCACATTGTTCTGGGAGCCCAGGGTGCATCACCATGGAGCCCCAGCTCACGTGACAACATAACAGTGTTCGCAGTAATTCTCAACCCTAGATATCCTGTTCACTACGAAACACAGGCATGTTAAGTTTCCCTGATACTGTCCTGCAGAGGCTAGCAGGCTGCACAGAATTTAGGAAGACAGAGCCCCTCAAAGATCTGGAATCTTTGGCAATTACAAAGCCCAATCCTGCCCACAGCCTTCTTTTACCAGAGACAAAACAAAATGGTTTGCCCAGAGCCTCACTGCCAGACAGTGGCAGAACTGAGTCTGGAAGTGGCCTTGCTTCTCCCAGCTGACATTGAACCCCTGAGGCTCATCTGCCATCAAACTCCTACCTGCAGCCCTCACGTCCCCCCTCCCAGTGCCAGGGCAAAGTCAGTGAGATGGAAATCTGCAGACTGGAGCAGGTGGGTTACTCGGAGGCCACTGAAGGTGGAATAGGTCCCTTTTGCACTGTCTTCCAACCAGAGAGGAACACAGGCCAGTGGGTCAGAGTGCTAGGCCCCAGAGTCACAGACACAGGGCATGGCCCAAAGGGCCCAGTGAGGACATTCCTGCAGATGGCTATAGGCTGGTAGAGAGCTAGGAGGCCTGGTGAACTCTGTCGTGTGGGCAATGGGAAGGTGGACAGAGGAGTGTTCTTGAGAAAGAAATTCAAAGCTGAGAAAACATAACCCCTCCTATCTCATTCCTCTTAGGCATAATCCCCACGGGCAACAGGCTCAGTGTCTGGCTGAATGTGCACCTCTCTTTTGAATCCTTCCCCCATCGATGAGGTTGGTGTCACAAATTAGACCCTCTCCCCTATTTTCTTCTTTTCAACAATCTTAACCATTTTAAGTGTACAGTTCAGTAGTGTTATGTACATTCACATTGTTATGTGACCAATCTCCAAAACTCATTTCATCCCCCAAAACTGAAATTCTTAGGCATTAAACAACTCTCCATTCCCCAGTCCTGGAAGCCACCATTCTTTTTTGAGACAGAGTCTCTATCACCCAGGCTGGAGTGCAGTGGTGCGATCTCAGCTCACCACCACTTCTGCCTCCTGGGTTCAACCGATTCTTATACCTCAGCCTCCCGAGTAGCTGGGATTATAGGTGCACACCACCACACCTGGCTAATTTTTGTATTTTTAGTAGAGAGGGGTTTCACTATGTTGGCCAGGCTGGTCTCGAACTCTTGACCTCAAGTGATCTGCCTGCCTCGGCCTCCCAAAGGGCTAGGATTATAGGCGTGAGCCACCGTGCCTAGCGCACCATTCTGCTTTCCATCTCTATGCAGTGGACTACTCTAGGTACCTCATATAAGTGGAACTATAGTGTATTTGTCCTTTTTTGTCTGGCTTCAGTCGCTTAGCATAAAGCCTTCCAGGTTCTTCCATACTGTAGCATATAGCACTGTTTCTTTTCCTTTTAAGGCTGAATAATATTCCACTGTATGTATAGACCACATTTTGTTTATTCATCCATCTGTAAACACTCGGGTTGTTTCTACCTTTTGGATATGGCAAACAATGCTGCTATATTGGAATAAGGATGTGCAAATATTTATTTGAGATCTTGCTTTCAATTTTTTTTAATACACACCTAGAAGTGGAACTTCTGGGTCATATGGTTGTTCTATTTGTGATTTTTTGAAGAACTGCCATCCTGTTTTCCACAGTGGCTGTAGCATTTCATATTCCCACCAAAAGTGCAGAAGGGTTCCAATTTCCCCACAACCTTGCCAACACTTGATATTTTCCGTTTTATTGCTATTAGCCATTCTAATGGTGTGGGGGTGATGTCTCATTTTAGTTTTTATTTGCTTTTCTCTAATCATTAGTGATGCCAGTCATCTTTTCACATGCTTTTTGGCCATTTATTAATATATATCATCTTTGTAGAAATATCTATCTAAGTCCTTTGCCCATTTTCTAATCAGGTTGTTGTTGCTGAGTTATAGGAGTTCTTTATCTTCCCACTCCCTGGACCTTTTTTTTTTTGTTTGCAACTGAAAAACTAAAGGCTCAAAGAGGCAGACGGCCTGCTGAAGCCTTTGCCCAGGGGCTGCTTAGCAGCAGCAGCAGGGAAAAACTAACCCTGGCTGACCCTAGCTTAGGTAGCAACTACAGAGCTCTCAGCCCATTCTCCCAGCCACACAGTCTCAGAGCAAATACTGTCCATCAAATGCACACTCTGTGTTCATAGCCTCATGTGCCAAATTGCTGTTGGAAAACCAATGGCAAACACTGGTTGCAGAGAACACAGAAGCATGTAATATCCACTTTAATGGTGGTTCCACTTTCATATTTTTTCTCCCCTCTAAGGAAAGGGAGAGAGAAAAACCTGTTCGTGGAAAAAATATATTTAAATGGATCAGTGCCAGGGAACCATTGGCACATCTGTTCTTAACAGGTTTCAGCTGAAACTACTGAAAATATACATAGATCTGTTTATGTGGAACCAGTTAAATATGATAAGATTACAACTTGGAGGGTAACTATGGATTTGGTGGTGGAAAAAAAAATCCCCTCCACACTTGGTCTCCGCATGCACTCATAACATTTTACCACAGATGTGTTGAGGGAATCAGATTTGCTGCAAATGGAAAAGACCTGAATTATTTGAGATTAGCTACAAACAAACTCAAGATGTCCCCACCGCCTTTCTGCAGCACATAATTCCTGCCTCGTCTCTAATCTGGGCCCAGTCCTTTGTTATCAGAGAGGAGACTGCAGCCAGGGAATCACCCATTTCTGAGTGAGTCTGTCTTCACTCCTCCAACTAGCCATTTAGGAGGAAGACAGTGTGCACACTGCTTACACAGAGAATGCACAGTTGTCTTCCTTACAGTTTTCAGCATCCCAAAGGACTCCATGTTCTCTTGAGGCTGTGCAGGCAGCAAGGAGGGAGTGTTGGCTGAGGGGCTCCCAATGGAGGCCCTGTGCTCCTTCTGGAGTCTTTTTCTATGTAGTACTCACAACCACCCTATGAGGTTGCATTGTCACCCCCCTTACAGAGATGAGCAAATTGAGGCTCCAGGCTCTAGGATAATTTGTCCAGGGCCATGCCAATAATTAGATGCTCTAAAGGAAGAAAGATGTTTCCTCCCATCTAAATATGCCTTAACAGGAGCATCACTTGAGCCCAGGAGTTCAAGGCTGCAGTGAGTTATGATTGTGCCACTGCACTCCAGCCTGGGCAACAGAGCAAGACCCTTCCTATGTTAACAATAAATAAACAAATAATACATGAATAAGCCTTGAGGCAAGGTCATGACTCAAATATCCACAGGGTCTAGCAGGAGCAGGAGTGAGGGGCCCTAGGCAGCTAATATGGGGCCATAGCAGACTGATACTGGGGAAAATGCAGACCTTGTGGCCCAGATCTTCTGGTTTTTGTATAGAGAATGAGAAATCACTAGATTTTTGTATGATGGCTCAAATATTGAAAACAAACACAAAGCACAGCCCCTGCTATAGTTTGCAATCTCCACTGTGGGTCCTTTGCTGCCCCCAGCGGTGGGAGGAAGGGGCTGCACTGGCTTTGAACCCCCTCTTGTTGGGGACTGAGCATCTGACCATCAGGATCCTTGCCTCCTGGTGCAGGAGGTGTCTGTCACAGGCCACAGGCACCGCAGCTCAGCACCCTCATCCCAGTGTCCCTTCTAAACTTCATTAGACTCCTCAACTCTGGCACACTGTGAAATGTATATTCATCTATAAACATTTCTCTAATAATTTATCTCAAAAAAGTGACATCAGTCTCTAAAATGCACCACAGGACACAGGAATGGCAGTCTCATGACCTCAAAAACAATCAGCCAAAATTGACATCTGACAACACCTCCTCCCGCACCCCCAGGGGCCGGGCTGTGATCCGTAAGGTTTTCATTCTTGCTGGACCCCACGCTGTGAAAATGCACCTATTTTTATTCATCAAAATCATTTTTTTAAAATAAGCAGCCCAGCGGAAAACAATTGTGAATGGCAGCTTCATTACATTTGGAGTTTTGGAACAAAGACAATATTGCTCACACTCTATGACCTGTTCAATGATACTGAAGTTTAATTAAAAAAATGTTAACGTACTAAACTGACAACAAGGAAGGTGCAACATTAGGGTTTTTTTGAAAAATCAGGAAAGCAAAATATGCTTGACAGATTGTCTCAGTTATCAATTCAATGTGACTTAACATTTGTCTTTTGGTTTTTATTTGAAACTTTCAGTTTTGAACTAGTAGGGCAATAATCCAAGCTGTATGGAACCAAAGTGGGGAGGTTGGTGGGACTCGGAGGGAAAGTTGAATAGAGGGACCCCTATTGGCCCTTTAGGGGGCTCAAATATCATCCTGGGCAAAGTTGTTTCTTAAAGGTCCCACTAGAATTGGCTACTGTTCCGGCTCCCCTAGAAAAGCCCTTGAAAGGGTATTTTCTGAGCAAGAAACATGGTGACGCTTCCACCACGTGACTGGTTTAAGACAGTCATTCTAGTAGACCTGATAAGTGAAAGCCAATTATTTTGAAGCAATAGAGTAAGTGGTGTGTGGGCAGCCACTGAATATTTAACCCAACCTGAGATTCATTAATTATGAAAGACTTTTCTTCTGAGATGATGCGATAATAGAATACGAAAATTTAAGTGCTGAAAGTATGTCAATGCATTGATTTTAAAGAAGGTGATCTAAAGCAGCAAAAAGTGATCCACATGCTCTCTGGATAGTCTCTAGGACATGTCATGTCAGTTCATGTCTTAAAGCCCCATGAAAGAGAGCCATTTTCCCCCAACCACAGAGCCCTGAGATCTGGCCAGAGGTCCCATGGTGGAAGACTCGCTCCCACTGTAGCCTGTGAAAGAGGAAAGCCACTGACCCTCATCTTGGGGACCCGTGAAGACCCACCTCCCACTTGGAGCAAGTGAGGGAACTGCAGGGTATTGGGTGAGGCCTGCTATACTTCCTACAGGCTTTGGGTCTTGGAGGTAATGGTACCAGCCTCACAGTGTGGGAGTTGGAGCGTCTGCTTCCACCCTGAGAAAATAGGTATGGGAGCAGGTCACAAGCTAGGACAGTGCCTCGACCTCCCTGAGGAAAAGACCAGAATGTATTCAGAGTCCAGGGTCCAAACCAGGGGTCTGGAGTGGCAAATTTAAGGCCTTGAGGCTGGACTGGACCAGTGCAGAGTCAGGGAGACACAGCTGTGACCTCAGGGAGGTGCTTGTCATGCACAGGGAGGAGGCTGCATTCTGTTCTCAGAGTGACAGGAAGCCACTGTTGAGTTCCAAGGGGGAGAAGGACATGGCTCAATGTGCCTTTCCCAAAGATCTTGCCGGCTCTCTCTGGAGTAGGAGTCTGGACAGGTAAGAGTCTGGACTGTGGGCCAAGTGGGAGACATGGGATGGGAGACAACAGGATGGACTCTTGAGACATTTCACAGATAGAGCCAGCAAGGCACAGGGAGGCACTGGGTGAGGAAGGTGAGGGCAGGGTCCATGGATAAATTTCACAGATAGAGCCAGCAAGGCACAGGGGGGCACTGGGTGAGGGAGGTGAGGGCAGGGTCCATGGATAAGGCACCTAAAACCCCTGGTTTCCCGTTTAGAGAAAGAATCCAATAATTCCTACCCGTCTGAGCTGTTGTGAGGACAGAGAATGGTGCATGCCATGAGCGGCTCACAACAGGGCTCCAAGGAGTGAGGGTCTGACTGTACTCCTGTTACCTCCTTTTGTCATCACAAGCACAGATGATGGACATCTGTCTCTAGCTATGTTACTTCTGACCCCCCAGCCCCAGCAAAGCAGGAAGTGGGGCCTGGGTGGAGAGGGGTGACAAGGTGGGTTTGAGTTGATCTTTCTGAGAAATCATGTGCAACTTCACAAGCAAAACAGTTACGCAATAAACTTCCAGGTTCTTAAAACCATGCTGAGGGTTACAAAAAGAAAGTTAACGGGATGCTGATGTGGACTGTGCAAATCGTTAACATACTGAAAACCTCTGTGTCCATGGTGACGTATGTACAAGTGTGAGCTGGATGAGTGACTGCCCCCTAAGGCCAGGATCCCTGTGTCCACTCTCTGCCGTGCCTGTCCCCATCATCACTCCTGGTGAAGCAGGGACGATAGCAGAGTTCCCACTGGAGGACCAAACATGCATCCAGCCCTGGAAAACAGTGCCACACTGGGCACACTGGACCTTCCCAGCCCTGGGCAGTGGGACGTGCTAGAGAAGTTGATTCACAGGGGAAACTGGGTCCTATCTGTGGGGTCTTCCCACTGGCTGGAAGGGTTCCTGGAGGAGGAGTTTCAGGGCTCTGTGAGGATGGGTAGGAGGGCCTATGGGGCAAGGTTCATAGCATCCTGCTTGGAGAAGGACACATACCCTGTTTCCTCAGAGCCAACACATTTTCCATTCTAAATATAGCCTAAGATGACCCAAGACATCTTGAGTCCCTT
The DNA here is from genome assembly GCF_000001405.40 of Homo sapiens. NCBI lineage: Eukaryota > Metazoa > Chordata > Mammalia > Primates > Hominidae > Homo > Homo sapiens. The sequence continues at coordinate 87,574,644 of NC_000002.12, read as the reverse complement.
GCAGGGAGACCGCAGTTTTGTAATTTTCGGCACTTCTATGATTCTGAGGAAATGAACAGTAAAGCCCGAAGCCCTTTCACTTGCATCCCCTGAGCCTGGGGACTGGCAGACAACACTCCACCCTTTGAAAGAAGAGCCCAGGCAAGCTGGCCCTGGTGAGAAGCTCCCTTTAGCAACCAATTTTAGGAGATTCCACAATAGTTTGTCAGCCTACTGTCTCCCTCCGGCAAAGTGAAGTGAGGCTTCTGTTCACCCAGGATGGGTCACTGTCACCCCAGGCCCACAATGAGTAGCTCTTTCCATGACCCTTGGGATGGTTCACCTCCTGAGAGAGGCCCAGCCCTGACAGGCTTTCAGTTGGACAATAGATTTCAGTCTCCCCTGAAATCGTTGCTGCATCACCAGCTTTCGTAGCATTTCTGCAAAGTCTAAGATACAAGACTTTCAAAGAGGGAGCGCCCACTACATGCCTGGGGCACAGCGGTGACTCTTGGCTTGGAGGCGCTTCTCTGCTTGTTTGTAAGCCAGGGGATATTTTTACTATCTGAGTGGGGCCCTGTTAATTGCTTCACAAGCACTTCTGGGGAAGTTCACTTTCCAGGGGCCAGTCGTTAACTCCAACAGTGCCAGCGCTTCCCAGCCAGGGGCCTACATAAAGAGGTGCATTAGTTATCCCTAAAGGGTTAATGACTGGAGATGCGAGGACAGTCATGTTGAGTTATATATAGCAAACAGTGAGCAAAGCAGGCAAGCACAAAAAAAGGAAGACAGGAAAAAAACTGCATGGATATACTCCCCTCCCCCAACCTTCCCTGGTCTACCCCCACCCTCCCACAACACTATATATACAGACCACAGTTAAATTTGGCACAGAGACTATAGCCAAGAAGGAAAACAGATCGAGTTACACAAAGTCCTATTCAGATTTGGGCCTGGGCCTCATGGGGACAATGCTCTGCTGAGGAGAACAAGGCCATGGTCTGTTGTCAAAAAATGCACACCCGTGCGCTTTGCTTTCCTTCCAAGCATTCGCTGGCCCGGCCCTGGGCAGCAGGTTAATTCCCTGCTCTGCAGGTGGAGACAGATAAAACAAACTGAAATGGTGTAATGGGCTACAGGAAACCTTTCTTTCAGAACTTGATTCATCTCCAGAAAGGAAACACACGAGGACTTTGCTCTGGACGGTAATCTGTTTTCTTAGGGCAGCTGAGAGAGGCCTGGCAGCCAGGGTAAATACGGCAACTGGTAGAGGGGCTTTTGGCAGATGGAGCTGCAAGAGAAGTTTGAAACGATCACTTCCTACACTCTGTTCCCTACCAAGAGTGAGCTGTCAATCTTGCAGGATGGAGGTGCTCTGGAAAACAGCAGTGGGGAGAGAGCGGGCCACAAGGGAGAAACCTGAGCCACAGGTGCGTGCCTGGGATACCCCCTACTCCTGCGGGCTGGCTCACCTGGCAGAACTCGCAGAAAGGCTGCTCCCAAGCTCACTGCTCGAAGCTAACCATGTGGAGAAAGCAGGCCAGGACTTCTGGAATGCAACCTGGGCGCAAGTCAACCTCTGCTTTGAGCAGACAAGCAGGCCCGCAGCGGGCAGGCTGCCATCGAGGGTGGCCTGAGCCTCTACTGGATGTAAAGCTGGGCATGGAGAAGGCCAGGTACCTTTTAGTCATTGGAATCATCCCCATCAGCAGGCACGCAGGACACCTCGAGGAGATGAGACAGCCAGCTAGCACGTAACAGTCAGGGCTGCATAGAACATGATAGTCATAAAGACAATCCCTCATGCCACCTTCGTGTGTGGGTCTTTCAAAAGACATTCTATCTTATTATCCCATTTGATCTTCACCTGACCCTAGATGGGTCGGGCAGGGCAGAGCATCACCCTCGTTTTACAGTGGAGGAAGTGGAGGCCCAGCAAAGCCACTCTTGCCTGAGTGGGAACAGCTGGTTCAAAGATAGCCCTTTGCCCAGCCCTCTGGGAAGATAACACCTCCGGGCCAGTCTCTGTGGTGCAGGCAGTAGTTTGTACATTTGAGTGTGCACCCAAATCAAGGGGGCCATCCTCGGCCTGGTATAGCCTGCTCCCCTCAGGTTGGGCCTGGGACTTCTGTGTGGGCCCCGGCCCCCAGCACCAAGGTGGGCATCCAGTGATCTTAGTTCACACTGGGCTTTTCCATGGACACAAGCTTAGTCTGCATTGGCAAAGTGGGGACAATAGCTCAGCATGTGTCTAGGGCTGCCTCAAACAGTGACGGACCCAGAGGATTTCATCTCCTTTCCCTGCATGATTTGATGGGCTCTCTAACTTGAACTCCCTGTGTAGAAAGAATGTGGTTATGGGCTGAGTTGCGTCTCCTCCCCCACATTCATGTGTTTAAGTCTGAACCTTCAGTTCCTCAGGATGTGACCTTATCTGGAACTAGTACCATTGCCGGTATAATTAGTTAAGATGAGATTATACTAGAGTAGGGTGGGCCCCTAATCCAACATGACTGGTGTCCTTATAAAAGGGGGAAATTCAGACACACACACGGACAGGGAGAATGCCCTGTGAAGATGCAGAGACAGGTTGGGGTGGTGCTTCTGCCAGCCAAGGAACACCAGCGGCTGCCAGCAAACACCAGAAGCACGAATGATTCTCCCTCATGGCACCCGGAAGAAACCTACGCTGCCCAAGCTGACCTTGAACTTTCATCCTCCAGAACTTCCAGGCAATCAATTTCAGTTGTTAAGATCCTCAGATTGTGGAGTTTTGTTATGGCCTTCCTGGAAGATGAACCCAGATGCTAAAAAGGCAGAGGAGTGGAAAACTGATGTCTGTGGTTAGTTTACCTTGAAAACCAACCATGAGGCCCCTTCCAGCTCTGTTCTACAGACATCGATTCTGCTTTATTGTTTTAACCAAGAGTAGTACTCCACAATTGTAAACACAGTCCACAAGTTTTCTACTCCAGACCATCTCTTTAGCAGAGAGAAGGAAATATCTGTCTTCCTTCTCCAAATCCTAACCCTACTTTGTTCTCAATAGAAATTATATTGTGTCTAAGTCTCCCAAAATGTCTCAAAAGCAAGACAAACACCCACTTCCTCTTTTGGAAACTGATGGGACCCTCTACAAATTACATGTGGAGACATCACTCTTTCCCAACCAACATAGAAACTCAAACTCTTGTCAACTTTCCTAGTATCCCAACTTGCTTTCAAGAGAAAACTAAAAACTCATTCACATGAATAAAGTATAAATGACAGTCAAGAGCTTAAAGTGTTAGCTGTCCTAGGTGGGGAATAAGTTCACAAGGAACATCGGTAAAGAGGAACATGTCAGGAGTGGGAGCCCACTTTGCCTTATACCCTGACCAGGTATGTAGTCCTCAATGTAAAACTCTCCCACTGGGTGGGAATTCCTCCCACCCCAACAACGCCAGCCTCCCTGTGGCTTTGCATCAGGCTCCATCTCCTCATCGCAGCGTGGAACTCTATTCCTGTCTCTCCAATGTCCTCACACCCCAGTGACTCCAACGTCCTCTAGGACTAGGGAAGTCCGCACGGAACCTACCAAAATCCCTGGCACCCTGACAGCCCCTTCTAGTGACAGGAGCTTAAAGTGTAGCTTAAAGAAGCAGCTTTGGACCTGGTAGTACCTAGGGCTAAATTCTGCAGTACTCAGGTGGACCATAAAATAAGGCCATATTATTAGACTTGATGTGTGAATGCCACTCTCCTTTTCTTTGATTGTCCTGTTCCTGAAATCTACCTGCTCTAGAATTGCCTCCCAGATAATGTCTCTTCTAGCCTTGCTCTTCCCCCAGAGTTTCCTATTGTTTATACAAGTCCTGGGTTATTGTTCCTCCACCCAGCATTACTTAATACATCAATTAATTAGACTATAGGCTTTCCAGAGAGAGAATCGTACTTTTATCCATTTCCCCTTCCCAGATTTTGGTGACTTACATGTAGAAGTTACTCAATAAATATCTGTTGAAGGTTAATTCAACCTGAATTTCTTGTGTTCGTCTACTCTTGTTACCTGTTTTGGTCCCCAAATCCTTCCCACTTCAGACATTCGGTCAGCCCATCAACAGAGGTTGTCTCCTAACATAGACCAAATCTATAAGGAGCTGATTTCCTATTAATTCAGTGACAAGATGTCACAGATCTTCAGAGTTGGAAGATTCTTTAGAAAGTATTTCATCCATTTCTTTAATAAGAGGCCATGTTACTCATCCAAGGCCACACAGCTGGGGAAGCAGCAGCAGGGCCTGGCAGGAAGATGTTCTGGTGGAAGTGAGGCCATTCATCATGTCCAAGAAGCTGTCATCTGGGTGGCCAGCGTCGGGTGAGAGGCCAACTCATACACTTGTTGGAAGGTTCCCTCTATTGGACCCTGGGCATTTCTATTTAACCCGAACACGCCTCTGCATAAGTCCAGGTATCTCCATCTGATCTTCTCCGCAGGTTATCCTCATAGGCAACTGGACGAGGGGCCCATCCCCAATACAATCAGGCTGCACAGACCCCTGCTCCCACCGCTGGGTAGCAGAGACACAGCCTCCTGCCCTATCTCACAAATCCATGGATGTGACCCATGGGAGTGACTTCCATTTAAAGTTTTGGGCAAATCTCGGAGATTGCTGTTTTCAACCACTGGGGAAGCTTAAAGCCAAACAGTCCTACTGGCATAGAAGTAAGCCTCATTTGTTTTCTATCTGAACACATGTTTTACATCAAGAGAAGGGCTGTGGTTGGGGTAGGGAGAGCTGAAGGGAGATTCAAAGGTTCTTCAGCTCTCACAGATCTCAACCTCTTCAAAGTTTCAACCCTCAGAGCACTTAAGATGTTTCATCCCACTCAGCAGAAGTGCCTCTGCCCACACTCTCGTGTGCCACAGTGCGTGCATGGGAACTCAGCTGTGGTCCAGAGCCAGTAAAGGAAACGGGACAGTCACCTCACTGTACTTTTCCTAGAGGATGTAATTTCTCCTTTGGGATTTGATAAGCTTCCTAAGGCACATTCACATGCACAGGGCAGATGAGACCTGCTTGTTACTGAGGTCACATCAAGCCTCACATGGTGATGTGTATGAATGAACTCATACTTAAAAGAATGGGCAACTCCTACCTGGGACCTTGAGCAGGTGGGTATGGGTCAGAGCCCAGAGTCAGGGTGGATAGGCAATGGGAAAGAGAGAAAAGGTTTGCTTTTAGTGGTAACCACTTTCTAGCCTCAGCATTCTCAACTGCAGACTGGAGATAATAATAATGTCCTTCTGTGATATTTGGGGGGTTGACCAAATAAGATTTCTTGTAAAAGTGCCATGCACTGGGCAGATGAGCATCAATTCTGTGACCAGGAAGGGATTCCAGTGCCATTGCCAGCTCCTGGTTGCGTTCTTTTGAGATGATGTATTTTTTTTCAAGGGAAAGGAGCAACAAGAGGGTACCTGCAGTCTGTAGGACAATACAAGTCAAATTCTGGAGTAAAATTGTAGCACTTACACTGTGTGCTGAGTCATTTGTGATCAGAGGGAAATGAAAAGTGGCATAACAGGGTGACGGACAGGCCCAGGAGAATTCACTATGAGTCTTGGGAGTGCTGCTAGCACCTCTGCTACCTCCTAGGTGGGTCATTTCACCTCCCTGGCCCAACTGTGAATTCAAGAATACCACATCCAGCACTGCACTGTGGCAAGGGCTCCTGCAGAATAATGCAAGGGAAGAGAGCTGGAAACGACAACGTACTGGTCACATGTGTGATGCCATTTGATGTGGTTTGGCTCTGTGTCCCCCCTCAAATCTCATGTTGAATTACAATTCCCAGTGTTGGAGGAGGGGCCTAGTGGGAGGTAAGTGAATCACGGGGGTGGACTTCCGCCTTGCTGTGCTCTTGATAGAGTTCACGAGATCTGGCTGTTTGAAAGTGTGTAGCACTTCCCCCTTATCTCTCTCTCTCTCCGGCGTGAAGATGTGTTAGCTTCCCCTTCACCTTCCGCCATGATTGCAAGTTTCCTGAGACCTCCCAGCCATGCATCCTGTAAAGCCTGTGGAACTGCAAGTCAATTAAACCTCTTTCCTTCATAAATTACCCAGTTGCAGGTAGTTCTTTATCACAGTGTGAGAATGGACTACACATTATTGTTATTGTTAAAGGAAAAGAGGAGGGGGCAGGAGGAAGAGGAGGAAGGAAAAGGGAGAAATGAGGAAAGAGAGGGAAAGGAGAAAGAGGGAGGAGAGAGAAAGGGGATTGCCTTCCTTTTTAAAAAAATAAACTTTTTATTTTAGAATAGTTTTAAATTTCCAGAAAAGTTGAGAATAGTCCAGAGAGTTTCCCTAGATATCACACCCAGTTTCTCTCATTGTTACTATCTTACATTAATGAGGTACCTTTGTCACAATTAATGGCCAATGTTGATGCATATTAACTAAAGTCACCCTTCATTCAGATATCCTTAGTTGACCCAGCTGTCCTTCCACCATAGAACACCATGTTACACTGAGTTGTCCCATCTCCTTAGGCTTCTCTTGGCTGTGACAATTTCTTAGACTTTCCTTGTTTTTGATGACCTTGACAGTTTTGAGGAACACTAGTCAGGTATTTCGTAGAATGTCCCAACATTGGGATTTGCCTGGTGTTTTCTCCTATGATTATTGGGAGAAGACCACAGAAGTAAAGTGCTACTTTCATCACATTCTATCAGGAGCACATCCTATCAACATGACGTCACTCGTGATGTTGACCATGATCATCTGGCTGAGGCAGTGTTTGTTGGACGTCTCCACTGTGAAGTTTCTCCCCTGCCCCCTTTCCACACTGTACACTTTGAAAGGAAGTCACTGTGTGCAGCCCATATTTAAGGAGGGGAGAATTATGCTCCACCTCCTTGGGGGTGCACTATTACATAAATTACCTGAAATTCCACCACTCTGGAGATGTGCCTATTCTCTGCCATTTACTTATTCATATGTATGTGATTAACTAAATATATAAATGTAAATCAGTATGGAATCATGCATATTTATTTTATACTTGGGTTATTTATAATCCAATACTACTTTATTGCTCAAATTGTTCCAGCTTAGGCCATTGAAAGCTTTTTCAAGTGGTCACTGTGTCTCCTTGACCTGTGTGTTATTGTTTGTTCTTCTGAACACGTTCTTACTTTCTGGCCCTGTAAAATGCTCCTCCAGGCTCATTTTGTACATTCCCCGCCTGTCCTAGAATCAGCCATTTCTCCAGGAAGGCTTACTTCCTTTTATTAAATGGTATTAAGAACAGTGGGGGCGGTGGTGGGGGCAGTGGCGGTGGTGGCACAGTGACGTCAGGGTGTTGGGGCAGCTCCTGTGACAGACAGAGCTGGAGCGGCGGGGCAGTGGCAGAATCCAGCGGCCGGGAGAGTAGAATGAATCTTACTTGTTGAATATCTTCTGGTTACTAGTTGGATTCATTTGTAAAAGAATCATTTTCCGCTGAGTGGAAGACACTTAGTGTCATATTTATATTATACGTCCACGGATCAAAAAGCTTTTTCATTTCCCAAAGGAGGGACATACCACTATATGAGATAAGCTTGACATTACAGCCAAGATGGTGCTGTCCCAGAGACAACGAGATGAACTAAATCAAGCTAAAGCAGATTATCTTCGTTCAAATGGCTACGAAGAGGCATATTCAGTTTTTAAAAAGGAAGCTGAATTAGATATGAATGAAGAAATAAAGTAGGCTGGTGTTTTGGGGAAAAAATGGACATCTGTTATTAGATTACAAAAGAAGTTTATGGAATTAGAATCAACGCTAAATGAAGCAAAAGAAGAATTTACGTCAGGTGGACCTCTTGGTCAGAAACAAGACCCAAAAGAATGGGTATTTTCTGCCAGAAAAAATACACATTGAGTGGTCACAGGAGTCCAATCATTCGAGTCATTTTCCATCCTGTGTTCAGTGTTATGGTCTCTGCTTCAGAGGATGCTACAGTTAAGGTGTGGGATTATGAGACTGGAGATTTTGAAAGAACTCTTAAAGGAAGGACATAGAGACTCTGTACAGGACATTTCATTTGACCACAGTGGCAAGTTTCTGGCTTCCTGTTCTGCAGCTATGACCATTAAACCATGGGATTTTCAGGACTTTGAATGCATCAGAACCATGCATAGTCATGGTTCCCCATGACCATAATGTTTCCTCAGTAGTCATCATGGCCAGTGGAGATCATATAGTGTCCGCCTCAAGGGATAAAACTATAAAAATGTGGGAAGTGCAAACTGGCTACTGTGTGAAGATGTTCACAGGACAGAGAGAATGGGTACATATTGTACAACCAAATCAAGATGGCACTCTGATAGCCAGCTGTTCCAATGACCAGACTGTGCGTGTATGGGTTGTAGCAACAATGCAATGCAAGGGTGAGCTCCGAGAACATGAGCATGTGGTAGAATGCATTTCCTGGGCTCCAGAAAGCTCATATTCCTCCATCTCTGAAGCAACAGGCTCTGAGACTAAAAAATAGTGGTAAATCTGGGCCATTCTTGCTGTCTGGATCCAGGGACAAGACTATTAAGATGTGGGATGTCAGTACCGGCATGTGCCTCATGACCCTCGTGGGTCATGGTAACTGGGTACGTGAAGTTCTGTTCAGTTCTGGGGGGAAATTTATTTTGAGTTGTGCTGATGACAAGACCCTACACGTATGGGATTACAAGAACAGGCAATGCATGAAGACCCTCAATGCGTATGAACACTTTGTTACCTCATTGGATTTCCACAAGACAGCACCCTATGTGGTCACTGGCAGCGTGGCTCAAACAGTAAAAGTGTGGGAGTGCCGTTGATTGTGTCTTCTTCGGCCCTTCCTCCCTCTTTTCCTCTGGATGCACTCTGATGATACCATGGCTACCCCACTGAGCTCTGTTTAAATAAATATTGTCCTTTCATGTAAATTATTCTGGATGTAGATTGAGCTTATTAAATGTTACAAAGAAAAAAAAAAGAACAGCATCAAAAACTAAGACGTAAACAGTAGGTGTGCTCATTGCTACTGGGATGACACTTATTCAGGCCCTGTCAGGAGACAGAACAAGGAAATATATACCAACCCATATCTGTAAGTGTATTGTACATATCCGTCTGCATCTATTTTGAGCTGAACTCGATTCCACGTTGATGTCCCCAACACTAACCACTGCCATATGAATCACTGCAACCTTTCCTGCTTGCTTGTTGGTAGCCTCCCCTCCAACAAAGATAAACCTGGCTCCCACCATCCTCCATCCAGTGACTTCACATTTCAGAGTGTGTGACTAGTGGCTTCAGAATTTATATCCTTTTGGGAAAGAGCTTTATCTACTAGAATACAGGGTTGTGGACAGTTCCTTATGTTTTTAGTCTTACAGTCTCCACTCACTTCCAATGCCACTTGGTCAGCACGCTTTCCTCCCACCCCTTCAGTGGAATTATTTTATACATTTGTAATACAGTTAGTCTTCTGTCATACTCAGCATCCCATCTTGGAATCCCCCAACATCTTTAATTATTTTTTTAATTTGCATATGTTAAGGTTCACTCTTTGTGATGTAAAATTCCATGGGTTTTGAAAAATGCAGTGTTATGTATTCACCACCACAGTATCATACACAATAATTTTACCATTCTAAAAAAAAATCTCTTGTGCTTTGCCTACTCTACTCTTCCATCTCTACAGGCCCCTGGAAACCACTGATCCGTTTACCATCTCGATAATTCTACCTTTTCTAGAACATAATATAAATGGATAAGCTTTTTTCAGTAAACAATATCCATTTAAGTTTTATCTATGTTTTTACATAGCCTGATAGTTCATTTATTTATATCTCTGAATAGTATTCCTTTATATGCATGTACTACAGTTTATTAATCTATTCACCTACTGAAAGACATCCTGGTTTTCCAGATATTGGTGGTTATGAATAACGTTGCTACACACATTTGCATGCAGGTATTTTGTGGACGTAGTTTTCAATCAGTTGGGTAAACATCTAGGAGTATGCTTGCTGGTTCATACAGTAAAATAATATTTAACTTTTTAAGAAACTTCCAAACATCTTTTAAAGTAGCTGTACTATTTTGCCTTCCCACCAGAAACGCATGTGGGTTCTTATTCTTCTAAATTCTCATAGCAATTGGTATTGTTGGTTTTTTGTATACTAGCCATTCTAATAGGTGTGTGGTGAAAGCTCATTGTTGTATTCATTTGCATTTCTTTAATGACAGATGATGTTTCACATGCTTATTTCCCATTTGTAAGATATATATATATACATATATGTACATATGTATATGTCATATGTATACACACACACAAATATCATCTTTGGTGGTGATTTGGAGGTGTCTGTTCAGATTTATTCATTTTTTCAATTGGATTACTTATGGTCTTTTTGTTGACTTTTAAGATTTCTTAAAATATTTTGGATACAAGTTTCTTATCAGGTTCATGTTTTGCAAATATTTCTTTTCAGTCTGCAGCTTGTGTTTTCATTATCTTAACAGAATTGTTCGTAGAGCAGAAGTTTTTAATTTTAATAAAGTCCAACTTCTCTATTTTTTTTTCTTTCATGGTTCATGCTTTTGGTCGTGTATCTAAAAATTCCTCACCAAACCCAAGGTCACATAAATTTTTTTCTTATGTTTTCTTCTAAAAGTTTTATAAATTTGCATTTTAAATTTAGGTTTATGATCCATTTAGAGTTATTTTTTGTGTAAGTTGCAAGTTCTGTGTCCAGATTCATTTAGCCTATGAACATCCAATTGTTCCAGCACCACTTGGTGAAAAGACTTCACTTGCTCCATTGAGTTGCCTTTGCGCTTCTGTCAAAAGTCAGGTTATTATATTGTGTGGGGGGGTCTATTTCTGGCATCTCCATTTGTTGATTTATGTGTCCTTTTTTTGCCAATACCACACCATCTTGATTATTATAGCTTTATAGTAATTCTTGAAATGAAGGACTCTGAGTACTCCAACTTTGATCTTCTTTAGTATTGTGTTAGCTATTCTAGGCCTTCTGCTTGTTTATATTAATTTTAGAATCAGTTTATCAATATCTAAAAAATAACCTGCTGGGATTTTGAATTGGACTGCTCTGATCAAGTTATAAATACTTCACATCTTAACAATACCAAGTCTTCCAACAGATAAGCAGGGACTATCTTGCCATTTATTTAGATTATTTTATTTTGCCAGTATTTTCTAGCTTTTTGCCTACAGTTTCCATAGATTGTGTCAAATTTGTAACTAAATACTGATTTGGGGGGATGCTATTGTAAATGGTAATGTAAATTTCATTTAAAATTCTAATTGTTCATTGTATATGGGAAAGCAATTGACTTTGGTATATTTTCTTTGTATGCTGTGTCCTTGTTATACTCACCTTTTCCAATGAGGTTTTCACCTTTTTTTGTGTGCACAGATTATTTGGCATTTCCTACATAGACAGTGTATCTACTAATAAAGACCATTTTTGTTTCTTTTTGTCCAGTCTGTATATCTTTCTTTTAATTCTTTTTCTTATTGCTGTAGCTGGGACTTCCAGTATGATGTTCGATAGGAGTGGTGAGAGAGGACATCCTTGCCTTATTCTTGATTTTAGGGGGAAAATGCCCAGCCTCTCACCAATAAGTATGACGTTTAGTGCAGGCTTTTTGTGCATGTTCTTTATCAAGTTGAAGAGATACCCTCTGTTTCTAGTTTGCCGAGAGATTTTATTGTAGATAGGTATTGATTTTTTTCAAATACTTTCTCTAGCAGTTGATATAGTCATGTGATTTATCTTCTTTAGCCCATTGATATGGTAAATTACGTTGATTTTTGAATGTCAAACCAGCTTTGTATACATGGAATGAATCCCACTTGGTTATGTTATATAATATTACTGAATATGATTCAATAATTTTTTCAAAGATTTTTTTGTATCTATGATTATGAGAGATATTGGTCTGTAGTTTTTCCTTTCTTAAAATGTCATTAGCAGGTTTTGGTGTTAGGGTAATATACTGTGCTATGGTCTGAATGTTTGTGTTCCCCCAAATTCATATGTTGGAATTCTAACTTCCAAGGTGATTGTATTAAGAAGTGGGGCCTTTGGGAAGTAATTAGATCATGAGGGCGGAGCCCTCATGAATGGGTGATCCCTTGTAGAAGAGACCTAAATGCCCTTATAGTAGAGGCCTAAGGGAGACTCCTCATCCCCTCCACCATGTGAGGACACAGCTAGAAGGAACCATTTATGAAGCAGAGAGCAGGCCCTCACTGGATACCAAATCTGCCAGTGCCTTGCTCATGGACTTCCCAACCTTCAGAATTGTGAAAAATAAATTTCTATTGTTTATGAGCCACCCAGTTTGTGTGGTGTTCTGTTACAGCAGCCTAAACAGACTAAGATAACTGGCCTCATAAAATGAGTTTGGAAGCAATGCCTCTGCCTCTATTTTTTGGAAGATATTGTGGAGAATTGTTATTATTTCCTCTTTAAGTATTCTGTTGAAAGTACCAGTGAAACTATCTGAGCCTAGTGCTCTCTTTTCTGGAAGGTTTTAAATTATTCAATCTCTTCGAATATAAGACTACTCTCTTTGGGGGGTTTTAATAGTTTGTGTCTTTCAAGGAATTGTTGCACTTCACCTTAATTATATTTATGAGCATAAAGTTGTTTGTTGTATTACTTAATTAACCTTTTCATGTCTATGGGATCAGTTGTGATGACCTCTCTTTTGTTTCTAATGTTAATAATTTGTGTCTTTTCTCTCTTCATTGGCCTGACTAAATGTTTATCAATTTTATTGATCTTTTCCAAGAACCAGCTTTTGTTTTATGATTTTTCTCTACTGTTTTCCTGTTTACAATTTTATTAATTTCTGTTCTAATTTTTAATTACTTATCTTATTTTCCTTGCTTCAGGCTTAAATTAAATTAGGCCTCTTTCTTTAGTTTCCTAAGATGGAAACCTGAATGATTGACTGTAGATCTTTTTTTTTCTAATAAACATATGTGTTTAACATTATAAATTCCCATTGTTCTGCTTTTTGTCACTATAGGTTAGTTTGCATTTTTAAAAATTTTATGTAAATGAAATCATGCTGCTTGTATGTTTTTTCCTCTGCTTTCTTTCGCTCAGCAAAATTGTTCTCAGATTCATCCATATCCTTGCACGTATCAATAGTCTTTCTTTTCTTTCTTTTTTAGACAGAGTCTCACTCTGTCACCCAAGCTGGAGTGCAGCAATGTAATCACAACTCATTGCAGCCTTGACCTCCTGTGCTCAAGTAATCCTCCCACCTTGGCCTCCTGAGTAGCTGGGACTACAGGTGTGCACCTCCACACCCTGCTAATTTTCTTTTCTTTTCTTTCTTTCTTTCTCTTTTTTTTTTTTTTTTTTGAGACACAGTCTCTCTCTGTCGCCTGCCCGGGCTGGAGAGCAGTGGCGTGATCTCGGCTCACTGAAACCTCCACCTCCTGGGTTCAAGCAATTTTCCTGCCTCAGCCTTCCCAGTAGCTGGGATTACAAGTGTGCGCCACCACACCTGGGTAATTTTTTGTATTTTTAGTAGAGATGGGGTTTCACCATGTTGCCCAGACTGGTCTCAAACTCCTGAGCTCAAGTGATCTGCCTCAACCTCCCAAAGTGCTGGTATTACAGATGTGAGCCACTGCCCAGCTGTCTGTTTCTTCTTATTGCTTGATAGTACTCCATTATATGGATATGCCACAGTCCATTTATCTGTTGCTATACCTTTGGATCATTTTCAGTTTCAAGTGATTGAAAATAAAGCTGTTATTAACAATCATGTAAGAATGTTTGTGTGGACAAATGCTTTCATTTCTCTTGAGTAAATACTTAGGAGTGGAATGGCTGAGTAATATAGTAAATGTATGTTTAACTTTTAAGAAACTGCCTATCTGTTCTCCAAAGTGGAGGTACCATGTTGCATTCTTACCAGCAACATATAAGAGTTCCAGTTCCTCCACATCCACACCAACACTTGGTGTGGTCAGTATGTTTAACTTTAGACATTGTAATTCAGACTGAACACATGAATGTGGTATGTTATTTAAGTTTTATTTAATTCCTCTCAGGAATACTTTGTAGTTTTCAGTATACAGGTCTTCCCCATCCTTTGTCAGGTTTATTCTAAGTATTTTATATTTCTGATACTATTATAAATGACACTCTCTATTTCACTTTCTGATTGTTCATTGTTAATCATATAAATGAAATTGACTTTTTAAATATTGATATAACAGCTTGTATCCTTTCTAAATTCACTTAAGAGTTCTAGTATCTTTTCGTAGATTCACATATTTTTGCCATTTTTTGTTTGTTTCATGAAAGAGGATATATTTGGTCTCTACTACTCCTTTTGGCCTTAATTGAAAATTGGGAGGATATGCATTTTAAAAGTATATCTTTCTAAGGTCAGTTAGCTCATGGATGGAGTGGTTATTTGAAATCAGGGCATGGTGGCAGCAAGAGCCAGCAGGCATGGAAACAGTGAGTCTGGTCTGCTCTGGTGGTGGCCCATAAGAGGAAAATTCTTAGAACCCTCTGCCCTAGTAATGAGAGCAAGATATGTGAGGACTGGCTTGGGAGTCTCTTCTGTGGATGAGAGTATTAAACCCCATGATGATTTAGTGTCCATCCTTAAGGGATGCTTGCCAAGGTGTGAGACAACCATGTAATGGGATACTCTGCAGTCACTAAACCAGATGGCAAAAAGGTCATTGGCATGGAAAACGCTTGTGGGTTATGACTGCATTAGTTTTCTAATGTTGCATTAAATACGTAGTCATGAATATGATTGCTCTTTTTAAGCATAGGCTCTGAGGCATAGGCACAGAATGTTGGGGGTGATATTTAAAGTTCTGCCTTTATATAATTGCCAAATAAAAATTGGCATGATTCAAAACACTATGTGCAATAGAGTAACATTTTTATAAGAAAAAAAAGTGTATACAGTAAAAAATTATGGGCAGTGTTTGTTCTTTACCCTCCAAGATTTTTTACCATAAACATGTATCACTAGGATACTGTGAACAGCTTACATGAAACCTAAACTGTTACAAATCCATTTGTAAGATGGAACTCAAGGTGCATTTTCCCATAGACACAATGTTTTTGGGGTGATTGGAGCCCTGTGACTTTCCACAAAAGATTTTAATAATAAGACTCTATGCCCCAGGCCTTATTTCTAGTGGGCAGTAATTTCAAGTTTAATTCAAGATGCCAGGAATAAATGGCTGTGTCTCCCTCACTCACCGACCCATGAAGAGGCATCAGTGGTCAAGGGGGCTGGTGACCAGGAGTTGTTCACATTACATCGACATAAGAAAATGCCACTCTCTATGTTCACAAGAACGTATGTTCCATTCTAGGAGAGGAGGGGCAGAGCCCCCTCACAGCTGCTGCACACTGGGGTTGGCCTCTTCACAGGCATGTCTGTGTGTGTGTGTGTGTGTATGCATGTGCAAAAATGTGTACACATGAGCACACGAGGGGACATATCAGTATGCACATGTGTATGTGGCAGGTGATCTGCGTCCATTTATGTTGCCTCTTTTCCCAGAAGAAGAAAAGAGTCCACCAAGAAAGTTTTTGTTTGAGAGTATAGGTTTTACTGCAGATATCGTGAGACATCTCTGAGAGGGTTTTCTTTCCCTGTCCCGACCCCTCCCCTCTCTCATCTGCCATTCTCTCCAGCCTCACTCTGTGTGGTCGGTGACTGATTAAATAAACTGTGGAGCATCCACTCCATAGAGTCCTACTCAGCAAGAAAAGGGGGCATTGGATAATGATGTGCCCAACAGTGTGGAAAAATCTCCAGAGAATTGTGCTGAGCAAAAAAGACATGCACACCACGAGTCTATTATTCCTGAAATGACAACATTATAAAAATGAAGAACAGATTATTGGTTGCCAGGGGTTAAGGAGAAGAGTATGGAAGGAGGTATGGCTATAAAAAGGCAGCAAGAGGAACCCTGTGGTGATGGATACACAGACCCTACATGTGGGATAAGATTGCATGGAACTAAATACACATGCATGTGTGCACATACACACAATGAGGACAAGTAAAAGTATATCAATGCCAATATTCTGGCAGTGCTATTATACTATCATATAAGATGTTATCTTTAGGGGAAACTGGATAAAGGTCACACAGTATATTTTCTGATTTATTTCCTAAAACTGCAGAATAATTTACAATGATCTCCAGATAAAAAAGCTTAATTTTGGCCTGGGCGTGGTGGCTCACGCCTGTAATCCCAGCACTTTGGGAGGCCAAGGCAGGAGGATCGCTTGAGCCCAGGAGTTTGAGACAAGCCTGGGCAACATAGCAAGACATTACCTCTACAAAAGTAAAAAAAAAAAAATAGCATGATGTATTGGCGTGTGCCTCTGGTTCCAGCAACTTGAGAGGCTGAGTTGGGAGGATTGCTTAAGCCCAGATGGTTGAGGCTGCAGTGAGCCATGTTTGAGCCACTGAACTTCAGCCTGGGTGGGAGAGTCAAACCGTATCTCAAAACAAACAAACAAACAAAAAGATAATTATAGTAAAACAAAACAAAACAAAGCTTAATTTTTAAAAAAGTGAGACAGAAATAAATATTTTTCTCAAACAAAAACTGAGGGAATTCCTAGCGAGTAGATCTGTCCTAAGGACAGCTTTGCAGAAGCTCTTCAGGCAGAAGGAAAACCTTATTAGTCAGAAACTGGGGTCAGCATCAGGCAGAGATGCAGGGCAGAGAAAGCATAAATGAAGGTAAAATAAGATCGTTTGTTTTGCTTATTTTTTTAATTTAATTCTTTTTTATTGAGGTAAAATATACATATATGATTTACCATCTTTACCATTTTAAGTGTATTGTTCAATGGTAATAAATACATCATGTTCCTTTTTTTCCCTACTTCCCCTACTCTCTTCTTTATAGTCCTTATTCTTTATTGATCTAAATTACTAATTATGGTTTTGCAGCTTTCTTCTTATGTTTTGGAGCCAATTTTTGTTCAAGTGTCAAGCATGTTTTTTTGAAACCTTGCAGAGCTGGGGTAGGCCTTATGCCCATGGGTGGGTGGCTGGAAGGGCCTGGAAAGAACCCTGATGACACATGGTTCTCCCAGGGTACCCCTGCCTCTCCCAGCCATGGACTCCAGTCTCTCTGAGAAGCCATAACAGCTTTTGTTAGAGGGGACCACTGACGCCTTTAGCATGTGGGTGTTGACTAGGGCTATGGGCACGAGTGACAGATGCAAGGGCATTGGAGTCAGGCCGACGTGAGTCCAAACCCCAGCTCTGCCTCTTAGTAGCTATGTGATCTTGGGCAATTTACTTAACCTCTCTGGTCTCCAGTCTCATATGCAATAATACTTTTCAGGGCGGCTGTTGTCAGTTACAGGACCTAACACATGGGATAGACGCCATCACATAATGGATGCTGTTCATTTCCTTCCCTATTATGATATGTATCACTGTTCCTTCCAGTGAGTAGACAGTTGCCACACTCACATTGGAGACTCCCTTCCTTATCAACTTTCATAGGTAAGAGCTGCAGTGCTCCATCCTCTCCTGAGAGTTTATTCTCTGCAGGGAGGCAAACATAACTATCACTTCTCAGTTGTCCTCCAAACTTAGGTGAGGATCCAGTTTTGTAGGAGATCTTGCAGCTTAAGAAAACAGGTCTAAATCCAAGCAGCCTGATGAAACAATAACCCCACCTTCTTCCATTCCCCAAATCCCTTTGAGAGTAGGCGCATTGTGTTGCCTTCCTGGTGGTTCCAAAAACTGGACCTCTGGACTTTAATGCAATTCCATAGTCCATTCTTTGTCCAGCAGTCAAAATGGTGTCTTTAGACATTTAAAGTAAGTTAGCAAGGATTAAAAATCTCCCATGCCTGACCCAGCCTCCTGTCTCTCCACTCTCCCCATGGCTTACACTGTCCCAGCCACGCTCATCTTGACAAGTTTCTCAACTTGACAAACTCATTCCACCTCAGGGCCTTTGCACTTGTTGGTCCTGCTGCCTGGAAGGCTCTGCCCCTGATCTGAGTATGCAAGCCCCTCATCATCCTGTCCCAGCTCCAGGATCGCCCCAGCAGGCAGCCTTCCCTGAACATTGTTGAAATGAGAACCCCTCCCTCCTCCTCCCTTGGCAGCCCTCTTAATATCTCCGTTTGCCCCCCAGCATTCACCACAATCTAAAACCACCTCACTCGTTTACAAGCTTTCTTGAGTTTTCTCCATTTCCTCCTTCAGGAACATCAGCTCCACGGGACTAAGAATGAGAAATCCCTGGTGCCCTGATCTAGGCCCAGCACTCAATTTGGGTGAGTCCCAACATCTGTTTATAAGTGAATGACTGTCCCTTCCCTCCCTGGCAAGGGGACTCACACCCTGCAACAGCAACTCTGGTCCGTGACCCCCCTGGAGAGCTATCTGTGGATCCCAAGCCATTCCCAGACCACATAGCTGGTAGCTGGCACAGGGGGAAGCATGCCAGGGTCCAGTGACCCCAGACAGTCACTTAGGATGTGATATGGTTTGGCTGTGTCCCCATCCAAATCTCAACTTGAATTGTATCTCCCAGAATTCCCACGTGTTGTGGGAGGGACCCAGGGGTGAGGCAATTGAATCACGGGGGCCAGTCTTTCCTGTGTTATTCTCATGATAGTTTATAAGTCTCACGAGATCTGATGGGTTTATCAGGGGTTTCCACTTTTGCTTTTTCCTCATTATTCTCTTGCCGCTGCCATGTAAGAAGTGCCCTTCATCTCCTGCCATGATTCTGAGGCCTCCACAGCCATGTGGAACTGTAAGTCCAATTAAACCTCTTTTTGTTCCCAGTTTCAGGTATGTCTTTATCAGCAGCGAGAAAATGAACTAATACAGAATGTTAGCCCCAAGGATAACATTTTTGCAAGCTCAGCTGGCAGACCTGGGCAGGAGATTCTTTTCTTTTCTTCTCCTTTTTTTTTTTTTTTTAAATTTTTATGTTATATAGAGAAGGGTCTCACTATGTTGCCCAGGCTGGTCTCGAACTCCTGGGCTCAAGCGATCTGCCACTTGGCCTCCCAAAGTGATGGGATTACAGGCATGAGCCAACGTGCCTGGCCATGAAGGTTCTGAATAAGGAGTAACGGGGCATGTCTCCGCTCATATGCAGCCATGTAGCTTGATGGCTTGGGATTAGGGAGCAGTGCTAATTCAGCAGACACCAAGGCAAAGAAATTACACCTAGGGAAGATTTACTTCTTATCCTCTGCATCCCACGTCACCCCCACCCCCCAAGCTGAGCTGCACCCCACGCTCCCAGCAGCCCTCACACTGAGGAATAAGCAGCTCAGCTGCCTCTCCCGCATCCTGCCCAGCTGCAGCCAAGACCAGAGGGACTTTCCCCACCCCCACCACACATGTGTGTCTATCCACAGAGGAACATCTATCAGGGGCTCCTGGAGAGAAATGACTATTCCATAAAGATTTCATTTTTGTTGGAGTCTATCCACAGCTCTATATAGTCATAAAAATTTAATAGGAAACTTCCATAAAAAAAGAGGCATAATTAAAAAGAAATAGGGACAGCTCCAGCAGAGGTTGAAGATTAAAGACCAAGAGGCCCAGCACAGATAGGGAAATTTTATGAGCTACCAAAGAAAGAAAAACATACCACACAGAAAATGCATGCAGTAGAGACGGTCCTGCCACTTTGAGTGAGGTGAGCCAACCAGACCCGGGTGCCATTCTCTGAAGATGGGGGCAGGCACTCAGGCCGTGTGTGACACAGTAGTGCTCAAGAAACACTGCAGCTGCAAGTATTGGGAGCCAGTGAGATGTCAAGTCTCCACTGCCGGACAGCCCTTCCCTTGTTGGATCCACAGAAGTCTGAGGCTCAGGACAAAGATAACCCTCTGAAATTTCATGGCCTGAGGAGTTGAGTTGTTACCCCTGTGGTCATAGGGCTGGAGGAAAAGCTTTTAACTAACCTCTGGGGGACTGGATCCTTAGCCAACATTCAACCAAAACACTCAACTTCAAGGCACCAACTTGCTTTTCATTAGACTATTTTCTCTTTTTTTTTTTTTTTTTTTTTTTTGAGACGGAGTCTCGCTCTGTTGCCCAGGCTGGAGTGCAGTGGCGCGATCTCAGCTCACTGCAAGCTCTGCCTCCAGGGTTCACGCCATTCTCCTGCCTCAGCCTCCCGAGTAGCTGGGACTACAGGCGCCCACCACCACGCCTGGCTAATTTTTTTGTATTTTTAGTAGAGGCGGGGTTTCACCGTGTTAGCCAGGATGGTCTCAATCTCCTGACCTCGTGATCCGCCCCCTCGGCCTCCCAAAGTGCTGTGATTACAGGTGTGAGCCACCGCGCCCGGCCTCATTAGACTATTTTTCTTATTACAAATACAATAGATGTTCCTTGTAGAAATTTTGGAAATACAGAAAAGCAAAATGAGGATTAAAACTGACTGTCATCTTTTTACCTATCTATATGCATCTATCACCTTGACATTTTTGCTTCCCAATCTTTGGAAAAATACAGGTCATAAAGAAGAATATAAGAAAATAACGGGCTTGGATACTGGAAATCTGGGCAGGATAAGGGGAAAACTGCCATCCAAAGCAAACCAGAGACACAAAATGGCTGAGTTGTGGACAGAGCTTAGCGCTTACCGAGCAATCCTGCCCATCAGAATCCCAGGTAGCTCAAAGGAGAAACTGAGGCTTAAACAATGGGGGTGGGAAGGGAAGAAATGCAGAGAGATCCTCAGGGTTTTACAACCAAAAAGAAACAGTCGATTTGATGGCCTCTCTGCAAAGCCCATGGGTATGTGTACATTTCTGTCCCCATTTCCAAATTCGACACAGTCGGTGATGATGGCGGCTTCTGGAGTCAGCACTCTTTGCCCCATCTAAGCTATGACTGTGGTGGTGGTACCCACGTTTCTGGAGATAGGGTCACTGCTTTACCTGCGGTACTGGGGGCTGGGAGCCATGAGCCCTCAGGGGTCATTCCTAAAGAGAACAGTGAGCCCCAGATATCCATAAACATAATTTCACAACTGGGAGGAGGCAGCTCTTGTTATTGCTACTATCTTGTTATATCATCATCATCATCATCATCATTATCATCATCACGATGATGCTGAAGATGGCAATCAGAGTAAGTGAGCAGTGCCTTAGACCAGGGCTGAACCACTTCTTTGGGCATAAGAGAGATTTAGAAAACCATAAAAAGTGCTTTCCAGTGACTTATTTTCCAGTAAAACTGAACATAGCTATGTTGAGTTCTAAGGGGGTAGATTTGACTCATCTTATGACTTAAGAGCTCCTAATTTTTGGATAGAGGATCATCTATGGGGAATCTGGCATAGCTTTTATAATGTGACCCTTGGCTCATGCCTGAGAAGTAACCCCAGGTAGCCTTCTGGTCCCTCCTGCAAGCAGGCACAGCCTACCACTGAGTAGGTCACCCACGGGGTTCCTGGGGCACTTGCTACTGGGAGTAAGGGAAGCATAACCAGGTGCAAAGCAGGTGAGGGACAGGCCAGAGGTGCCTTGCCCAGGGCTGCTGTGTGTTCCACTCCTGCGGAACGTGAGCTCCGTGGGGCAGGGTGGACTCTTGCTTACCCATGTCCCCACTTCCACCATGGCCATGGGCTCACCAGTGCAAATAAATATTTTTAAAAACATGTTTAGCTAGATGGACTCTGAGTAATAGAAAGAACTCTGGAGAAGGTTCAGGTGAGCCTGCTCTTTCCCTGCTTTTGAAATTAAAAGACCAAAGCCTGGAGCAGATGGGGAAGCCCAAGGACACGTGGTGGCCACCTGCAGAGACCACAGATGACCCAGCCCTAGGTGCCTCGTGGCTCACATCAAAGGAGCCTGTCCAGGATGAAGGCCACTCTGTGCATTTTCTTATTCCATAAAAAGCTAAGAACTTGCTAGGAAGAAGGGAGAAAAAACCCTTCCTAGGTTTGTAGAAAGGAAATTTCAGGGAAAGTGGTTCTAAGATGCTCATAAATTAGTCCTGATGGAGTTTTCTAGATTCCAAGAGTGTGGACTCTGGAACTAGATATCCTTGGAGCAGATGGAAGTCCCCTATCTGTTAGTTAGGCCTTAGAAGGACACTTCCGTTCTCTGGGCCTCCACCTGGGCATCTCCATCCCAGGTCGCAGCAGTAGCCGCCTCGATAGCTCATCACAAAGATCACGAGATCCCTCAGGCAAAGCTCCTGGAAGGGTGCCTGGCAGACAATTCCTGCTCAATAAAGGTTGACCACCATTGCTATTATTTCATTGCCACCCACTCTCCAAGAAACAATCTTCTCCTGGAACTGTTTGAGATTGCCAAGACAAGTAGGAGGAACCAAACTCACCCAGTCACTGGACACTCATTGGTTTCAAGCCTTATGTCAAAATTGGCAAGCAGTGGCGTCGGCCCTCAGGGGAGGGAGACTAGCCATCAGACAAGGGATGGGGAGGCGGTTTCACTTGAAATTGTTTACAATGTGCATATATTCATTTTCAAAAAAGCAGTTATAACAAAGGAATGTGGTGGCTAGTAATGAAAAATAATTATACAGATATTTTATAAGTTAAAAGACAACACAGGGGCCCAAACCACAGTCTGGTAAATACATCTGCCCTGAATCCCAACACCCCTTCCCAGGCACAGGGACAAGAATTGTGTGTCTTTGGGTCCAGCAAGCAAAGCAAAGGTCTGGGGGCTGTGAGGGGCAGAGCTGGGAAGAGGGGGAAGGTAAATTCAGGCTTTCCTCTCACCTTAATAATAAAGACATTGGAATCTCTTTTAGAAATTTAAATGTGCAATGAACAAAAAGAAAGGAAGCAAAATAATCATTACAAAAGCAACGATGGCTGTCACTTACATAGTACTTTCTACATGCCAAGAACTCTTTAAGAATTATATAATGGCTAACATAATTCCAAGAACAATACTATGAGGTAGGTACTATCACTGTTTTTTTTCATTTTTATTTTAAGTTCACGGGTACATGTGCAGGTTTGTTACATAGGTAAACTTATGTCATGGGGGTTTGTTGTACAGATTATTTTATCACCCAGATATTAAGACTAGTACCCATTAGTTATTTTTCCTGATCTTCTCCCTCCTTCCATCCCCTACTCACCCAACAGACCCCAATATGTGTTGTTCCCCCTAAGTATCCATATGTTGTCATCATTTTGTTCCCACTTGTAAGTAAGAACATGTGATACTTGGTTTTCTGTTCCTGCATTAGTTTGCTAAGGACGAGGGCCTCTAGCTCCATCCATGTGCCTGCAAAGGAAATGATCTCATTCTTTTTATGGCTTCATAGTATTCCATGGTGTATATGTACCACATTTTCTTTGTCCAGTCTATCATTGATGGGCATTTAAGTTGATTCCATGTCTTTGCTATTATATAACTGTCTTTTTTTTCTTTTCTTTTCTTTTCTTTTCTTTTTTTTTTTTGAGATGAAGTCTTGCTCTGTCGCCCAGGCTTGGGTGCAGTGGCGGCAATCTCAGCTCACTGCAACCTCCGCCTCCCACCTCAGCCTCCAGAGTATCTGGGATTACAGGCACCAGCCACCACGCCGGGCTAATTTTTGTATTTTTAGTAGAGACGGGGTTTTGCCATGTTGGCCAGGCTGGTCTCAAACTCCTGACCTCAAGTGATCTGCCCTCCTCAGCCTCCCAAAGTGCTGGGATTACAGGCGTGAGCCACCGCACCTGGCTGTATCACTGTCTTTTTTAACAGACGAGAAAACTGAGACCCAGATAATTTATGCCCAAGTCATACTTCTAATATGTGTTGAAGTTAGGACTAAACCAGAAAGTTTGGCTTCAGAGTCCACACATGTTTCTGTATACCTCTAGAATACATGGTCAATGTATTCAGATTATCAACTGTTTTTATTTGGAGAGCTCAAAGAAAAGTAGAGAAAATACAACCCATATCCACAGAGCCAAATGGACAAGTCTAAAGTCTAAGGGGCTCCATGGTGCTGTCCTCACCATACATAGAATTTCTTCATTTGTCACAAATGGCAATGAGGACAAAGTAGAGGCCAAAATCAAGCATCTTTCAGTTCAAGCTTCAGGAGAAGGGAGAAGGGACAAGAAAGAGGATAAGATGAAGTGGTGGGATCTAAAGCCCTGCAAGGCCTGAATGTGTCCCCTTGAAATGTATATGTTGAGACAACTACCAGTGTAATAGTATTAAGAGGTGGGCCTTTAGGAGATGATTAAGTCATGAGGGTGGAGGCCTCCTAGATGGGATTAGTGCCCTTATAAAACAGCTGCAGCAGAGCTTGCTTGCCCCTTCCACCTTGTGAGGACACAGCAAGGGGCACCATCTATGAAGTACAGAGTGGGCCCTCACCAGACGCCAAATCTGCCTGCGCCTTGATCTTGGACTTCCAGCCTCCAAAACTGAGAAATAAATGTCTATTACCTACAAATTACCCAGTCTAAGGTGTTTTGTTACAGTGTCTCTAGTAAACTAAGGCAAGCCCCAGCTGGAAACATCCATCTCTGCTAAAAGTGCCACAGGACCTGGAATGAGTAACAGACTCTTTTCACATCTTATCTGCAAGAAGCTGGGTTCTGTGTTTGTCTCAGCCTGGCCCTGCTCTCAAGGTTAGCATTGCACAACTGGAGGAGGTTTTGGTGACTTCTGTTGCCCACCTTGTTCTCTCAGTAGAAGAGCCAGACCCCAGAGAAGGGAAGAACACCAGGTTCACAGTGGAGAGAGAACAACCCCCCATTCTCCTGCTGAGGCTGCACTAGGGGTGAACCCCACCCCACCCTGTCCTCTGGGAAGCCCCTCCTGACTCCTCCCTCTGCAGTCAGGCTGTTTCCATTCACAGCATGTAGTCACAGCACCATTCCCAGTATATTTTTGGACACTAGTCCTGGCTGCATTGCCAGGATATGGGGCCCTTGGGTTTTCCCTCTGCTACAGTGCTGGCCTGGCTGGATGGAAAAACAGGTAGGCAAGGGTTCACCCCTGAGGATAAAAGGGATATAAGCCTGTGGCCATCCTGGGGGTTATAAGCCTCTCCACTCCTGTCTTTTTCTGTGGCATATAACAGAGCACTCGAAACCAGGCATTTATTATTTTCTTCTGGAGGCCAAGAAATCCAAGGTGGAGGGGCCACATCTAGTGGGGCTGTCTTGCTGGTGGGGACTCTCTATAGAGTCCTGAGGCAGCACAGAGCATCAAATGGCAAGGGGGCTGAGCATGCTCACCTGCTAGCTCAGGTCTCGCTTCCTTTTTTATGAAGACATCAGTCCCACTCCTATGATAACCCTGTGATTCATAAGGGAAGAACCTTCATGACTCAGTTACCTGTTAAAGGCACTGTCTCTCAATACTGACATACCGAGAATTAAATTTCAACACATGTTTTGGAGGGGACAAATATTCAAACTCTAGCAACTTCCCAGAAATTGACTCATTTCTGTTTCCTATGCAGCAGCTTCTTTACCTTTCAAAGGATCTGGTCATCCTAACTCCAGGCTGCTGAGACGGGTCTGAGCAAATCTAAACTGTGTCCTGGATTCCTGGAGACAAGCTTCATGCAAACCCCAGCATGAATGTCTCAGACTCGCCAGACCCTGCTTAGCTGGCTGGTTGTCTGAGAGCACAATTAGAAAAGAAATGGCTCTGAGGAGACAGAGGAGATGCGTAGCTAACTCTCACACACAATCTCACATACACCCACCTCACACCCTCACACACTTCTCAGACACTCACACACTCAATCTCCGACACACACACACACATTCAGTCTCACACACACAGCACATTGCACCAAGCATCTCCAGGTAGAGGTAATTAAAAGTTGATTTATGTCCTTCTGAGGCACTAAGACTGTAATGAATTTCTCCATGTTTCTGTGATTGCTTCTGTAAATGGGGATGCTGGCTTTTCTGGGGAAAAATATGGTGAAATAAATCTAAATTTTGCTGCAGTAAATATATATTAAGGAATATGTAACATTGGCCTGGATATTACAGGAGTTATAAAGAAAAAGCCACCTATGTGCTTGCCCTATACCATACATTTCCTCCATGATTACAGAAGGTGGGGAAGCATTTGCCTTTGTAAGTGTAGTGGATGGAGTTGATGTGAATCCAGATGCATCAGCATTGGAGACAAATAAAGGACAAACCTGGCAAGATATGATGAATCTGTGCTCAATCAAAATTCATTCACCTGAATTCCAATTGGTTTATTCTTGCCGGGGTAAGAAATGGAACAGAAATCACAGGCATTTCAAAAGGTCATGTCCATCCAATCATCAACATTCTCTCTGGATGCCTCTCTAAAGTGCTCTTCTCTAAGTTTACCCTTTTATATTTTGTCTCTGAAACATGGTAGGTATCAGAATTAGTCCTTCACAGTTATAAATGCTGCTGTGTTCAGAACAAAGTCTGATCTTAGTTTCTGATCTCTGAACCCACAAGGGGTGTCAGTCTGTGTCACTCCAGGCAAGTGCTTTCATGTCTTGGGGCCTCAGCAAATAATGAAGCTAAAGCTATAGCAGCTCTTATAAACAAAGATAGATCCAATGATTAAATCTAAATTCATCAACCAGAAACACTCATTACTATTCAAAGTGCCCAGGGCCACCAAGAATTCTTCTAATAAACTTTCTTTCTGAGGTTCCTATGTCCTAAAAGCCACATGTCACTTATCAATAATAATAATACACCTTGCCATTTGAGGTTGACCAAAAATGTACTTAACTATAAAGCAGTGCTTCTGATGAGCAAGAGAAAACCTATGTCTGCAGGAAAACTATGATGTAATTCCAACCAAAAGTAATGACATTTAAGATTTGTGTTATGAATAACTGTATATTTTATGCTTGGAAAAATACATAGTGCTTATAATTTATAGAAGCTGCCATTTGACCCTGTGCTACCCTCATAAACGCTTTTGGGATTCAGGAGCCTTGAGCTGGGAAGTACTGGGTCTGGTGTTTTCTAAGGTTCTGGCATTCTATGCAATTTGGTCTAAGAAATTCTGGCTGCCAAGGGGAAAGGATATCAGGGACTCTCATTTCTTGCCAGTGAGAATGTCTAATCTTTGTGAAGGTCAATTTTGGAATACATTTTAAGAACCATAAAGTGGGTATAGAAGAAGTTCTAGTTTTAATGATGATGGAGTATCCTCCACTGGCCCAATCCTCCTGCAGATAAGATTTATAAACTCTGAACAAAATATTTTTTAAAAATTGAAAGCACTGGCAGAGAGAAACTGGAGTTTGACCTTTGAAATAAGGAACTGCACCCGTGCTTCCTATGCTTACCCTGTTTTTATCTAAGGGCTCTCTCTAGTCCGCCAGGCAGAAAGCTGTGATCTTATTGCTTGAGGTGTCAGAGGACAGAGTTTGGGGCTGCCAGAGTGACTGGAAATTGAGGGGGATAAATCCTGGAAAGAGCTAAAGTTTTTAAAGCTGAATAATGATTTCAACCAATTGCCCATTGCTCAATGATTGGGAGACAGATTTTGGAGTTTAAATCCTATCAATTTTTCCAAAAGAGCTGTTTGGAAACATCTTGGGCATTTCACTAAAATCCTAGGAAGGGGTCATACCTAAGAGTAATAACTATGCCCCCAGGATTAAAGATCCTCCCTAAGACTAAGGAAAAATCTAAATAGGCCTACCCTAAAGAGTATAAAACCAAGGTTCTGCAACTTTAAGGTGACATTCCATAATTAACTGATTGATGTTGCCAAAGGAAAACAATAGAATCCAGAATCTCTAAATCTATTATCCACAAAACACAGTATATAATAAAAACTTATAAACATGCAAAGAAACAGAAAAAAGTGACTCATACTCGAAAGAAAAAAAAAGTTAATAGCAACAAACTCCAAGGTACTCTAGGTGTTGGAATTAGTAGACAAGAATTTTTGAGTAGCTATTATAAATATGTTCAAGGACATAAAGGAAAATATTTTAATAATGAAGGAACAGATAGAAAATCAGAGAAGAAAATAGCAACAACTTGGGGTAAAACAAAAAACAAAAACAAATAGAGCTTCTAGAACTCAGAAATGAAAATTTCAGTGGATAAGCCTAACATTAGATTGGAGGCAACAGAAGAAAAGGTCAGTGAACTGGCAGAGAGCTCAATATACGCTATCCAATCTTAAGAACATATAGAAAATATTTTTTAATAAAAGAGTATCAGCGACATCTGGCATAATATCACATAGTTTAACATATGTGTAATTATAATTTCAGAAGAGGAATAGAGAGAAAATGTAATTGAAAATGTCTTATATTTGATGAAAAGCACTAACTTATAAACCCAAGGATCTCAAAACACTCCAAAGAAGATGAACACACACACACAGAGGGCACACACACACTCACACACACATGCACAACACAGTCAAACTGTTGAAAAATTAAGAGAAAGAGAAAAATCTTGAGCAGCCAGAGGCACATTACCTGTGTGGGGCCAATGATATAAATCATATCGGTTTTTTTATCAGAAGCAATGAGGTCAGAGATGACAAAATTTTGTGGTAACGAAATAATAAATGCTGAAATTCTATGTCCAGTAAAATATATCATTCAAAAAATGAAGGTAATATAGACATTTTCAGTTAAGTGAAGCTGAGAGAATTCATCACCAGGATATATGAAAGAAAGTTCTTCAGGTTGAAGAGAAATGACATCAGATGGAAACTTGGGTATTGAGAATGGAAAGCAGATACCAAGATGTTAACAACCATGGATAGGTAAAATATGTGTGTAACCATAAAAGACTACTCTCTTTGTCTTTCTCTAATTTCTTTAAAAAATAATTGCCCATTGCTTATCCCTGTTGTCTATGTCATGTTATGCAAAGTGTATTCTCTAACTAAGTGGGTATTAGAAATCAACAACCATATAATATCTTAAAAATTTTCATGCAAAAATTAAGTAACACACTTTTAGGTTTATCAATATAGACTTAAAAATAAAAGCCTAAAACTATAAAACTTGTGGAAGAAAGCATAAACGATCTCTGCTACCTTGGGTTAGGCAAAGATTTCTTAGGATACAAAAAACACTACTCATACATTAATTATACATTTATTTTAGTAATAAATTTATTTTCATGAAATTCTTCTCTTTGAAAGAAAGAAAATGAAAAAGAGATAAGCCAAAGACTAGGAGAAAATATTCACAATATATTTATTTGGCAAAGGACTTATATCAAGTATACATGAAGAATTTCTATAAATCCATAATAAAAAATACATGGCCAAATATAAAAATAGGCCTGGAACAGCCTAGAGATAGGTCTAATAAAAGGCCTAAAACAGACACTTTGC
This sequence comes from Homo sapiens, assembly GCF_000001405.40. Classification (NCBI taxonomy): domain Eukaryota; kingdom Metazoa; phylum Chordata; class Mammalia; order Primates; family Hominidae; genus Homo; species Homo sapiens. Next base: position 87,545,284 of record NC_000002.12, on the reverse strand, counting down.
AAATGGTCAATAAGCACTTGCAAAGGTAGTCAACATAATGAGTAATTGGGGAAATGCAAATTAAAACCAGAACTAAATGCCGTTTCCCATGTACTAGAACAGCTCAAATTATAGAGATTAAAGACACAAACTGTTGGTGAGGACATGAAGCAATTCTCATACTTTGTTAGTGGGAACATACGCCACTTTGGAAAATTATTTAGTAGTTACTTATACATTAAACATCCACTTATGTATGGTTTAGCAATACTTCTACTTTCCAAAGAGAAGTAAAAACACTTGTCCACAAAATGACCTGTACTTGTTCTTACCAGCTTTATTCATGATACAGTAGTCCCTGCTTTTCCACAGTTTTGTTTTCCATGGTTTTTGCTACCTGTGGTTAATCATGGTCCAAAATTATTAAATGGAAAATTCCAGAAGTAAACAATTCATAAGTTTTAAATTGTGCCTTCTTCTCAGTATCATGATGAAATCTCGTGATGTCCTGTTTTATTCCACCAGGGACAGTGATACTCCCTCTTTCCAGTGTCTCCACGCCATATACACTTCCCACCCATTTGTCACTTAGTAGCCCTCTCAGTTATCAAATCCACGGATAGTGTCAATACTATCCACAGTCAGTGTATATAGGGGTCAGTACTGTCCACAGTTTTAGGCATCTACTGGGGAGTCTTGGAACCTATCCTGTGGATAGGAGGGGGACTACTGTACTACAAAATTGGAAATAGCCCAAATGGCCATCAGCAGGTGAATGACTAAACAAACTGTGCTATAATCATACAATGAATTACTTCTCAGCCAATCTGGGGACACATACAAGTCACCTCGGACCTTAATGCTGTGCCTGTGGTGAGAACAGGTCATGAGCAACCCCAGCCATAGACACCTAGGCAGGGACCCCATGAGGGTGGCACCTAAAGACCAGGAGGGAGAAGCTCTTCTTCCTTGGGAGGCCAGCCCCTTCTCCCCAGATGCCACAGGGCACACACACCCACTTCTCCTGGCACCTGGGCTGCATTTTGGGAAAGGAGGGGAGTGGGGAATCCTTGAGTGGCATCAGAAACTTAGAACCTTAATGAACGTAAGTTTTAATACAGTAGAGATTACTAATCTTTAGTTAGTAAAATGAAATATTTTGTTGCCACCAATAGAAAGGGGCTGATATGGTTTGGTTCTGTGTCCCCACCCAAATCTCACCTTGAATTGTGATAATCCCCATGTGTCATAGGAGGGACCCAGTGGGAGGTAACTGAATCTTGGGGGCAGGTTTTCACCATGGCATTCTTGTAGTAGTGAATAAGTCTCATGAGATCTGATGGTTTTATGAAGGGGAGTTCCCCTGTACATGCCTCTTGCCTGCTGCCATGTAAGAAGTCCCTTTGCTCTTCCTTCGTCTTCTGCCATGATTGTGAGGCCTCCCCAGCCATGTGGAACTGTGAGTCCAATAAACCCCTATCCTTTATAAATTACCCATTCTCAGGTATGTCTTTATTAGCAGTGTGAAAACAGACTAATACAGGGACCTTAAGTGTAAGACAAGTTTAGACATATACATAAAAAAATTAAAGTTAAATATTTTTGCACTTCTGACATGCAGCTGAGCTATGCTTGTGTTTCTAGAGGAACTAAATGTCAGCGATGGGCTCTGAGAGGAGGTGAAAGGAGGTAAGAGGAGAGACCTGAGTGTCCAGAGACCGCAAGCACTCCACGTCTAGATTTTCAGGTTCCTATTATTATTATTATAATACTTTTAAGTTCTAGGGTACATGTGCACAATTGCACATGTAATAAAAATGCTACAGCAGGTCTCATTGAGCTGTCTTAGCTTAAGGTAAGCAATGCTCCCTTTGTAATTCAAGTTAATCAGTGCAATTTTGCCTCCAGAGAAAGGCTGTTTTCCACACTGACTTAGTATGGGCTCTGAGAAACAATATGTCTGCATTTTCTCAAATATTACAATTTATGGTTAAAATAAAATCTTGTTATTCTCACGAAATCCTGAAGGTCTTTAAGTGTTTTCCTTCCATGTCAGAGTCCAAAATCCTGGAAAGGCCCTGGTCTCTTCTCCAGGAAGGAATGGCAGGAGGAACCTCCCCTTCACCCTCCCCTCACCCTACCCACCCCGCCCCCTTACCATCAAGAATAACCAGTGGATGAGAGGGGCATGCCAGTGACCTTAGATTCAAGATAAAAGCACGTGACATTCTTTCAAAGCCAGATAATTCTATAGACAAGTTGGAGCTTGGGTGAGCAACCATCCTAGTTTCCCCAGGGCTATTTGGGTGTTAACACTGAAAGTCCCACATCTCCAGAAATGTCTCAGACCCAGCAAGCAAACCAGGAATGGTTCTCCTGCCAGTAGGTCAGGACTTGTGGGTCAGAGGTCCTCCCTGCCCCCAGGGCAGCTGCCTCCTCTCCTGACCGTTGGAAAGGGCTCTGATGCACTGATCTACACCCTGGTTCTCCGGGCTGTGTGTTATCTCTGACAGCAGCCCCTGTGCCGCCAGCCTACCACCCCCACACCGTGTTAAATTTCAACCACAATCTGCTGCCTTGGCTCTTCTTGGTATCTCTAGCCCAACGACAGCAGGCTACTTCCCAAGAACACCGAGAGTTTAGAAAGTTTTTTGTTTTTTTGTTTTAACATCTTTGAGTGATCTGTAAATTTACTAACCTATCAATTCTGATGATGGAGTCTCTTTTCTTTGTTGTTGCTGTTGTCTAAATTAGAGCTATATAATTCCAAAATGCTTGAACATGATATGGCACCAACATTCACTTCACTACCCCAAGCTTTTACCCTCAAGTAAAAGATGAATTCAGGAACATGAGTTTTTTTGTTTAGTTTCTGGTCAGTGGGCATCCTGGTGGGGTAAAACATAGTAACAAGAAAAGGAAGAACATGTAGATGGTCATTGCTTTTCAGGTGCATTGCAGAGGCTTCTCTCTGAAGGGTGACTACAGTTCTATACGGCCATGTCAGTCCACCGGCATTCATTCATTCATTTATTCATTCATTCATTCAACACATATACATTGCTTGGCAAAGTGCTTCTGAGATGCAACCAAAATAAAAACCCTGCCAGGATTCATTATGGCTGTGGTCTCCCTGTACTAAACCTCACATCCATTTTTGTATTTGATGTGTCCTGCAAACTGCTGTGTAAATGGGAGTTTTATGAGCAAATAGAAGGACCTGGCAATAATGCTGCCGTCTTAAGGAATAGAAGAGCCTGTTGTTGCACAATAGAGAGCCAGGGACAGAAATCGGTGAAATCGGCTCCAACACTGCCCCCCCCCCAATACACCCCAGGCACACTTCTGCTTGACAGATGCCAAGGCCTTGATGCCAGGACTGGGTTTCCAAGGCACCAACCCATTTGTAAGGTGGCACTACAAGGATTCCTCAAGTCCTGAATTAATTCCACATAGCAGACAATCCTGCATCACAGATTTGGAGTGCAAGCAACAGAATTTGCATCTGTGAACTCCAGCAGAGGGCCTAGGTGCTAACAGTTCTGGCAGTTCTCTGAGCCATGCAAAAGACTGGGTCATCGAGTTTGGGAATGAGATTGCTAGGGGCCTGAGAATAGGAATGGCAAAATGTGGTCAGAGTTCATTGCTGAGGTGAACAAGTAAGCTCCCAAGTCTCAGAGAGCAGCATCCCAGCCACAGACCATGCTGGCATGTACCAAGAAAGGAGAGGCAGCACTGGTCCTCTTGCTCCTGCGTAGGCTGGCATGTGGATCCACCCCTTCTCAAGGTATCACACAAGTGCAGGGGCCAGAGGAAACCAGGGGCTGCAGAGGTAAGGGTCAATGTGGGGTGGCCCCAAAAACAGCTCTCCTGACAAAGTTTTGTGGCTTTTTTTGTTGCTAGGCTGCTTCAAGTATCACTCAGGGATGTAGAAGACTGTCTCATAGGTCTTAACTATAACTATCTGAGTCTGAATAATGGCTCCCAAAGACATCCACAAATCCCTGGAACCTGAGAATGTTACCTTACACGGCAAAAGGGACTTTGCAGATGTGATTAAGTTGAAGATCTTGAGATAGAGAGGTAGTCCTGGATTATCTGAGTGGGCCCTTAACGTAACCACTGGGGTCCTTATATGAAGGAGGCAAGAAGGTTAAAGAAGGGATAGCCATGTGACGATGGGGCAGACACTGGAGTGATGGACTTTAAGTGGAGGAGGGGTCCACAAGCCAAGGAACGTTGGCCATGTCTAAAAGCCGGAACAGACAAGGAAGCTGATCTCCCCAAAGCCCTGCCGAAACCTTGACTTTAGCCCATTGAAACAGATTTCAGGCTTCTGGCCTTTGGGAACTGTGAGAGAATACATTTGTGTTTTGTGTTAAGCTACCAAGGATGTTAGAGCAGCCATGGGAAAGGGGTGCTGTTTGCATGAGAAAAGCAGGAAGACAGAGAGAGGAACTGTGTCAGCCTCCTGGTCTGTGGGGAGCCACATCCCAGGAACCCCAACCTCTGCCTTTTGCTGGGAAACATTCTCCCAGTCTCCCAGTCTGAAACACCTCCCTCAAATCCCAAAAAGACAATGGTGGGAATCCTCCGAGGTCCAGCAGAGCCTTGGGACAAGATGCAATCTTTCGCTAGCCCCAAGTGGGTGGGTTCACCCACCCTCAGCTCCAGCAGGTAGGCCCTTCTGAATCTCAGGCTGGCTGAATAGGTTCCAGACGCAGGAGGGAGCCCCCCCACCCCCTCTGGCAGCTGGAGTGTGTGCTGGAGATCTGGGCATGGGCTTGCCCAGGCAAAGAGTGGAGAAGCTTTTATAGGAAAGCTGTAAAAGCAAGCAGGGTTGACTTGGGCACTCCCCCAGTTCCCATGAGTCTGGGGCCCATGACTGGCTCATCGATTGCTTGAACAAGCACACATCAGAGACATCCAGATCAGAATGGAAGCTGCTCAAGGCTCAGATGATCCCTGAGCCACCAACGTTATCCTGGAGGTTCTTATCACAGAGTATGGGAAATGCCATACTGGGCTGTGGGTTTGCAGAAATCCTCCAAAAGATGCAGAAACAAGTCCAGCTGAAAATGGAATGCTTCCTGATGGCTCATTTTGTTCCAGCCTCAACCCAAAGGTATCTATCACAATATTTCTTGTACAATGGGTTGTGCAGCGGGGGGAAGGGAGATGCTTTACAGGCATAGTGTGGGGTGAGGTACATTTCGTAACAGCTCTTGTTTACTGAGATGGCTTTCTACTGACAAAGAAAAAAGTCCCGAAAAGAAGGGGGCCTGTTAATTGTTTGCTTCCTTTTGCTTTTTTGGTTACAACAGTAAAAACTGTCCTTCAAATTTAGTCCCAGAAGACATCAGAGTTTGACAATGACAAGTGGGGAATAGATGTTCCTGGGCTATCAGCTTCGCGGCTCCCTCCTCTACATGTGGGCTCGGGGACACAGAGCTGGTCCCTGCCCAGTCTCGGAGGCCAGAGAATCAAGTTCTGGGTGTGTGAGACTGATGGGACAGGCTTCCTCTGACCGAGTTGGGCAACTTGGGGCTTTTAACTGCCTTGGGAATGAGGGTGGGTGCCTTAAATGAGGAACTAAGACAGGCCCTCATTTCCCAGCAGGGATGCCGCTCAGCCTGCAGAGTTCCCCGTTCCCAAGGCTTGTGAAGCAGGGGACAAAAGAGGGGCCTTCCTCAGGACACTGTTGTGGGGTGGGGTGCTCACTCGCTCTCCTGTGTCCATGTACTCCTCTCCCCCTCTACTTCCCTCTCTTTGGGAATCCCTATGGGGCAAGTACAGGGAGATGGGAAGAAGTGGGTGGGATGGATCTGGGCTAATGACGAGGGCAGCCTCTTCCCCCCTCGGGTCTCCCTCCACCCTCTTCAGTCCCTAGTACCTGCTGGGACCTGCCTCCTTAATAGGTAACCCCTACAGCTCTCCTCGGCCAGTCTCTGCACACTGCGCCCATGCGTTCCCGATGCCACTGCCCTCAGAACATGCAGTCAGAGGCTCTGGGGAGCTAGAGGTTCAGGTGGGTGTAGAGAACACCACACATATCCTCCCAGGGCAGCCAGGACATCCCACGGGGAGGCAAAGAGGGTCCTGTCCTGGGCTTCCTCCACACTCAGACCACTTCCTCACCTGCCCACCAAGCAGCAGTGTGCATGGTTAATGGAAATTGGCATCTCTTCCATCCATGTGAGGAACCACCAAGACCTACTAGCTAGGTTTACGATCCAGGTTCTAGATACCAGGGGTTAGGAGGGAAGAACCCCCAAGACCTACTAGCTAGGTCTACAATCCAGGTTGTAGATACTATGAGTTAGGAGGGAAGGCCCAGGAGTGCCATTCCCCAGGTTCAAATTCCAGCTCCAAGACTCACCCTGCGTGTGCCCTTGCATAACTCAAGGTGCCCTCAGCTTCCCCATCCTTAAATGGCAAGGTTTCGTACTTGCCTTTAGAGCTGCTTGTGGGGATTAAATGATACCTAGTTGCCAAGGGCTTTGCACCGGCCCTAGTATGCGGTAGTGCCAGTTACAGAGGAGGAAACAGAGGCTCAGGGAGATTGAGCACCTCGACTAAAGAGAGGAGTGGAATTTCAGTCCAGGAGGTCAGGCTGTCTTTCCGAGAGCCGACACCCACCAGCCTTTGGTGGGCTTGAGAACACGTGGGGCCTGCCATCCACGCTGCTGGTATGCATCAGGTGGTGTCAGGTGGGTCCTCGCACAGTGAATCCTGAGCAGAGGGCAGGGGGACGAGGGGGCGGCTGGAGCCCAGTTCGCTTTTGCGAAGCACTTCCTGAACTGCACATTCGGTTACCACAAAATGAGTCAAGGTCCCTTTTAAGTGGCTTGCTGAGCTTCCCTCTGATCTGGCACTGTCTCCCTGGGATGGCCGGCAGCAGGCTTCCCTGACGAGCTGTCAGGCCTGGCACCGGAGCCCCTTCCCTGGGCACCAGCTCTGCACGAGCACCACTTCACTCTTCCTCATGACAATTCCATGAGGCAGGGGCTGGTCTTGTTTCCACTTTAAGTGGGGAAACTGAGGCTCAGAGAGGTTGGGTGAGTTGCCTTGGGTCACACAGCTTAGTCAGGTTCAGAGCTGCAACCTGAACTCTGGCCTGTCTGGTTCTTAGCTGTTTTGCTTGCTCTTCTGCCTGGCTCATGGCAGTGAGGAGACCCACGCTCACCTTCGCTGCCTGGGTCAAGTAGCTGCCTGGGACCTCTCTATGGACCCATTTGCAAATCAAGGATGGGGAAGTGAGGTTGTGGGGATGAACCATTAGAAGCAACTTCTCATGTCCCAGAAGGAAACAGGGGACTGTGCTTTCCAGGATGAAAATACAAGGGCCCCCTGATGGACTAGTGTCCTCCCTATGGATTGAGTCCCTCTAAGAAATGGGTTGCTCTCCCCACAAACAGGCTTAGCTTAAAGACCTTGTGTTTCCTGGGCAAGAGAGGCACCCACAAAAGGCCTTCACTAAAACCTGGCTTCAGGCCCAGGGCCCTGGTCCGGATGCAGAGGAGACCTCAGCTGGGAAGGGTCCGTCCTCCTGGGGCTTGGGGGGTGGGGGTCATGCTCTCCTGGAAATGGGCTGCCCCAAGACCCACATGAGTCTTACCCCAGTGTCTCCTTTAGGGTCCTGGAGCAAGAAGGAGGGATTCCCAGTGATATCTGGTGAGTAAGAGAGAAAAGGAAGCGGGTACATCCAAAAACACAAGCACAGTCTGTGAACACCGTCAGACAAGAGGGCCTGAATGGCGCCTGTGGTGATTGGGTCTTTTTGTTTGCTTTTGTTTTTGTCATTGTTGTTTTGAGTCAGTTTAGGAGTTTTTTTTTAGTAATGACTACTGGGAAACTCAGAGGGAAACACATACACACACACACACACACACACACAAACACATGAAAGAACAACAATGCGGGGTGATGACCACGGCTCAACCAAACGACATTTTCATCATCCTGACACATCTTGTTGAAACGGAAACTGATCTGGGCCTAAAGTCCTCACATCATTTTTCCTGATTCTCTTTGTCTGTTTTTAAAAGTAACGTTCAATTAGAGAAATAATGCATAGCCCTCCTTGTAAAATACTACAACGTGATAAATAAGGCTCAAGAACTCCTTGGCTGCTGTCTGGACCGAGGGTCCCTCCCCAAGCCAGCCACTGTGCTCTATTTTCTGTGGGTCTTTGCAGTCTGGGTCGAACTTTTTAAGCATTTCATTGCTACTACTTAGCTTTTGAGAGTGGGTTCAGCGCTCGTGACTGAAGCATATGCTTAGAGAACAGTGTCCCTGAAGTCAAATCTCAAACTTTGCCTCAATGCCTCTTGCCTCAGAAGGGCCCAGAAAGGTCTGAATTGCCCTGAGAGTTTTCCTCCAGACAATAGCTCAGCCTTCTGTGCCCAGCCATGTTTGCAAAACTTTCTCACACACCCCTCAGCTAGTCCTCCACAATCTAAGCCTAGGCTGCTGGGATACACATTTCTATTTTGCAGATAATGAACAGAAGTCTCCACAGAGTTAAGAGTCTTATACAAAACTACCTACCCTGGCTGGTTTTTCCACTATAGCAGGGACTCCTTTCCTCCAAGTCCCGCCTCCACACCGAGGTCTCAGGTGTCGAGGGCCTTCCAGGCATGAATGTCCCACACCCGTGCTCCTGTCAGAGTCCTCACACTCTCTGACCAAGCTGCCTAAGTTCCAGGAAGCTCTAGGCCTGTGTTCTCCCAGGGAGGGGGGCTTCCCATCTAGTCCCTCAAACCAGGAGCCCGGGGGTATTTGTGAGGTTCTGGGAGATTCTAGGAGACCATAAATACCAGACCTTTAAGCAAGCATGGTCAGCAGCTGGTGATAAAATTGAAGGAAAGAGACACAGCAGCCTGCATTTCAACCCTGCCCTCTCCACACCCTCCAAACTGAGTACCTGGGGTTGCAGGGAGGCAGGGCCACCAAAGTCCCCAGTGGGACCGCAGTGTGGCTCTGAGGACGGAGCTGGATATTGTAAGGTTGGCAGCAACTCAGGCCAGTACTCTCAAGTGGGAACAGTTGGGAAAACAGGTAGAAAGAAAAGACAGCATGAGAATCTCTAGGACGGGAGCCAGCGCAGTCTTCCCAAAGAATATCGTGCAGACATGCTCTGCACACAAACCTTCCCTTCCTAGAGATCCAGAATATCTAGGAAGATTCATGTTCATCAGCATTATGAAAGCCCTGAGAAGTCCTGCAGTCATGGAATAATATAATAATAACGATAATAATAGCCCAAGGTTTTCTAAACTTACTAGTCCAGAGAATTCTTTTCTAGCGAAATGCCTATTGCTGTCTCCCCATGGAGCACATGTTGTGACTGCTGGCCTGGCCCATCTGGGGTAAGGAGCGATGTTGGTCACAGTGCTTCTTAAGCAGCTGTGAACTTCCACAGCCTCACTGCAATGGCCCTGGCCCCCAATCTTACTTCTGATAGGTTAGACAGATGCAATGTCTAAAACCCTCAATTACTGATAACACTTTTAGTGATGACTTAGATCTCAAACTATGGGGTCTCAAACTATGGCCCGTAGGCCAAATCTGGCCCTCTGCCTGTTTTTAAAAATAAAGTTGTATTAAAACACACCTTCTGCCATTCCTCTATGTATTACCGGTGGCTGCTTCATGCTACAATGGCAGAGTTGAGCCATTGTGATAGAGACCATGCAGCCCAGCAAAGCCTAAAATGTTTACTCTCTGGTCTTTAGAAAAAATGTTTGCTGAACCCTGGCTTAAACAGAAAATCAAAACTCACCTGAAGGACTGGTTCTGTAAAGTCTCAATAGCATGGGAAATTTAGATTTAAAATCTCTGCAATTTGGACCAATCCACGTTCTGCCGTGGTTGTGTTGTTGATGTAACGGGCCCAGACTACAGCTCAAGTGTAGACAAGGGTGTGTGTGTGTGTGTGTGTGTGTGTGTGTGTTCATGGAGAGACTGGGAATGGGAACAGGATGGGGAGGAAAGAGAAATGCTTTATGGCTTAGGAATATTGAATTCGGAGCCAGAGCAGGGGAAGTTGTGCCACCCTATAAGCCTCAGCTTTGGTTGTATGAGAAACCTGGAGATAATGTAGCTGATGGCACAGGGTTGTTGTGGGCAGAAAATGAGCTCCTGTGAGCAGAGCACCTCTGCTGTCTCTAGGAGACTCAGCAAGTCCTGGGGACTCCTCCGCATTTCTTCTTCAGTGCCCAGGGTGCATTAAGTGCTCAACAAACGGGCTCCTATTCGGGAATTACTCAAGCGACACACAATCTTATTTGGGGAACAGACAATATCTGGGCAAGATAAAACTTCCCTCTTTCCTTTCAAGGTTGGACATTACGTGCTAATTTGGGTCATCTCCTGAGTGTGACCTTCAGCCAGCCATTGGTCACCTTACGTGCAAGTAGGGCATGAGTGGCATTCCATGTATAAACCATGTGACAGCTCGGAAAGCAGACGGTCCTGTAAGTGTAACCCACAGACTGAAAATGACCCATGGCAAAGGGCAATGCGTGCATGATTTTTATGCTGGAATTCATGATGGAACATTCTGGATTCCTCCCAGCAAACCTGAGCTGGCCTGCTCTGTTGGGCAGCGAGGTCTGCTCAGAGAGACGCTGGTGTTTATCTGCCACATCCTTTAGTTTTTATTGCACTCAGTCGCCTTGTATATTTAATGAGGAAATTTGCTGAAATGGTTACTAAGCCACAGGGGGAAAAAAGGAAGGAGGTGGGGAGCCACTCTCCGACCCTGAAGTTGGCAAAGTTGCCTCATTAATCAGACCTGTGCTGGGATACGACGTTATTCATGTTTAGGGCATTAAAACTTGAAGCTAAAATTGTAGCAGGCGGTAATTTGAGTACAGGCAGCCTGTCTCTCTGCGATAGATTTATGATGTTTACTCAACAATGGATGGGAACTTTCAGGGAAAGACTGACCGCCCCCAACCCCCGCCTTTTCAAAACACATTGTCAGGCCACAGTGATCAAGTTCCCGATTTTTGTGTGAGTATGCAGAGCCTTTTTAAAAGTCTTCAGGGTGATAAGAGCAGACTGTATTCGATCTTCTCCATTCTGAGCTCAGCGGAAAATATGCAAGGCAGATGGAATGAGCTGTCTACCAGGCGAATGGTGGTTGCCACGCTCTCTGACTACACTGCTCTTCCTGACGTGACCGGTGCAGTGCCACCCCCACCGGCCTTGATGTTGAATCTGGAACATCTGGTCACTGTGTCACCTCATCAGGACCTCAAAGAATTCCCGACAAAAGCTTTCATGTTCCCGGCTGAGGGTCTTGCTTTCCTGTGCTTCAAGGTTACAATTCTTGGAACTGATTGCTGGGAATTTCAGGAAAGTGAGGGTTCCCATTTTCCAAGTTTTCCCACCTCCTTTCTGTCATGACACACAGACAGATGGAGGCCACATCCATCTCTGTCAGTCCAGGCAGACTTTGCCTTCAGGTCTCACATAGCAAAGGAAGAGGCATCAGCCTAGCCTTGGGTCTTGCCACTCAGATGGGAAGCCCTTTCTGTAAGAGGATTCCTTTAAGATGTGGCACAAAGAACATTTATACTGCACTTGGACAGGAAGGCCCCCAAGTGCATGAAAGCACTTTAGAGTGTTCATCTCCTCTCCCTGGCACAGGTGTAGCAGAGGTGAGACCCAGTTCTGGTCACTCTGGCTGTTAGCTTTGTTTTTAGCTTTGCTTTTAGCTTTGCCCTGGGCCTAGTGTGTTGGTGATGAATTGCAGATAATACCACCAACCACATAGGGCTGTTTTGCAAACTAAGTTGACATTTTAAGCAGTTTGGTTAAACAAACTGACTTTGAGTATGGGCTCTGCCACCTCCTAAGGGAGTCATTTTGGGTAAGTTACTGGCTCCCTCTGATCTTTATTTCACCATTGTGAGATGGGATGAAGCTATTATCTGCCTCACTGGGCCATTGCTGAGTATGTGGAAGTGCTTTTTTTTTTTTTTAAAGACAAAATATGCTAGTAGATTTTCAATAAATGTTAGGTTCTATTCTCAATATTATGGAAAGATGCACTTCTTGAATTTGGGGAAGAAACAAAGGAGATTGTATTTTATGCCAAAGTCATAAGCGCTGACGCATATCAAACCACAAATATTTCTATCATCCAGGCTGTGGGGGGATCAACATGTCACCCCATCATGTGACAGTTAGATAAAGGATATGAAAGTCCTGCCTAGAGTGGACACTATAATTTTGTAAGCTTTTCTTTAAGAGGGTCTCTGACTTTTCAGTCTTCTGTGTTTGTTTTGTCATTTAAGTTCATGTGCTGCAACAGATTTAAAGTAGACACTACTTCCCTCTGCCCTGCCCGGCGGTTACACATGAGAATTTTTCAGTTTGAACTAAATACAAGGAATATTAAGTTAGACTTAAAGAAATAGCCCCCAACTTGCAACAAGTGGGGCAGTAAATAAAGGGAGCCCTTTTCTACAGGGGCTGAATGGGAGAGGAGAGCTAAAGGAGTTTGGGAGGTGAAAGCAACTGTAATGATTTATCATCAGGGAAGACTTATTTACCCATGGAAGGAATACTTTAAAATCTACCTTTCTCATAATAAGGTATGTTCATATGCACAGCACAACTTAAATACAAGTATTTATGTAGTTTTGCAAGGAGCTTGCAAGGTTAGAAACACACACCACATATGAACTATGTTCAGTAACACTACCTATGCAGTCTTTGAAAAACTTCTATAGATCATCTGGCTAGGGAACTGTGAGTCTCATCTGTACCCACACGATCCCAAAGAGGAGGGGCCCTATAGAAACAAGAACCAACCAACAAAAAGCAGTGACAACAGGCACCATGACAACAAAAGGAGTTTTGAAGTGCATCTTCAAATAGCACACAATTTTCCAATTTAAATAGTTTGGAATGAATCAAAGGGAAAAAAGCATTAATTAGATACAACTGAATTTCTCGAAAGTATATTAACACAGCCTACAAATAAATCCTCAAATGTACCACTCTCAACAAATCTTGCATTGACTGACATTCTCTGTCAACTAGAGAGGATGCAGGCAGGAAAATGAATGAAATTTCCATTCTTCAGTGTTTACCTGATGTCTCAGGTTGTTTGCTTTGGGGGAGTGGCTGTTTGCAGGGCTATGGGAATTTGTGAAACACTTTGCTAGTAAAGCCAGCTGAGGCCTTCGGGACCAAATCGCCAAATGAATGACAGAGGATCCTTGCAGTAGCTTTGTCTGTCTGCAGAGCGGACTCCTGTGAGTGTTCATCACATTTAAAGAAGTAACATGCCGGGAGAACGGAAAAGGGTGCTAATGATTTACAAGCGAAGATAAGATATTATTAGGAGTACGAGGTCAATCAGATAAAGATACCATACACACAACTTGGACTTGGGCCCATTCTTTAATTTATTCTGAAAGGAAGAGGAGGAGGAAAGGATGGGGCCTGAGAATGTTAGCAATTGGCTTCCCGCAAGCTGCCTGTTTTAACACTCTTTGTGATTTATTTCAATCTCATCTTTTACAAAGGTACGGCAATTTGTTCCATTTTCCTGCTTCCTTCTCCTCTTCCTCCTTCTTCTAAGATGGCAGAGAGAAACTTTCTTACAGGTCCCAGCAACACTGCCGTATAGCTTAGAAGACTGGAGATATTTATTCTCAATGTACTCAGTTTACTTTCCAACTGGAGCATTATTTGAAAGACGGTCTGCCAGCATTCAACTGAACAGACACAAATGCAGGTATGAATAGTGAGGGGAGAGAGTGGTTTGAAGGCTGGGGTTGCTGTCAGGTCTGATGAACCCTCCAGCACTCGCCATCATCGGCTACAATGTTGAGGAGACTCCATCACAACCTCAGATCAAGAGTGTTTCTTTGTTCCTCCAAGCCTTCCAAAGCACTTTATGGACCTTGTATTTGGACAACACCTCCATGAAGCTTGGAAGCCAATAAGTCACATCTTCATTGAACAATTCATGAAATTACAGGGCAGAGGTGAAATATGACCTTCGAGGGAAAAGCTGGCGGTGGAGCCCAGAACTTCATTTTGCTGGGATGGTTCCCTGCCGTTATTCTCCTTTCTCACGAAAGGATCCTGCAGTCAATTTACGGCATTTGTAAATAAAGGCGGCTGTGTCAGCCTCCTGCCTGGAGAAAGGAAGGCAGCACCTTGAATGCTGAGAGTGTATCTCAGGCTTACTCTATACTTCCATTACAATATCTCAGAAGTTATAACAGATGAAGATGGGGCGAGGTGGTCAAGGTAAGACCGGGGTCAGCAGGGCAATGGCGTGTGAGGAGTTTCTCATTAGAAAACACAAATGGGGATTTGGATTGGTTGTTTTTCTTGTCTCAGAAATCTTCTTCAGAATGACCTCCCCACCCCTGCTTTGTCTTTGAAAGTTTTGCCATGTTTGAATTGGCATACTTACACATTGTAATGATTTTTCTTTCATCAATTAAAAACAAAGCTATTTTTTGGCCAAGTGTCTCCTGAAGCAAAGTTAAGAAACAGAATAAGAAGGTTTTGAGTCACGCACAAGACTGAAAATTAGCTAATAAAAACCCTTTTCCCCCCTATTTCCTCAAAACTCAGTTCTCAGAAAAACAATTCTGGATGCACCCTGTTTACCAGCAAGGTTAAAAGTTCAAGAAAAGAAAGACATCACAATATTTACACTCAGGCAAATCACTGTTCATCTACCACGTCTGACCCTGCAGATTTGGGAGCGGGCCGCTGTCCTGCCTGTCAAAGGGAGAGGAAGCAGTGCCTGTCTGGCTGGCCCTATATTTGCTCCTGTTGTCTCACTCTCTGCCACCAGTTTTGTTTTTTGTTGTTTGTTTGTTTTTGTTTATTTGTTTTTTCTAAGACTGCCGGCATCCCTTCTTTCTAGATCGTCTTGTCTTTCTTTTGATATTTTATTTTCATGGATAAGATCGCTAGGACCCCATCAGAGTATTTTTCTGATGGCACGATGCTACTACTTTCTGATATATTTATTTCATTCTCAATATTTGAATCTATGAAATAAAATAATAGTGATAATAGCCACCATTTATTGGGTTTGTGCTTTGTGCCACGCATCATGCTGAGTGGGTTTGCACATTATTGCAAAGATCCCTCTGTGCTGCTGGGGTAGGTGTCATTCTCCCAGTTTATGGCTTTGGAAACCAAGGCTCAAAGAGCTCCAACAACTAGCAGGAGGCTAAGCAGACCAGACCTGGGCACTTCTCCACTTCCTTGGCCTTCCAAGAGGGGCCCCAGCACTGGTCTTCAGTCTTCAGACCTAGGTCATTCTTGCCTCAGGGAGAGACAGATCGAGGAAAGTCAGGTGGTTGTTAGCTAACAAGAGCAACGTTCTTCCAGAGGGGCAACAGGTGAGGGCCAGGGCTGAGGGCCATGCGGGCAGTGGGCAGGGAGCTCCTGCTTCTGGAGGCCAGGTGGGCCACCCCTCCACCCATCAGCATCTTGCAGCCAGGCAGATCCCTGCGGAGGCCCGACAGTGACAGAAGGAAAAGCCCCCAGCAGCCTGGAATTGGCCTCACTGAGAGTGTCTCCAGGGAGAAACATACTGGGGATGCCAGCAGCCCAGAAGGCTGTAGAGGGAGCTCATTGCTTCTCCATCATAGTCACTGCACACAAAAGTTGGAGCCAGAAGCATCCACAAGTGCCCCTATCCAAGCAGGGCAGGAGGAAGGAAATCCATTCAGAGATTCCTGCCTCCCAAAGCCTGACTATGCAGTAGGAGCTAGCTGGGCTAGAGAGACACAGCCAGGGCCCATCCTCAACAGTCAGGGTGCTGGGTGGATCTGGTCTATGCTTGCTGCCTGTGGGCCTGAGGCCCCGTCCCACACAGCAACACCATTGCACCCAGTGGCTTCCCAGTGCAGCCATAGTGGATGCCCAGGGACAGACAAGGGTGAGACCCTCCTCCCCACCAGCTCCCAAGGCACAGACATACCACAAACATACATACTGCATACACACAGAGGCTTATCCTGTGGTGGTGCCATGTGGAGCCATGCTTGAGTCTGCAGTGGGTCTGGGAACAACCACAAACAAGCTCAGGAAGCACACATGGCATCACATGTCACCTATAGCCACTCCACACACCAACACACATGCACACAGGTACCAGCATATACCCACCGCACACACCCACACACATCACAAACACCTCACTCCATATGCAACATATGCAACCCACCCCCAGCCACACACAATGCACATGTACCACAAACATACATACTGCATACACACACGTGCTACAGAACCCTACTCTCATACTGCACACGTCATACCCACATCCAGCCACATCACATACTACATCCATGCACACATCCACTAAGACACCCACACTTATATCCGCCCATGCATTCCCGCACACCATACCACACCACACATGCAAACACACAGGCATGTATGCACAAGCATACACACATACCATAGATGTGCACTCACAGATGCACGCAACCACCCCACGTGCATACAGGCACCCATGCACCAGACACCCCGTGTCCTCTTCTGCACCCACACCTGTGTCACACATGCAGGTACACAGAACCCATAAGACCATGTCTCACACCCATACCCACACACCCCAAACACACATGCTTGAGTGCACACTTTCGTTCTCACCCCCCCATGGCTGACTCTGCTTCTAGTAAGGCAGCCTTTCCAGAACTGTCGAGGAACTGCCAAACACCCTTTCTTTTAGAGATGACCGTGTGTTGAGGAGTCAGTGTTTGTAAAGCAACTTCTTGGGGAAATATAATAGCAGATATAAGGTAATATAAGTGAGGGTATCCAAGCCAGATAGGAATCGTCAAGCAAGGGCACGCTCGAGAGTGAAAGGCGGAGCTGAAAGGAATTATGAACTCATTTCTAATAGGCATGGACAGGACCACCTTGAGTGAACTTGGGTACATGGTCACCTCGCCTACAGGGACTAGGGACAATGCTTACAGAATCAGTGTGTCTGCTGCCTATCAACCCTCTCGGATATAAAATAATGGGATAGGAATTGGTGGCGAGGGCTGGAGGTAGAAGAGTCGTAGTTTTTGATGGTATATTTTCCTGATTTGTGCATTCCCTTCTCAGCTTCCCTTCTGGCAGGTGGAACTCATTTCTCACTAATGTCCTTGCTGCATGTTGGTGATTCTCAAATGTTCCATCCCCCGCTCCATCCCCATGGAGTCCTGCCTGGGGGCCCAGGAGTCCCTGTCTGATGTTTCCACCCTCTGACCAGTGCCTCTGAAGAATAAAGACCGAATTCACACCTCTAGCAGGTACTCAGCACCTAGCTGAGGCAAGCATAAAGAGCAGAGCTAGCAACTGTGACAGCCCCCTGGGATCTTGCTGAAATGCAGATTCTGGTGCTAGGGGGCCAGGGTGGGGCCTCTCCCTTTTTGACCCAGCAACATCTATTTATTTATTTATTTATTTAAATTTTTTTGAGATGGAGTCTCCCCTGTCACCCAGGCTGGAGTGCAATGGCATAATCTCGGCTCACTGCAACCTCCACCTCCTGGGTTCAAGTGATTCTCCTGCCTTAGCCTCCCAAGTAGCTGGGATTACAGGCACACACCACCACGCCTGGCTAATTTTTTGTATCTTTAGTAGAGACAGGGTTTCACCATGTTGGCCAGGCTGGTCTTGAACTCCTGACCTCGTGATCCACCGGCCTCAGCCTCCCAAAGTGCTGGGATTATAGTTGTGAGCCACCGTGCCCGGCCACAACATCACTTTTGAGTAGTGGACAGTTTTCAGAGAACAACATCCACCCTCATCCCAGCCCATGTGGATCCTCACACAGCCCTGGCGGGAGGCAGGGCCAATGGAAGCCACCAGTGTCCCCTTCTGAGGAGATTCCAGTGGGGTCTGCAGCAGGAAGGGATGCCAAGTGCTCAGCACCCATCAGTCAACTTCCAGTCGCCCTGTTTTCAGCCATTGTCTGGTGTCACCCTTCCCAACTGTTGCTTACCATTCACAGTCCTTTTTAAGGAAGAATGACATTTGATTTTACACACCTACAAAATACAAAATGGCAGCATAATAGAGGGATAGGGAGAAGCTCACTGCTCTGGACTTAAATATGGGATGCAGCATCACATGACCAGTTTTGTGATATGGGAAAAATTGATTGTCCTCACTAAAACTCAGTTTTCTTAACTGAAACAAAGGGGTGATCACCTTGCCTCTGGGGCCTGCTATGCGCACTGGAAAATAACATTGTAAACCACCAAAAATGTCTCCAGAGAAAGCTAGAACCTTAGATGGTAGCTGGGATGATTATAAAGGTGCATATGTATTAATCCATCTATGTAGACAATCATCACTGAACACACTAAGTACCCTAGACCTGAGTAGAGTGAGGCTGAGGTTCATGCGGGAGTGAGGGAGAGGGAACTGAAATCTACCCCATTCCAGCATGGGCACTCAGGACAGCTTTCAAGGTCCTGCTAAGTCACGTAAAGCATGAAACAGACCATGATTCCAGCAACAAGAGCATCATGAGGGGTAGGTGGATCTCTAAACGGTAATCCAGGTCTTGCATTGGAGACAGCAGTCCTCCCTAAACACCTGTGAGGCAAAGCCAGCTATTCCTTCCCATGGACTCTCTTCTACTTGCTTCTACTACATAAAAGCAAATATGACTCAAAAGTACTTTAGTTTTAATAAAACAGACATTTAAATCTGGAAATTTCAAGTAGAGCCATTTGTCAGAAAACCTCAGCAAAAATAAGCATGATGCAGCTTGTCTAGATCTGAAACCCTTGCCGCTTTGATAACTAAGTTAAAGAACTCAACACGGGGGTAGGCTTAGGTGAAGCCAGATAGGGCTGTCTCAGCCACAGTGCATTTCTGAGCCAAGTGCTCACACACGGAGCAGGGGAGGAAAGCGGAGTGTTCCCACTAAGTTTCATCTCCACCAGGTTAGTTTTCTCTTCCTGCCATTTTTGATACCGTGAGAACATGTGGATCCAACAGCTTCTCAGGGGAAGGAGCTGCCTAAAGCCCATGCCAGAGAGCCCACATGCGGCCCTGTCAGCCTGGTCGTGGGCACAGAGCATGTGGGTCAATCCCATTCTTGCTGTAGTTCAAGTATGTGCAGATCTCACTTCAGACAAACTTGCAAACATCTTAGAGATACTGGAGAAAAAGGGAGAGAGTCTGGAAAGCTGGGAATAAGCAAACACCACCACCATTTTCCAGAGGAATGGATTCTAAAAACTACAGAAGAACAGACTTCCTCCAAGTTCCAAGAAAACCCAAAAGAGACACGAAATAAGGCTCACAAGCTTTTGGGAAGAAATTGGTGGTCTCAAGGAAGCAACATAAGTTCTCTAAGAGAAAGTCACTCCATGCTAACCTCATTTCCTGTTTTGACGAGCTTCACCAGAACAGTCGATTAGGGGAATGCCCCAGAAAGTGTGTCTTGATTTCAGTAAAGCCTTTGAAAACCTCTCACCCTATCCGATCTAAGATACAAAAGATGGGCCAGATGATGGTGTGACCAGGAGGACTTGCAATTGGCAGGACACTCATCTCCAAAGAAGGCCACCTCCTAGCTCATGGAAGTCCTGCTTGCCTTTGCTCCCTTTGCAGCTGCTGCAGACAGCCAGGCTGCTCCTGAGTCCCTAGTTGGACAGACAATTCCGTGCTTTCTGCCCACAGGCAAGTGTGGTTTGAAATGACTCTCTGCAGCTCTACCCATGAGAAGGTTGGGGACCCAAAAGTGAGGATGTCAGCCTAGCGTGGTTGGTTCTGCACAGGGGACATCCTTTGAAGTGACACAGGACTTTCTTCATGGAGAGCCATGGGACTCTGTCCTGCGTTCTGTCCCATTCACCATTTAAAAAACACCTTGGAGGTTGGGTGCGGTGGCTCACGCCTATAATCCTAGCACTTTGGGAGGCTGAGGCGGGTGGATCACGAGGTCAAGAGATCAAGACCATCCTGGCCAACATGGTGAAACCCACCTTGGAAAGAGACATGGTAAATGAAGGCATATTTACCAAATTTGCAGATCACACAAAGCTCTGAGGAAGAAAGGGCCCCCAAAAATTTAGGCACAAGGTTAGAAACCTGGGATGGAACCAAAGGGAACAAATGTGAAGCTCTAGTGTCTATTAAAAACACAGTCCACTGTAGGATTAAACATCTATGTCAATTTGCTTCAAGTTGTGCCACTAAGTACTTGAGTGTGGCCAGGGATGAGAGAACAAAACCTATACTTTTCAATGCCTTCAGCAATATTAAGCTCTGTCTTAGGGTGTTAGACAGGCTCTAAAAAGCCCTCCCTTCCTTATCTTATGGCCTTGTTAGGAGGACAAAATAAGTCATAGGTGGTAAAGTGCTTTGAAAAAGGGAAAGCTCTGAAATTCAAAATAGTATTATTATTTGTTGTAAGGTGCTTTCCCTCCAACAAAAAAAAGAAAATCTGGCAGTCTATGAGTGATAAGCAGAAAGTGATTCAGCTTTGGTTCTAATTCTCCATCTCTAACCCCAACGAGTGGAGTTTGCTGGGTCACCTGACTAAATCCGTGACCTCCGAAAGGTGGCACTTCTAGCGCTCTGCTTTTCCAAAAGTCTCATAAATTCTTGGATTACACTAATTAAACAATAATTTAGAAAGCTCCTTTCTAGGACTGGGTCTTCAACGATGCAAACTGAGTAAACCAGCAGAATGAACACCAAAAGACTGAGGTCTGGGCCTTAGATTTTTACAGATACAATCATGCATTGCTAATGAGAGGGATACAGTCTGAGAAATGCATCGTTAGGCAATTTCTTTGTGATGCGAATATCACAGGGTATACTTACACAATCCTAGATGGCATAGCCTACTACCTGCCTAGGCTATATGGTATGGCCTATTGCTTCTAGGCTACACACTTGTACGGCATTTCAGTGCACTAAATACTGTAGGCAATTGTAACACAACGGTAAGAATATGTGCATCTAAACATGTCTTCACACAGAAAAGATAATGCATTGTGCTACAACATTATGACAGTTGCAACATCACTAGGTGATAGGAATTTTTCAGCTCCATTATAATCTTATGGGACCACTATTGTATATGCAGTCCATTGTTGACTGAGACATTAGTGAGTGCATAACTGTATTTTCAATGCTTTTCAATCCTACAGTGCAGTGCTTTGAAAGTTTGTCACCCTTGCTGCTGCACAAGCCCTGGCTTGAAACATAGATGAAAAATATACAGCAAACCCAAGACAGGAGGGCTTGTTAGTGAAGTTAACAGACAGAATTACCTTAAAGTCCCTTCAGGATCAGCAGGATTTCACTCGGCAGTTATAGGACTCCAGGTTCCCCTGGACCACACTAGCCAGTAGAACTTCCTGTGACCGTAGACATGTTCTGTACCTGCACAGTCCAATATGGCAGCCACAAGTCACATGTGGATATTTAAATTTAAAATAAAAAGGAATTTAAAAATTCAGTCCCTTGGTTGTACAAGCCACATTTTAAAGGTTCCATAGATATCTGTGGCTAACAGCTACCACATTGGATGGTACGTTGAGAGACCAATGTTTCTCAGTCTTGGCTATGCATTGAAATTACCTGCAGAGTTGTAAAAAATACTGATGTCTACACCCCCTCAATCCCCAGATTCTGATGTGATTGGTCCAAGTGGATCCTGGGTGTCTGGATTTTTTATAACCTCTGGGTAATTCTAATGTCTGGCCAGGGTCAGAACTATTGCCTTAACCATCTAGAATTGTGTGGTCACTTCTCTTTTGCTCTTTCTCCTAATATCCTTGTGAACTAACTATCCTGCAGGCATCATATGGGTTACGTCTGGTCCTCCCTGCACCTGTGACTTCCATCTTTTTGAGGTCATAAATAATCCTGGGGGTAAGACTGCGAAATGGGTAGAGAATGTGGTTTCATCCTGCTCAAAAACGCAGAGGAAGAGTGATCACTTGGGTGGAGATGTTCTTCCCAGTGGAGCCCCTTGCACCTGGGCAAGGGGTGTGTCCAGAGGGGCCGGAGTTAGGTGAGTGTGAGCAACCCCTGGGGCAGGTTGCCAGCCCACAGTTGGGCCTGGCTCCTCACATCCTCAGGAGGACTGTCCCTGATGCCCATGTTACCCTTGTACACGGCCCTTGCACATGTTACCCTTGTATACTTCCTTCTCTTCTGCTAGAACCTAGCCAGGTAGAACCAGCAGAAACTCAGGGCAGGGTGGAATCTTTGTGTTCATCTCATCTGATCTTCTTAGTGTTCTGCTGGAGAAAGTAGCATCCAGAGACGCCCAGCTGAGGCTATTTCCCTCCACAACACAGTGGTCTTTATCTTCCAGGATGGGGGCAAATTACATAAACTTTAGGAAGTTCATCAGCAGGGCAAAGCTTGGTTTCTGATGAGAACCTGACTGTCCAGACAGTAGAGAGTTCACAATCACCCTTTTCTGCTGGGTGATGTCCCAGAGGAAAGCCTGGGTCCTCACCCTAGTGAGGCCATTCACCAGACTCAGATCAGTTTCCTTATCCACCAAACATGGTCAGAGCACTGGGCTGCTCAGCATCTCGGTGTGCCTGAGAAGTAATAAGAGGATGAACCCAGTCAGCACATAGTTGTTGATGAGGCTCGGATCTCAAACGCTGGGGACAGACCGGGAAATAAGACAGACCACAGTCTGCCTTTTGGGAGTGGAGTGAGAGACAGACAGATGATAATTGAACATTCAGGATAAGTGCTGATAATGATAAGTCTATGAATAAAATAAAATAAAATCACAAGATAGAGAGAAATGGTGGGGAGGAAGGAGGGTTCTCTCACGACATGGTGCTCAGGGAATTCTCCTTGAGAAAGGGACATTGGGTTGAGACCTGGATATGCATTGCAATGAACACTGTGCATGTACATAGGGGGTTTTGTGATCACCATCATGGCCTATTGGTAAACTAATTCCAACAAGTACAAAAGAGTAAACATGGCCATTTAAAATTATTCTTAGATGTTTGCTAAGCTTAAAAGTGAAGATTGCCAGAAAGTTCTGGAAGGCTTCTACTAATGGCCTGTCTGGCCATGTCCTCAGGAGGGGGTCAAATTGTCCTGCTTGAGGTTGGGGAAGAGAGTGGGATTACACAGCAGGAATGCTTCGACATTTCACCGTTTTATAGACTGTTCAGGTGCCAGTCCCAGAGTGTCAGAGTTCAAGAAAGCATTTAGGAAATCGGGGCATCTAAGTGAAATGGGATGGAGCCATCGACCATGATGAACTGTGCACTGCACCCAACACTTCTTCAGCAGAGCCCACTCAGACTTGGCTAGAGGTGCTGGGTGGGGACCGGGGCTGAGTTGGTCCCATCCACTGTTTTGTCTCCAGAACCAGCACACAGCAGGCCCCTAAGAAATCCTTATGGGATGAATAAGTGAAGCAGTAAAGGATGTGTGAGGGGAGGGAGGCAGCAGAGATGGCAGATGTCTCTAGTGGAAAGCCCAAGGTTAATGGAGATCTTGGGGCCACAGTTTACAGGCCACGATCAGGGTGGGTGTGGAAAGAGGCTTCCAGATGAAGCCCGACGTTTCTCTCAAATGTCAGTCTGCCCACACTGACTCTACAGCAATCTGGAGAGGTATGAGAAGCAGCAAGGCAAGCGTGGCTGAGTTATGAGAGAGTCAAGCCCAACACACATTTAAACATGTCAGATGAGCTGTGTGGACGTGCCAGGGTTCCCTCAAACACTATTCGATATCCTTTCAAACAGCGTTTAAAGATAGCTAATAAGCAAACAATTCTGTTTTCTTTAGTTTTGCTTTTAATGAAGGACAAGGGATTAAGACACATAGAGACTGGCCAGACAAATGGGAAACCGACCAGACCAGCCCATGACCAAAATATCACAGGCAGACCACCCGCAAATGCAGAGGCCTCAGAGTCCACAGTGGGCGGTTGGAACCAGGCCCCAGGGAATCTTTCAGCTGCATTCCGGCTGTGATCGGCGGGCAACAGGTAGAGGTGCTGGAGGGGGCTGAGTCGTGATTTTCGGTGTCTGTCATATTCGATCAAGTGTGTCATAGAGCTTCCTGTTTCATCTCCCAGTTATTCTGAAACAAAAACATGCATGAAAAACACAGGTCACTGCCAACCACACTGACAGTCGCTCTAGTACATGGAAACTGAAAAGGGAAAGACATATCATGAATGCCACAATAAGCCAGAGAATCAAATTTATCAGCATCTATTCAAATATTGGCAAGCAACAAACATTGCTGGCGGCAATGGTGGTGCGGGACATGGGGTGTCCACATAAACAGAATTCAGAAGAGACTGAAAAGGCAGATGTTCCCAAAAGCCTGCTGCTTTGTTTGGGGCCAGCCTGTGTGTTTATTGAAAAGTTGATTCAGTTCTGACTTCCTGGTCAGGGTCTGACTCCTGATGGGCCCTGAGGCTCTTCCCCTACATGCCCCTGTTGACTTGGATGAAGAGTCACACAAGGACTTACAGGATGGCACAGGTGTTCGCCCAGGTGGTGCCCTGCACTCCCCTCTCCAAAGGCCCAAAGAGACCCAATGAGAGATCCCTGTGGAATTCCAGCCCAATGAGGTCCTGAGCCTCCCCGGGAGACATGGCCTCCCAGGTACATCAAATAATCACAATACACCTGGGCCTAGCAGCCTCGGTGAGGTAGAGGGAAGGGTGGATAAGAAGTGGGGCCCCTGACCAAGCAAAGGCCCTGAGGACAGCACAGGACTGACAGCAGCTCCAGAAAGACTGTGATTCTGTTAATAACTGCTCTGCCGCTTGAGACCAGCATGGTCTGGCTCACTGTTTGCAGAAAATCATTCTCAGTCTCCCAAACAAGTGAAAGGATACTTCCAAAGACAGACAGAGGGACGGTAGAATCAGAAATACAGATGGCACCATCTTCCCAAAGTCCATACTGTAGCCCCACAAAACCAACTTCATGCTTAAATCTGCTGCTCAGACACACTTTGGGGAGAAAGCAGTTTTTCCAGGAGCGAGCTGGAGACAGCACTTCCATGGGAGGGAGGTCAAATCCAAGACTACCCGCTATTTCCAGCCATATTCACTATGGATGAAGAAGGGATGGCTCTACCCATGACCGTGCAAAGCTTCCTTGGGAACCCTGCTGTCCCTTCCACATGCAACCTGTCCAAGATGCAACCCTCAGTTCACCATGAAAACCCACTGGCCCTGCCGCTCCCCATTTCCTTTGGTTAATATTAGGCACAAATTTTTCTGTAAAATGAGATGAAGGCATGTGATTTTGGAAAAGCTTCATCCTTCCTCTTGAGATTCATTCACAAGATACAGTAGCACACAAAATACCCAGAGAAGTTAAGAAATAAGAAAGCTGTTTAAATTATTGTGCACTTCCCAAACATATATGGGGCATAACAT
Organism: Homo sapiens; assembly: GCF_000001405.40. Taxonomy (NCBI): domain Eukaryota; kingdom Metazoa; phylum Chordata; class Mammalia; order Primates; family Hominidae; genus Homo; species Homo sapiens. The sequence goes on along the minus strand of NC_000002.12, from coordinate 87,519,888 downwards.
TTTTTGCACAATGACCTTTGCTGGCAGGGCTCTGCTGAGTGGTGTTAGGAAATGTGGCCAAAGGCAGGCTGCCCAGCCTGCAGGGCCTGGCGGAGCTCTCCTCCTCCTAGGGTCTCTTGCAGTGCTGCAGGCCAGGGAATAAAGCTTCTCCTGACCCCGTAGCCCTGGCTGCCAGGACATGTGGTGATTATGACAGTCTCTATTTATCTTTTGAAACTCTGTATTGTTTCCCCCCCACCCCCAGTATCTTTCCCAATGTCTTGTACAAGTGAGTTAACGGATCCATATAAACTCCTACAGTCTTATCTGTTTTTTCCTTAAAGGCCTCATTGGCTAGTGACAGTGAAAAATCGAGCTTCCTGAGCCTTGGCGAACCTGGCCCCATGATTCCTACACATTCTGGGAAGAACACTGCCCAGATGAATCTGTTGGGAAAGCCAGCTTCCCGTTTTGAGTCCTATGAGCTAGCATTTTCTAATGTGGCTTAAAGTCCAGCATCTGGGCCCAGGATTTCATACGCAGTGTCTTCCTGGGTGGGCAAAGAGAAACAGGAACTAAGTAATGCATCAGTGGCCTGTAGGGGTGGAAGGGGAAACCTGGTTTCTTTAGTTTCATCACTGAAATAGAGAGGTGGTTTACCAACCCGTGCCCCTCACCAGTTACCCCCACTTTTGAGTGCAATGAAAAACCAAAATGTAATAGCCCAGGAGGGCTACAGTATGGAACACCCAACCATGTGGACCTTGGGCCAAAGTCACAGAGTGAGAGGTGGCCGGCCCTTACGGATCATCCAACCAACCCTTCACCTTGCAGGTGAAGAAAGCAAGGCTCACCGAAAAAGGAAGTTGGCAACCTTCCCAAGGTCACTCTGGATGGGACACAGCTGGGACCAGGACCTGGGTCTCTCCTACCTCTCCTACCTTTGGCTTCTGGCCAAAGCTGAGAAGACCCTGAATTCCAGTTCTCCACTGAAAGGCCTTGTCTGGGAGGTTTTGCATGGATGAATCAACTCCATGTTGGCCTGGCTGTCTAGTTATCACTGAATAAACCCACGACAGTTCATCTGAGAACTAAAAGTTTTGCCCCTAATTCAGGGCCGATCACACACATGGCTTCCTAGACGCCAGCGTACACTGGGAGTGGGTGGAGACCACCAGCGCCACTCCGGTGTTGAGGCAACCCTGAAGAAGCGTCTAGTCACAGACAGGGCCACTCTTACTCTTTGGCTTGGCTGACCTGCTGTTCCTGCAGGTGTCTAATATTGATGAGCCGCCAGGTAGGTCTCCCCACTGTGGGTACACAACCTCACTTCCCCCCAGATCTGAGAGATGGCCTCAGGGTCACACACATCACCCTGAATAGAAGCCCTCATCAGGGGCCCCAAATGCAGCTCAGGCAACCTTCGGGAAGCTCCCCAGCTAGCTCCCAAATCGTGCTCTTTCTGTTCCCGATAACAGACAGAAGGCTGCTGGCATGGTAAACTGACAAAGGGAGAGAAGCAGTGGCACAGATGCATACCCCCAGTCCCACCCCCAAGGCAGGCTGTTTTGCCCCTGAAGTTGAACCATCCAAGCCTCTACTTTCTGCGCAGTAAGTCTCAAGGTAGGAGGAAGTGAAGACCACGAGCTTCGATTTGCTGTGACATCCAAGGAACTGCCAGTACCTCACTGCTGAGAGCCCAAGCCAGAGCTTCCAGCCAGCCTCATGCAAAAACACACTTGAGCTTCCTCTGCCCCATTGGCAGCACCGAGGTCTTCCTCAATGCATAGAAAAGGGACGAGTGAGGAACTCACAGCCTGTCCATTCTTGACTCACATCAGATTCTAACAGTATAGGAAGCCAACTTTTTGAGATTTCAAAAGAATTGCCAAGGAGGATGGAGCCTGCTCAGTAACTACCAAACTGTTCAGCTCTCAAGAGACCACTGTTTTTATTTTTCAGAATATTAAAACCTAGACCGCACACTCAGGAAATGTATATTGCTTATCACAGACTAATTTTAGGGAGATATGAGATGGGTTCTTTGTATAAATCAGACTCGTGTGCTGCTAGAGCTGTCAGGGCAGGGGAGCCAGGCAGCAGCACTTGAGTCCCCCTGCCCTTGTCTCTGACAGAGGCTCCCGCGTCTAGAGCTTCAGCCACGTATCTCTGAGCAGACTTAGCACCTTTTCAAGGGGACCCCCGCTGAGAAGCAGTTTCTGCAAAGTGCTCCACACGTCATTACAGACCTACACTTGGTCAGGAAGATTCTGTGTCTTTGAGTGGGGACTTTCAATACCCTCGTCAGCAGAGTGTGACAGTCCCAGGACACACACCCGGGTCTCCTGGCCACCAGTTACCAAGCATGTACCACAGGCCAGCTACAGCTCCCCAGCCAAGCTTTCCTTCAAACATCTCCCCAGCCCTCTCAGGTTGGTGCTATTGGTATCATCTCTCTCACTTAGGAAGGACCGGAGCTCAAGGGAGTTCAACAAATAGCAGGGAAATAGAGGCACACAGCCTTCCATGCAGCAAACTGATGGTGAGGCTCTGCTGCCTGCCAGGATACTCAGCAGCTCCTTCAAACATCTGACCCCCTGAGGTCTTCCAGGCTCTCTCACTTTTGGTTACAGAGAGTGTCCTGAGCAGCACAAAGTCAGACATAGCCAGGTCCACGCACATTTGTGTCTTTCCACAGGGTCAGACTTTTACTGATGCTATTTCAATCACAAAAGCCACAAGTTACATGGAGTTCCCAAGGAAGTGATTCTCCTTAGTACGTCCTGTTCAACTGGTAGTCAGAGCTGTGAGCACTCAGGCTCAAGCCACTCTGCAAGTCAGTCAATATTGCAAACCATACACAGCAGTGTCCTTAACTTAATCAATATATAAATGCTATATTAAACATTCCACATGGAACAGTAACATTTAACATCGAGAGAAAGGGGATAACAGAGCATAAGTGTGGCTTTGAAAAAAAAAGAGTGAGAAGGGGATAGAAGAAAGGGTTAATGAGCCAATCCAATGAGAGCAACGTGGATGAGAGTGTCCTGGCCTGTTCCGGACAGACATCAAGAGTCTCTGATGTGGGCAGAGTCTTTGGCAGCAGATGCCAGGTGCTGATCACGAGCAACAACAGAGCAAGGCTCTGTTAAGACGACCATCTCAAGCCGGTGAAATCCTGCTCTTCTTATAGCCCTGAGACCTCTGGCAAGGACTGATAGTAGAAGAGGGCTGGTGATGTCCCTGTCTGGTTGGGTGTGGTCTTTATTGATTAGGTGGCCATCTGTTCCCTGTTGGCATGATGCCTTTTGACATGTAAGATGGAGTCTTTTTCTAAGATGGTGTCACTTACGTCAAGAGTGCTCTATATAGGGAAGAACCTATGACAGCTCCCTTAGTTTATAATAAAGGCGGAAATTGTCAAGGGGCAGCAACCCAAGGGTTGGCCCTTGGTAGATTGTTTCCTAGTCTAGTGATACCATACACTACAGCTTGACCCTTTCACTATCTGTAAAATACAACCCATTTTTCAGAGAACCAAACCTCAAAAACATTTTAGCCATTTTATAGTCTGATGGACATGGTAAAAGGCCAAGATGACAGGTAACCTTGCTGTGCAGTTACTGAGAAATGCAAAAGGCCTTCTGAGAGGCTGGTGTGGATTTTAAGTCTGTGGTAGGACACACAAAGGGACATTAGGAAAAAAGTGGAGACAACTTGCAGACTCCAGTAGACACGGTTTTTAGGCATTTCCAGCACCCTGGCTCTAGGCTGCAGTTCTCAATGGGAGTCTCAGCACTGGCAGCATCTCATTACCTGAGAGTTGTTAGAAATGCAAATTCTCCGGCCTCACCTCACATATTCTAAGAAGGAAACCCTGGGGCTGGGGCCTAGGAATGTGTGTTTCACAGTGCCCAGGTGATTCAGATACACACAACCACCAGTGGCAAGTGATATCTGCTCCTAGTGACACTCTTGTATGCAGGGCCATGGGTGACTGCAGGTTGGCTATGCGGCTGGCTACTGATGTTCACACTTAGTCAACTGTACCCAAGCTACTTGCCGGACGCTCTCTCCTGAGATCCCGACTGGGGGCGGAAAGAGCAAGCAGCTCAGAAGCCATCCAGAATTTTCAACTCATTTTTGGGGTGACCTGGGGAGAAATGTTGGCATGCTTCATCCCTTAATCTTCTTTTCCAGATGTTGCTCATCTGCACAGCGTGGGACTGAGCACTGTGGGATATTCAATCTGCACCAGTGTTCTCTCCCTAAACATCAAATGTCTCTTCTAGCCATGCTCCACCCCTGCTCCTATCCCCCTTGCCTTCCATCCTTCAGCTCATTTTGCCTGCACAGAACACGACAGCCATGAATTCTGCTGCATCTCTCTCAAATAGGAGAACAGAAGTGTTTTCACCAGCTCAACCCTCCTCACTGCAACCCTATGCAAAACACCACATCCCCCACTCCCACTTTCAGGCTCTGCTCACACCGACCTCTGTGCCCAGGTAGAGAGCACCAGCAAAAGGCTCACAACAACACAGGTAGGAGGCACTAGACAACCAGGCCTCCCAAAAAAGTTGAAAAAAAAAATAGTTTGTTTATCATTTTAAAAAAACTAACCTCATACAGGAAGTATGAGAAGCAGAAGAAGAAGAAGAAAAAAACCCAGGCTAAAATACTGGAAATGTCCACATTTGTTACAGATAAAATATGTGTTTCTCAGTTTCCATATTCAACTTTGCAGGGACGGTGGGAACAGGTAGGGTAGGGCACTGCGGTGGGGTGGGGACTTAGGATGGATGGGGATCAAATAAAAAAGGTGACTGTGAGTACATGAGGCACAGGCTTGCCAGATGTGGGGCAGGACCACGACCCCAATCAGGGCCCTCTCTGCAGGTGTGGCTGTCCCAGCCAGACTTGGAGAAGGGGATGCCTAAAACAGAAACTGTTATCCGAGATCCTCCTACTCACCTGCCTCTCTGGCCCCAGGTCCTGCCCTCGTGTGTGTTTCAGGTGAAGAAGCCAGAGTTACAAAATCATGATCACCTCCCTCCAATAGCCCTTCCAGACCTGCAGCCCCAGCAGCAGTCAGCTATGGAGACACCGCCACCCAGGCCTTCCTTGGAAGCCTGAGGCCGTGCAGACCTTCAGGACAGCAAGCCCAAACGGGCGGACTTGCTTTGGTGTGATGGACACAGACACGAGGCCACTGGAGGCAGACAGGAGTCAGATCTGATGCCTGACATGGAGCCAGGTGCCCTCGGGGAAATGTGGCTCAACTGGATTTTTTTAAATGGGGCTGGAGGACTCACAACCTCCACATGAGGATTAGAGTGGAGAAAAACAGTGAGAATAAAGAGTATGTCCTCTTTCATAGAACCAATCAGTAGGAGAGAAGGAAATAGGAATTCTCCCTTCTCATAATAAAAAAATAAATGCAAACACTGTATAACGTGCACACATTAAAAAGATATCAACTGAAGGATTTTAAGTCATTGCGATTGGTGTCAAAGAAAGCAATTGGTATGAGAGAATGAACGAACGAAAGAAAGAGAGAAAAAAAGAGAAAAACTGTACACCAAAATCTCAAAATAGAACCAAAACCTGCAAATCATACTCAGGAGTCTATTGTGAACCCATATTTCAGCATGCTTTTGAAAAGGTTAATAATTTTCCTACCGAAACTGAATGTGGGTTGTGAAAGAACATTAAAATGAAGAAAATTTCCCCGTGGCTGCTATTATATTATCACCAAAGCCATCAAGTTTCAGTTTGAGTTATTTGTATTTATTTGTGAAAACAAAGATTAGATAAGTAGAAACATAAACCTCATCCTAATTATTGTCCTGGAGGATCTGATTTTTAAGACCAAAAAAATAAGACCATCACACACACAGAGGCAACACAAGGTATGAGAAGTTACAACAGCAGAGGCAAGGGAGAGGAGGCTGTTATCTCGTTCTATCATTTGAAAAAAATGTATTGTCTCATGTAAAACATTAATAGTTGCTTACAGTCTGCGAAGATAATATGAGAGTCAATATGTACTTTTAGCTGTTGACATTTTTGTCAACTATATACCCAGGTGGAGAACTTTTCTTTTAAACTGCAAACTAGAATTTTTGTTTTACACTTGCAAAAGTGTAGTAAAAGCCATACAATTCAATGTTGAACATTGGGGTGGTGGGGGAAATGGAATTTAAATGCTGCTTTAAACGATCAAAACAAGAGTTTTGGGACATTTACAACCAAGTGGGGTCTAGAGAAAACACAATGTTTAGGTGCAGAGCTGGCTCTTATTTCAAATTTGTCTCAGATGCCCAGGGGGCAGCTTGTTTTCTGAAGTTTTAAAAGAAATCCAAAGATGAAATAGTTAATCAGAAACAATGGGTAAGCAGAGACTTCATGTATTTCCATCACAACATAAGCATCAGAATGAAAAAAAAAAAAAAAAAACATGCAAAAAAGAGCTTCAGTGGTCTCACATCACCGAACAAACTGTTTTTCTACCTATTTTGTGTTGCTGGCTTTTGTTATCAGCCCAATCGGCAAATTGTGGCCAATTTTGTCATGGTTTGAGCAGACATTTTGTTCCCAAACTGCTTTCAACATTTTAGCTACCAAATACAGTTTATGAGAAAATGAACAAGCCACAATACAAACAGAAAAGGTACCTTTTCTTACCAAATTAACCCCCTTTAAGCTTAAAATGCAAAAGTTTTTTTTTAATGCAAAAAAAAAAAAGGAATTCTAGTAAATTCAAATTCTGAAACAACCTCATCAGTTTTTTCCTGGAAAAAGAATAATTAATGATTAACCTACTGATGGATTTTGAAACCAACTACACGACATTCCCTGATTCCGACCACCATGACACCATGAAACTAGTTTTTAATGACACAGTATGTAAATGCTATTTTGCAAAAACACACACCAAATATTGTTTGAAGATGCAGATCACGAGGCTCAAGGAGAACAGTAGAACTATGTTAAAGTAAAGTAATCGGTTAAGCAGTTATTTACTACTGAAAATAAGTGACACCCACGTAGTTCATGTTATATATTAATATTGAAACCAAATGACAGTCTAATACCGCAAATCATTTCATAAAAAAAGAATGAAACTAGTTAAAATTAAAACACAGGGTTTTATTTTATAAAGCATTAAATATTCAGATCAAAACGGTAGAAAGCTGACTTGGCTTTTAAAATATTTGTTTTGCTGAATTTCAACAACAGATTGAAAATGAAAAAAAAAAGAATGAAAGATCTCTCCGTAAAAATTTAAGAATCACTACTGAGAAGAAAAGCAGAATTTCAGACAGAGGCTTGAAGAAAACTTCTGTTTGTAATCTTCCCTCATATTTGAAGACACAGCAATATGTACAACATTTTTAGCCTTTTAAAATACCAGCATGCCCACACACTGTCTCAGATTAAAACAAGGAGAAAATGACACATTCTGAAACCATTTTCTAAAGCTTCTTTTCCTGATAACAGTGAGGTGCTTACAATCAAATTAATGAGTTTCTAAAAAGCCCAAACAACTCTCCATAAAGAAACAGAATTGTTCATAACAGCATGCAGATATTTCTAGATTTTTCAGACAACACTTTGAGCATTAGTTCTTGCTACTTACTTTGGAAGATGTTTTTAAACATCTATATTAGAAAGAAATACTACTCAGTGCTTTGCTTTGTTAAATTGAGGAACACTCTGAAAAACACCAGTAGAGTCAGCCCAGTATTTCCCTCATTTCAATTTAAAAATTAGTTAACTCTTCCCCACACTCCTTGCACACATATGTATTCTCACAATTTATTTATACTTGAAAATTCTTAAAGTAGTGAAGAAAGGAAACACCCACAGAAAATAAGTCATCATTTCTTCTGAAAGTGGATTTCTTCATAAAACATAAACCAGCAAATAAACAGTGAAAAGAACTAAAAGCAAATAACAAAACTCAGTAAGAACACTGAAAAATACATATTGACTGATAGAAAAGTTAGCACAGGACATTTTAAATCATTGAGAAGAATAGGGACATTTGTGGTCAGTTTAAAAGATTCTCAGTGAAAGGTTGGCATTGCTTCTGGGCAAGCTGAACTGATGAGAGCACCAAGGTAATAACATCTTCCATTCAAGATAATGTGTTATGTTGTTTAACACCGTATCTAAAACATGTGACTCAGAATTCTTACTTCACTTTTTTATATTTCAATTTTTTCAGTATTATAGGATTCTTCTGGTACTTTAAAGCAAGTAGCCTGATTTATATAAGACAACAGCATTTAAAAACAGACAAAACAGCCTTGAAAAAAAAACACGACGATTAAAGATGACAGTGGATAAGGAGACCGTGGTAATCACCTAATTTGTTACTTTCAGACATTTTCTGTATGAGAATTTTACTCTGCAATACCTGCCCCTATCTTCATGCAGCATAACTGAATGTTCACATTCAGAAAAAGCCTGACCTTAACTAGTACTTGCCACTCTTTTAAACCACATATCCTCTTCCCCCGATGTAAGACTTGGGAAATGAGGGTGATTTTAGTCATCTGGAAAGAGTGAAACAGGACATGGTCTTGAAGCACTTTCTTCAGAACCGTTGTCATTTTAACTTTGTTTTACCACAACAGAAAAGGCCGTGCCCACGGAACAAATTCAAGTTCACCCTCAATTGTATCTGTAACTCTGGAATTTCTTAAAAGCAGACTGGCACAGCACAAAAGCTTTCCTTAAATAGTCAAAGCCTTAAGAAAAAAAATCCCACTTTTCTTTTGCAAGTATATGAATTAAAATGTGAACTCTTATATATTAAAAATGAATGTTTTTAGCACAATTACTTCACAGGCAACCAGCTAATTTTTTCTTCCTCTTTTTCACAATATGCATTTGTTAAAACACCAAGATTTTTTTTTAAACTCTGTTACGTTTACAGGCATTCCTAAGTGTAAGCAAAATATACTTTTCCTCCCATTTACCATTTTATTTGAAGCCAATCTGTCATGTATAAAATGATGACAATTTTGTTAAAGCAATCTGGCTTTAGAGGTTAGGGCTAGCTCAACTGTAGATTTAGAAAATCGAGCTTTTTCTCTTTTAAAAGCAATGAATAATTTACCAAAATCTAGAAATAACTGCAACTGGAGGGGGGAAAGTCAGACAAGAATGAAAGAAGCCAAGGAACTCAGAATTCTTGCCCCGGAAATGAGGGTCTCTTGCACTTCATTTTCTGTTTTCCACTAAATAAATAAATAAATAAATAAAAATTGATTTCTAGTTATAAAATTAAATGTGTAACAAGTTTAAGAAATTTACAATATGTTAGATACAAATATATATAAGTGAGCTTAGAAAGGTAAATTGCATTTCTTAGAGCATAAATCCAGCCCCCTGTGCTAATGCTATTGTGAGTTGACAAGACAGATACAGACACTGGATCTACACCACTGAAAACAGGATGATTTTGGTTGTAAACTTGGATTAGTGCGAAACCATTCTCTTCTGACAGGGTCTGTCGGCACAATTGAAAGGCATAGTCGACACCGGTGGACCATGGAGAGTGGAATGGATTTCTGATAGTCACCTAAAACCTTTCATTGATGTTGGCTTGAAAGCTGCTTAATTAGCTGTAGGCTGCCAACCAATCTCCTTATCAAAGCCAGCTGAAAACAAAACTGAGAGAAACAGCTTGTGGTTTCGCAAAAATGTATTTACATGAAGTATATTTTAAAGGGAGTTTGATCATTAGGTACGATGTCATCTGTGATGTGCGGTGGGTTTGACATTTAAAGATGTCACAGGTTGTCAGATTCATCTCCAGTCTATACTTAGTTGAGATGTAACAACTTCTGCTAGCAGATCTTGTTCTGTTGATTTCCAGCCTAGAAATCTGAAAAGATTTAACTCTTTTTTTTTTTTTTTTTGAGACGGAGTCTCACTCTGTCGCCCAGGCTGGAGTGCAATAGCGCGATCTCGGCTCACCGCAACCTCTGCCTCCCAGGTTCAAGCAATTCTCCTGTCTCAGCCTCCTGAGTAGCTGGGATTACAGGCATCCACCACCACGCCCGGCTAATTTTTGTATTTTTTAGTAGAGACGGGGTCTCACCACGTTGGCTAGGGTGGTCTCGCACTCCTGACCTCAGGTGATCCGCCCGCCTCGGCCTCCCAAAGTGCTGGGATTACAGGCTTGAGCCACCACCCCTGGCTGAAAAGATTTAACTGTTATTTACTTCATACCAATCCTTCTCATGTCCTCTCACCTCCTTACCCATGATCTATTAAAAAGGAAGTGAAGTGGTGGGTGACACGTGGAACATAAGCCTATTTTTGTACCTAGTCCCAAGGATGGTGACAGAGGCAAAAATACCGCCGTGAACACAGGCCAGGCAGAGAGAGTTGCCGATAGGTGTGTGCTTCCTAAAATCAAGAAGGATCCACATCTTTCTAGCCCGTTATTTCACTGCGATTTGTATTGAAAAGAACATTCTGACAAGACGGGATTTCCTTCAGTTAACACTTAAAAATTGTCGAAACCAAGGAAAACCCAGAGTGAAAGCAAACGTTCTACCTCGTCGAAAGCTATCTTGATAGAAGTCATACCAAAGCAGCAGCAAAAGATCCCAGATAAATGTCGACCTTCAGGTATCCTCAACCAGGAACATGGTTCGGTAGTTTTGTCAGTGTGTTTAGCCATCAAGATTTAATGCTTTATATTTTATCAAGAGATGGAGACATGAATCACTACCATTTAACTGTTACAAGAATGACGTCTGGTGAATGTTTAGTCATCCATTCACTCTTTTCCAAATGTCACTTTCTGTCTTGCCTAATTCGTTGGAAATGAAAATTAAGCTCTAAAAGAGAAATTAAGACAAACCAGAACAGACCCAAGTGAAATCAGCACTCTGTCGCCGATAACACCCCTGAACCACAGAACCTCAGCAACAGGACCGCACAGATCTCTCAAACAGAAAGGGAAATGGTCAGTAAAATTACAGGAAAAAAAAGGTTCATTCAACTTTGAAACTTTGTTACTTATGACCCTTCTTTCACCTTAATTCATATGGCAGAGGTCAAGGGGTATTAGTCCCAGGATATGAATGCAGTGTGATGTGCAGTTAGCAACATAGTTTTTAAAGGGTAATAGAAAAAAAAGTTTTATAAAACTGCGCTACTCATCAATTATTTTCCATAGTTTGCTTTAAAAAGGCCTTCTTCCCAAACCCAATTATTCCATTGTGAATCATCTTGTTTGAAAAAGAACTGTGGCATGAAATCTGTCAATATAGGTTGCCATTCAAGCCCAGGAGAACCAGGCAAAAGGAAGTCCCCAACCAGGGTTCTGACAGCAGTTAGAAAAGGTAGAAGGCCAGGGGCTCAGGGAACAAGCAGGGGACAGTAATGACTGTGGCCTATCACCTGTTCTGTATCTGTCTCCTTAGCAGGAAATAGCAACTTTGATTATTTTATAAATTCAAAGGCAACCAGACTTCATTTATTAGGAGCTCTCTTCTACTTGGCTGAGCTGTGGCCTTCATTTGAGGCGTTACAAAAAGCAGTGCATGAATACCAGGAAAGCTGGTCTGCAATGAGGAGTGGAATGAAGGGCTTCACTCTCCCCCAAAGCACCAGGGAGCTCTGCTTTTGGGTCCTCCATGCCGAGACAACCCATTCTGCCAGCTCCTTTGAACACTAGACTGAGGTTCTAGCCCAGTACACCGAAGTCCCAGGGACAGCTGATCAGCAAATTGGCATTATGGATCAGTTTCGAGGAGGACAAATAAAGAAAGAGTTACAGTAAAGCACAAAAGCGTGTCTGATGGAGCTAATCCAGAATGGGCAATGTTAGACTGCACAGTAAAATGTGAACTCCTCCATTTCAGCAAATCAAAGGGACTTCCCACATTGTCAAGGTCTCCTTCCCACCTGCCTCTGGCCCCAGGTGCAGACGAGAAGCCAGAGAGGCAATGTGGTGTGCCCCACATGCCCCTCCCTTCATCACTGGGTTTGTTGTTGATACTGTTCCCACTGCGTTTATTCGGTGACTCTGCCTGCAAAGCTTCCTTTCTGCTGCTGCCTGTTGCTAGGGAATGAACCCTAATCACTGCGAGAGAACAACAGCAACAGCAATCTTCACTTGGCACGAGCAAGCACAAATGTCTCAGTTTAGTGACAATGTAGAAATCATCCCTAAAAGCATCCTCATTTACATCTTCCCTCAGAAGGATGGCAACATTTGCCCTGTCATGAAATACATATTCTCTTCATCATAATGTCGGAGATGGTGCATTTGGAGTGGATCCTATTTCCATATTGAATTTCTGCCCTTTGTCATCAAGCTGGGTGTCCAGGGTGACTTCGGGCTCTTAGAATAGCTTGGCTGTGGATCTCACCTAGTTGTCAGCCTCTATTTAATTGTTTTTTTTTTCTTGGAGTAAAAAAGCAAACCGCATCGTCAAAGCATTTAAAAACACAAACCAAAGGAAACTGGGTTTCCAAGCTTTAAGCAGATGTTATTTACCCACAATTTATTTCCAAGAAGTAACTGAGAAACCATTGCCATTTTTCATCAGTATTCAATTAGAAGCATAAAATCGTCACTGTACCAATGATCTATAACATGGTTCTTGCTGGAGATAAGTGAAAAGCAACCTATGTCCTCAAACTCTAGCTCACCTCAATTCTGGGGTTGCGGCTTCCCCAACCCTTTTATGTGCTTTCATGGGGGTGGCCAGAGGCTGGCCACTGCTGGTTGCAGGGACTGGGAAGCTGGCAGAGATGAGCAAGCAGGGCCCTCTCCAGCAGCCACCACCCCAGCTAAAGAGAAGTCCAAGGGTTACTTTGTGGTTTGAGGGGCACCTCCTTTTCTCTGGCACTGGGAGGATGGACCCGGTCACTGAGCAACACACAGGCCTCATGCCTCAGGCTTCCCTTGGGTAGTGGAGTCCCACCTGTGGGGACTGGCTCTGCTGGGCTCCTGAGGAGGGGAGAGCAGGGCCAAGGTCTGTGCTTCTCACCTTCGCCCCTGCCCAGAATGGTGTTTGGTTCAGAGTTGACGCTGGGTGAGCATCTGCTGCAGTGGTGGGATGGATGGTGTGAACCGACCCCCTAGCTTGGGACTCAACCACAGTTCCGAGGTTGGCACAGATTGGTACAGGGAGATGGGCAATGCTGGAACTGCCAATCATTGAGGTATCTTGGCCTCTATATCTGTGGGTTCCACATTACTGGATTCAACCCACTATGGATTGAAATATTTAAAAATAATAAAACAATAAAAATAATGCCAATAAAAATATCATAACAAGTGTTTACATAGTATTTATGTTGCATTAGATATTATAAGTAATCTAGAGATTATTTAAAGTACACAAGAGGATCTGTGTAGGTTACAGGCAAATATTATGCCAGTTTGTATCAGAGACTTGAGCATCCTTGGAGTTTGATATCCATAGGAGATCCTAGAATCAATTCCCCATGGATACCAAGGGACAACTACACATTGTGTAAATTACCAAATTTGCTCAACCTTCTGAGGCAACTACTCTTAATATCCTCATTAGAGAGAAGGAAGTTAACAGAGGGGTGGTTAACCTGCTGCAGATAACAATAAGTCAAGAGTTAGAGAAGGATTGCAGATGTCCTTGCCTTTTTACCACACCTTCTCTGCCATTGGAGTCAGTAGCCACCACCTCACAGCTTATGGACACCCTTCCCCAGAGGCTGTAGGTCTGGCCCACATTCCTGCCTTCCTGATTGGAGTGTGACTTCTCCAGGACAGATGCCATGGCCAGCTCAGTTCACTCTGTCTCTCTGGCACCAAGCACCCTGCCTGGAGCACCGTGGACCTTGGCATATGTTTACGGGACTCTCTGTTTTTTAAGAAGTAGTTTGCCATCTCTTGCACACAAAGCTTTCTAAAGCAAAGAGGAACTGTCTTCAACATTGGGTGTCTGGATCTCTACTAAGAGCAAGAACTTCGTAGACCTAGAGCAGACTCACCACTGTCACCGTATTTATCCCAGGAGGTGCGCCTTTCCGGAATCACCTTGTGTATTAGTTTGTCAATGCATTCCTTCATTTATTCATACCACTGTCTGAGTGATTAGTACACACCAGGATGAAGCCTTTCACACTGATGTAGACACGAATAAAAATCTTTTCACAGTTGCCCTGTTAGCCATGTCAGCAGGATCTTGAGATAAAACAGAAAAGCAAAACTACACAAGGTTGTTTATCCAATTTAATAACATTTATCTCAGAAGGTGAGAGTGTGTATAATCTTCACAATCAAGAGTAGAACATGTCTGGCACACCTAATCCAAGGTTCTGCTGAAAATTCTCATGGGCAGAGCAAGGAAAATGGGAAGGCACGCCTGCTGAAAGATGGATGGCCATTGGTAACTCAGAAAGAACCGCTTCTCTGTCACGTTGGGTCAGGTCTATGATGCAATCACCCTGTGCCAGAGGGAGCCTGCCTGTGTTGGGAGAAGCAGGGCTTTCATGCCAAGGAAAGAATCCAATAAGTCTCTCACAGAAAAAAAGTGTATTAGATTGATGGTTCCAATAGCATTATTATTATTTGTTATGATTTTTTAAAAGTATTACTATTTTTATTATTAACCACTTTGGGATTGCAAAGTGTCTCCCAGTTCACAGGAGCTTTTGTACACATGGTTTCACCTAAACTTCAAAACTGTCCGGAGAGGTAGGAGAGGCAGATTCATTCATTCATTGGTTGAGTTGCTATTTGACACACGCCCACCTGTTATCAGGGCCCTGGGCCCCTCCCCCATAGCATCGCTGCACTAGTGGAACCAGCCCAGAGAGAGCACAAGACTATGTGTGTCAGGAAAAGAAGGAAAGAAAAAAAGACACGCAGAGTTTTCTTTCCCTTTCCTGAGTCTAGCTTACTTTAGACTTACTTTCCCTGTTCCTCTAGCTCCCACCAGGCTAGGATGGGGCCATAGTGTCCCCAGGCTGCCCCCCAACCCCATGCCCACCCCCTCTCCTGAACTACTCGGCACTTCCTTTCCTTCCCGCCCCCACCGCTCTGCCCTGGAAAGACTGGGGAGGCCATCTGTGCCGTCTCTTCTCCCAGACCAGTGGTTAACAGAACTCCCAGAGGAGGCTCCTGTGTGTGTGCAACTCTAATAGCAGGATTTCAGGCCTCATTTGTGGCCAAGACAGTGCGGAGGTGACCTTTGGCGACAGGCCTATCTCATTAGCGTGTAGTCTACAAGATTCTCCCAGGGAGCTCTCGGATGGACTGTTTCTCCTCGCCTGAGATCTTCCCCTGCTTGGCCTGAAGTCCCACTTTGAGGGAGTGGGTGGCTGTGGTCATGGGGAAGGCTGGGGGGGTAGGCTACCTGCAGCAGCCCCTCTTGGACCCCCCAGGTCGTGGTAGCTTTCCATTCCTTTACACGCCACCAACAGGACGCCTATCGCCCACCTGGTGGGAGCAGAATCCTCTTGGAGTCACTCCACAATTAGAAAAATAAAAGTTGTACTTCTGTTATTTGCATCTTACCTTGGTTTTCTTTTCTTTCTGAAGACTAATATATTATGGGTGGTTTCATGGTTTAACTTCTTTTTTTTTTTTTTTGAGACAAAGTCTCGCTCTGTTGCCCAAACCGGAGTGCAGTGGAGCGATCTCAGCTCACTGCAACCTCTGCCTCCCAGGTTCAAGCAATTCTCCTGCCTCAGCCTCCCGAGTAGCTGGGACTACAGGTGTGCGCCACCATGCCCAGCTAATTTTTTTGTTTTTAGTAGAGACGGGGTTTCACTACGTTGGCCAGGCTGGTCTTGAACCCCTGAGCTCATGATCCGCCCACCTTGGCCTCCCAAAGTGCTGGGATTACAGGCATGAGCCACCGTGCCCAGCCCTTCATATTGTTTTTTAAGAAAAAAATATAAAAATGCTGTCTTTGATCTTTTTTTAACAAGCAATTTTATGTATATTGGCAAAAAATAAAAAGGTAGAAAAAAGGCAACAGGAGAAATAAGAAGGAAAAGGAGGAGGAAAAAGAGGATGACAAGAGGAGAAATGGTTTGGGATGAGACAAAAAAGGAAGCGTAAAAGTTAACATAGAAACTGACCTCATTCAGAGAGACCCTAGAGGAAGACACAGCCTCCCTTTGGACTCAGATGCTTATTGCATAGAATATTTTAAAAGCAATTGGAGAAATTAAAGGGAAAAGGTGCTTTGGTCCCAGACTTTCACTATTCCATGGAGCACCATCCTTTAACTCTGGGAAAAGTTGCTCTTACCTTGTTATAATAGTTTCACTTTGGGCCCAGCACAGTGGTTCACGCCTATAATCCCAGCACTCTGGGAGGCCGAGACAGGCAGATCACCTGAGGTCAGGAGTTTGAGACCAGTCTGGCCAACATGGCAAAACCCTGTTTCTACCAAAAATACAAAAAAAAAAAATTATTCAGGTGTGGTGATGCGTACCTGTAGTCCTAGCTACTCGGGAGACTGAGGCACTAGAATTGTTTGAACCTGGGAGGCAGAAGTTGCAGTGAGCTGAGATCACACCACTGCACTCCAGCCCGGGTGACAGAGCGAGACTCTGTCTCAAAAAAACCCAAAAAGTATCCCTTTGTGTACCTAGCACGGTGGAGGACTGTTTTAAAAGCAGGTCAGAAGATGAAGCCAGTAAGACTTACTGCGGGACTGTAAGCACAAAACTGAAAACCCCTGCTATGGAAATAAATCTCTGCCTCTGAAGAACAAATCCAAAGCGATGACTCAGGGAGGCAGCAGGGGGCATCCTTCCAGGCACTTTTAATAAACTCTAGTTTTAATGGAAAATATTTCAACAATGGTGATAATTCTGCAATTTATTTGCAAAGTCAAAAAATGTTGTTTTTTTTAAAAAAAAAAGATTCACCTATTATGATTTTTTCTGTAATTCTTAGCTGTGACTCCATAAACACTACCTCGCAGTAATAGAGAGGCTTTTGCCGGGACGCTGACTGCCAAGTTTGGGAAGCCATAGTCCTAAGGTGATAAAAAGCCCAACTTCAGGAACGTAAGTGTAGGGGAGCTTCCAGGCATCCAGCAGTCCCCAATTCAGGGCAGGTCTTGCTAGTGTCAAACTCAGCTTCCGGGACTCTCCTGGTGCTCAGAAGATGCTCTGTAAAAAAACTCCACCACCATTCCTCAGGCCAGCAGCCCCAGCCTGGACAAATGCACCATCCTTCATATTCCACCACTCTCAACACACACCCTGTTTGCCTCTTTCTTCTTTCTGTTCATTAGCTTTTTATTCTAACCTTCTTTGCAATGTCAATGAAACTGGCATGCAGCTTGTTTCTGATAAACCCATTTCACACTCGGATGGACACTTCCCTGTTTGGAAGTTTATTTCTAATATTACATTCCAGGACGTCCTCCCTTGGTTTCGCCCCATTACTCTGGTTACCCTTCTTTAGAGCATGTTAAATACTTCTTTTACCTCCTGGGTATCAGTAACCTTCACGTGTGTGAGAGTTATGGTCTTTTTCCTGCCCAAGCTCCATTCAAGCAACTCAACATTCTTAATTCTTGAGAGTTTTTTTTTTTTTTTCCATGAAACTGTTCTTGGTGACTTTTCCTTCACTTCGGGTTCTCCTCTTTCCCTTCCTTCCATCTAGGTGTCCCCAGCTGAACGTGTGTGTTCAATTTTAGAAGGGGCCTGGGATCAGGAAAATGCTTATCAGCTTAGAGGCAATATACGTTAGCCTAAAACGCCCCACTGGTTGAATTACAAAAGTAGCCACAGCAGTAGCCTGGAATAAGCCTGACGTTGAATGTCGTATTTCAGGCTTCACGTTGGGATCGTATGCAATCTACAGTTATAAACCCATCAGAAGTATGGCCATCCATGCCACGCTTTTCTGAATGGTATTTATTTTACATGGGCAGTGGATGGGATTTGATAACCGTTCTCTCCAGCAAGATGATTTTAGAAAGCGAAAGGCGAACTGGCTTTTTTAGTTGTGGCACTGCCTCATTTGGAAAGAAAAAGTATGTCATGCTTTTGTTTCACAAATGCCATCACACGTTCAGGCATTTGTGGTTCCATGCTCAGGCGATATCTTCATTTTGCTGCCACTTCCACACACGATTATTAATGCTGAAAATGGGCACAAATGTGTTAAAATAAAATTTCACAGCGGTGTAGTGTTTGCTGTCAGGAAGTAGGTAAATGGTCTACAACTGGGACAAAAGTTTGTGTGGAATTAAATATAATTAGTGTTAATTCCACTGGGGTGGAAGTTTTAAAATATATCAAATATGCTCAAGAACTTTTTGTATGATAAGGGATACGTATTAGAGTCAAAAATAAAGACAGTCCATAGAAAAGGTGTGGGAAATGATACTCCAAGGCCATAGAATGGCTACTGACATTTGTTTTGTGAGCCACCTACAAAAATCATGTAGATAATTCTCACATACATACTTCCCGTAGAAAAATGGTGCACTTACAAATAGTAGATGCAAATGAAATCTAAACTAAGGTTGCAAAAGCACAAGTAGACCCTCCCAAGCTCAAAGCTCTCATAAAGCCATGGCATCTACATGCTGTGAAAAGCCTCGTGCTGTCCTTTTGAGCAGCCAGTGTTGCTGCAAACTGCCGGGGACCCACTTAGTTTCAAACATGATTTTTCCCCTGAAATAACGGCCTCCCATCTAATGGCACGCTGAGGTCACGGGGCACGGTGGAACCAGTCTGTGATCTGGGAGCCTGCCCCCAGAGACACACCAGTGGAACTCGTGAACCGTCTAGATTAAAGGATTAAAACGTCCTTACTGCAGGTCTTTATCATGAAGCCCATCTAATCAGTGGCACGTTTACTCAGAATAAAGAATGGCCCCTCTAAGGGAGGGGGGAAGGCAGCAAAGGGTCAGCAAGGAGCCCTGTGTGGGGGTCCTGCCGTCTGGGTTCCAGTCATTAAGAAAGCATATATTCTTTGAGCCTCCACTCCTGAATCTGTAAAACGAGAGCTCTGGACTCCAGGGTGGCTCTTGAGATTGTGTTTCTCCCTATAATTTCTATAATTCTTTGCAAATCACAACTAGCTTCTCACTTTATTATGCATAATGATTTAAATGCCCTGTTTCCATGAATGTGTATTATTTTATTGTGCTAAAATAGGCATAGCATAAAATTTACTATTTTAACCATTTTTTAAGTGTACTCTTCAGTGGTATTAAGTACACTCACTGTGGTGTAGCTATCACCACCATCCATCTCCAGAGCTTTTTCATCTTCCCAGACAGAAACTCTGTCCCCATTAAACAATAACTCCTCATTCCCCCCCTTGCCTCCAGCCACTAGTAACCACTGCTCTAATTTCTTTCTCTATGAATCTAACCCCTCCAGTTATCTCATGTAAGTGGAATCCATACAATTTTTTTTATATTTACAAACATCCTCAGCATGACAAGGATTGAACAAGATTATAGTTTTATTTTGTTTGTAATATGCTGTCCCTTTTCTGTCCTGTCCTGATACATGTAAATGGCACTAAAACAGAGTGGCCCTCTCCAGGGCCGCTGGCATGATCAATGCTTTCACAGATTTAAAAAATGGAAGCTGAGCCCCAAAATCTAATTGCATAGAAAGCATTTGCGCAGGGATTGCATCCAGCGAGAAGCATCAGGGACATACTATTTTGGTACACTCAAAGACACACTTTTAAAATCAATATTTTAAAAGTCATATCAGAAGTAAGATAAACCAGGCTGCTATCTCAACCCTCCGTGTGTACTCTGTACATGATGTCTCTCTCACCGCTGAGAAAAGCTATGCGTAACAACAGGAAACTGATCACAGATCCCAACATCAGCCCCGGTGACTGTAAGTAGAAAATACAATGAGTAACTCCCCTGAAAATGAGATGACTGAAGTTGATTATGTATTTGTTGTTTAAAAATAAAAAAGAGTCAACAAGAATGGGAGTGGGGTGGGGAGTTTTCCACGTTAACAGAAATGGCAAGTTTTATTTTTAAAATTTATCTGTAAATACAAAACAAGTGATAAAGACACCATGTGTCATTTGTTTTTGTACAGCAAGGAACTACATGCAGCTTGCTAATTTTCTCAATTTGTATGCTACAAGGTGAACTGCAGCATCACAAAAATTAATTTCATAGCCAAGCAAATATGAAATATGAATTTCATAGGTAGGCTTTTATAAAATATTAAGTTATGGGCAAGCCAATATAAAATATTGATGTCATACAGTATGAGCAAATATGGAGATAAAAATCGCTGACCCAGATTATGAATTGTTGATTAAAGAGCATTGTTTACCAGTTTGTAAGTATATCAGCAAAATGTATGTGTGGGCATATGACAGTTCTAATTTGAAATATAATTCTAAATCATATTTACCTTTGATCTGAAAATACCTGATAGTGTGAAAAAACTAAGGCTTGACAGCCAAAACAGTACAAAAGTCAAATGCTGCATTTTAATTCAGAAGTGGGCAAATGTCAACTTGTTTTAATTTCTGAAACCTCTCCTTTTGGGGTTATTGTTACACATTTGATATTGAAAAGAAATTGAGGTTAATCAACCAATATTATTTCTCTTTTTTAGAAGCCTCAGAAAGTTTGCATATATACATATATGTGCTATAAGAATATACAAGTGTATATAAAAACATAAAATATTACAATAAAGAAGAAAATTCATTACAGACTTCCTAGGGAAAAGGGAAAAAATCATGTAGAAAAGCAAATCTTGATTTGGCATAATTAATTGTAGGGTTTCTTAATTGTGTGGAGGGAAAGGTTGGAGGAGTAAATATGTATCTGTATTTATAGAAGAGAATGGATCTTTCAAGCCAACAACCCAACAGTAAAGTTCTAAAATTACACCACCCAAGTCCCCTACTGTTTCCTTCTTTTGGACAAAAGCAAATATTGACCAGGTGCCAGCCTCGAGCCATTTGAGGCAAAGGCAGCCGTTGCGATGGGCAAAGCCACAGCCTGGCCACACCGGGCCAGGCTCCACGTCCAAACCCGCTTGCATCGTAGAATTTTGAAATTAACAAGTCACCAGACCACACACCAAGCAAGGAGTAATCACTTCACAGAGAGAAAATAACTATGTTTAAAATGAAAGCAAGATCAACACTGGCCTAAATGCTGGTAAAATGACCTTGAGGGATGTTCCAAATTGAAATGGATCAAATTAGTTTTCAATCCACTCTAAAATATGAAATGTCAAAAATAAAAATATGCTGATGAGGTTCAGCGCGCTGAAGTTTTAAAATGACTAAAACGACATCTGTCATGGAAATCCCTGCAATTTTACAAGAGAATAAGAAAGGCTATTTTAAACGGTGCTTAGTCACGTTGCATTTTTTTGGTAGTAATGTCCAAACTTTCCTGTCCCGGTGGCAGAACCCATGAGCATGACCTCCACAGGACTCTGGGGGAACGGGGGTGGGCAAGTTCCAAAAATACCGCTCACAGCTCACAAATGACGGCTGGTCAACTCACATTTGACTGTGAAA